>NC_000004.12:174546381-175171381 GCF_000001405.40 Homo sapiens
AAAGAAAAAAATCCCTTGTTCTTGTATTAGGCACTTCATTTTGATGTTGGTGTATATTTGTTGTCTCAAATTCATCACATGGGTTGACTCTGTGTGCCAACCCAAATCTCATCTTGAATTTTGATAATCCCCACATGTCAAGGATGGGACCAAGTAGATAATTGAATCACGGGGGTGGTTTTCCCCATACTATTCTCATGATAGTGAGTGAGTTCTCATGAGATCTAATGTTTCTTAAGGGGCTTCCTCCTTCACTTGACTCTCACTTCTCTTGCCTTCCACCGTGTAAAATGTGCCTTTCCTTGTCCTTTGCCTTCCACCATGATTGTGAGGCCTCCTCAGCCATGTGGAACTGTGAGTCTATTAAATCTCTTTTTCCTTATCAATTACCCAATCTTGGGTATGTCTTTTTTTAGCAGCATAAGAACAGACTAATACAGTAAATTGGTACTGGATAGTGGGGCGCTTCTGTAAAGATACCCATAAATGTGGAAGCGACTTTGGAACTGGGTAATAAGCAGAAGTTGGAACAGTTCGGAAGGCTCAGAAGAAAGGAATATGTGGGAAAGTTTGGAACTTCCTAAAGATTTGTTGAATGGCTTTGACAAAAATGCTAACAGTGATATGGACAATAAAATCCAGGCTGAGGTGTTCTCAGATGGAGATGGGAAACTTGTTGGGAACTGAAGCAAAGCTCACTGTTTGCAAAGAGACTAATGACATTTGGCCCTGACCTAGAGATCTGTGGAAATTTGAACTTGAGAGAGATAATTTAGGATATCTGGCAGACGAAATTTCTAAGTGGCAAAGTGTTCAAGAGGAAGCAGAGCATAAAAGTTTGAAATCTTTGCAGCCTGATGATGCAGTAGAAAAGAAAAACCAATTATCTGGGGAGAAATTCAAGCTGGCAGCAGAGATTTGTATAAGTAATTAGGAACCCAATGTTAATTACCCAGATAATGGGGAAAATGTCTCCGGGGCATGTAAGAGACCTTCACAGCAGCCCCTCCTATCACAGACCTGGAGGCCTAGGAGGGAAAAGTGGTTTCCTGGGCCTTGTCCAGGGCCCCCCTGCTGTTTGCAACCTCAGGACTTGGTGTCCTGCATCCCAACAGCTATAGCTGTGACTATAAGAGTTGAAGGTATAGCTCAGGGCCATTGCTTCAGACGGTGCAAGCCCCAATCCTTGGTAGCTAACAAGTGATGTTGGGCTTGCTGCTGTACATAAATCAAGAATTGATGTTTGGGAACCTCTGGCTAGGTTTCAAAGGATGTATGGAAAGGCCTGGCTGTCCAGGTAGAAATCTGCTGCAGGGGTGAAGCCCTGATGGAGAACCTCTGCTAGGAGAGTGTGGAAGGGAAATATGGGGTCAGAGCACCCACACAGTGTCCCCACTGGGGCACTGCCTAGTGGAGCTGTGAGAAGAGGGCCACCATCCTGCAGACCCTGGAATGGTAGATCCACCGACAGCTTGCACCGTGTGCCTGGAAAAGCCACAGACACTCAACACCAGCTCATGAAAGCAGCTGGGGGAGGGGGAGAGGTACTGTACCTTGTAAAGCCACAGGGGCAGAGCTGTCCAAGGCCATAGGAGTCCACCTCTTGCATCCATGTGACCTGGATCTGAGACATAGAGTCAAAGGTGATCATTTCAGAGCTTTAAGATTTGACTGCCTTACTGGATTTTGGACTTTCATGGGGCCAGTAGCCCCTTTGTTTTGGCCAATTTCTCCCATTTGGAATGGCTGTATTTACCCAGTGCTTGTACCCCCATTGTATCTGGGAAGTAACATCATTCAAATAATTGAATCATGGGGGCAGTTTCCACCATATGGTTCTCACGATAGTGAGTGACTTCTTAGGAGATCTGATGGTTTTATAAATGGGAGTTCACCTGCACAAGCTCTCTTCTTGCCTGCCACCATGTAAGACATGCCTTTGCTCCTCCTTTGCCTTCCGTCATGATCATGAGGCCTCCCTAGCCATGTGGAACTGTGAGACCATTAAACCTCTTTTTCTTTATCAATTACCCAGTCTTGGGTATGTGTGTCTGTATTAGCAGAATAAGAACTAATACACATACCACTCATTCTTCAATAAATTAAAATTTCTTTTCCCTTCACTTGTTTTTTATTGACTGCTTTCCTCACTTCTTTTTGATATATCCCAACCACTAGAAATAATTTACTTTCTATTTCTAAAGTATTCCACTTCTTAGGACATTATGGACCCTTTAAATTTTTTTGAATAAATAAATGGATGATGAATATCAATGGATGTTGGATGATAGGCACTGGAGGGAAGGAGAGGAAATGGTACCACCTTAGCTTTTCTCTTAAGATAATAGCAATATTCATCATGCACTGTCCAAGTACACACATACACATTGTAGTCATTGTCATTTCTACTTCGCTTTAACATTTGACACTCTTTATCTTTACTTCTCGAACCATTTTCCTGCCTTTAGTTTCATGCTTCTGCATTCTGTTTCTTGCCCCCCAGTTTTTAGCCTTTTTAGGGTTCTCTGCAAGGTCCTCTTCTGTTAACCTATTGGTGTTGACTTCTGTCAATTCCTTCTAGGACTTTAACACAGGCTCTCTTATGTTCACAGTCTACATCACATACACTCCCTCAATAAGTATATTTACTCCCATGGCATCAGTTCTTATGCTTACATTCCATTTATAGTTATCACTTTGCCTTTTTCGCCTCTAACTACCCATCTCTAGCTGTCATGGAATCAGGTCTCACTCCTGTATTCCATATCTCTGTGAGTTGTGGCACTATATCCCCACTTTCCCAAGTCAGAGACCATGGTGATATTCTCACTCTTCCTTCATCTTTTCTTTTTCTTACTGATGATTCTTCTTATCAAGTCTATTCTGACTCTGCAGTATCTTCAGACTGACAATAAAAGCAATAGTTTTATGGACAGTTTCTACTAACAAATAACCTTAAACTTACCCATTATAGTAGAAATAATAGTACTGTATGATAATTGTCTGTTCATTTGTCCCTTTCACTTGAAAAAGTATAAACTCCTTAATGGTAGAAAGTATGTGATAGTCTTTGTTATATTCCAAGCTCCTCAAACATTTATTGGAAGTTAGTGTGTAATAAAACAATTTCTTCAGTTAGACATTTGAGATAAATTTTAATTTTGAGTAATGTAATAATTTCAATATTTTTGAGTTTAATAGTGTTGAGTACACAGTGGCTGAAATTATATATTGGGGCAATATGTTAAAGTTTTACCTTGATTGAGGAAATAGTTTAGATAATATACATTAGTCAAAAAATATATGACTTGAGTACAATCTATTAATAAATGCACGTGGTAAAGATTTACATATAATCATCAAATTAATACTAGTAGTACGAATAAATATGAAACCCTTCCTTGTGTGCATACACTTTAAACATTAGCAGACATGGGGTATGGCTGCAGATAACCAGAAAACTATGTTTGAAAGTAGGGAAGATACCCTAGGGAGATACTTGTCTTGCCAAGTAATGATATTGGCAATGTGTCAGAAATGTAAACACTATAAGAAATTCCAACTACAGCTTGGCCAAATTAATCTCAACTTGCTGATGTTCAGAATTTTTTAATACTCTAATGGCAGTTGTAAAGTTTGTGAAAGAATTTAACATTGCTCAGTAACTTGAAACAGAATCACAGCCCTTAAACATAATTTATTTTTCAACACATTTTTTTAAATAGGTTTTTTAGAGGAGTTTTAGTTTTATGGAAAAATTGAGCAGAAAGTACAAAAAGTTATTTTGGCTCTCTCCTCTTCTACTTTCTCTCCTCCTGCTCTTACTAATATCTTACACCAGTATGGCACATTCTTTACAGTTGATGATCCAATATTAGTACACTATTATTAACTGAGGGTCATAGTTTACACTAGAACCCATTCATTGTGTTGCACAGTTCTATGGGTTTTGACAAATGCATAATGTCATCTAACTACCATTATAGTACCATACAAAATAGTCTCACTTCTTGGTATGGTTTGGCTGTGTCCCCACCAAAAATCTCATCTTGAATTGTTGCGGGGGTCCATCCCGCAGACCCTGACCCAACGATGGATGAATAATATACACTGACCCAGATATTATGCTTATCAGTTTGGCTGAGGGTCTGGGCTGCTCACAGACTCCAAGGAGAGTGCTGTAAAGAGTTGCAACTGGGCCCCTACTAGCTGGCCCTCCTGGCATTTATTCAGCACACATTAAATGATAAAATTCTCAAGTAAACACTACTAGAAGGTAATTACCATTGCTAATCCCCAAGTAGAGAGCAATCATGCAAATGTGGATGGTCAAAAGTTAGTCTTATGACCAATGAGTAAACAAGCTATTTAGATAGACTCTTCTACATTCCTATGTTAATTACCCTTGCTATAGTCAGAGGATTAGGCTGCCTTCAGCCATAACTCTATCCTGAGGCTTTTGCAAAAACCTTCCAGTCTTCCAAGAAGGTTTGTATTTATTTTAAAATTTCTCCCACTATCCTGACTGAACCCCTATAAATTATAGCTCCCATAATTCCTAAGTGTTGTGGGAGGGACCTGGTGGGATATAATTGAATCATTGGGTCGGTTTCCCCCATATTGTTCTGATGGTAGTAAGCCATCATGAGATCTGATGATTTTATAAGGGGAAACCCCTTTTGCTTGGCTTTCATTTTCTTGTCTGCCACCATGTAAGACGTGACTTTCACCTTCTGCCATGATTGTGAGGCCTCCGCAGCCACATGGAACTGGGAGTCCATTAAACCTCTTTTTCTTTATAAATTACCCAGTGGTAGATATGTCTTTATTAGCAGCATGAGAACAGACTAAAACACTGCTTCTAAAACATCCTATGCTCCACCCTTTTATCCCTCTCTTCCTTTGCCCAAATCCTAGCAATCACTGATTTTTTTAACTACCTATAGTTTTGCCTTTTCCAGACTGTCATTGTGGAGACTAAAGCTACTCCATCTTGGATGCTAATCCACCGTGTTGACTTCTGAATAACACTAGTTCTGGAATGCCTCTAAGATTTCTATTTTACCTACTATTCCTTATGTAAGAGCATGTACTTACTGTAAATCCTCCCTTAGGTCAAAACAAACTTGATGTTATCATATTTACCATAAATCCTGCCCTTAAGCAATCGGACACATCCCTTCTGTAACACACATACCCTTTCCCTGTGGCATATTATACAAGCCCTGGGCAGTGTGGGAATCCACCATCTCATCTTGTGGCTGCTTGAGACATGGCTTCTGTTCTTAAGTCCCTATTAAATGTTTCTTTCTGAGAAACTGGATTTATCGGCCTATTTCTTTGGTCTCTCAGCTTCCTTTGCCTTCGTGGGTAGGTTTGCATAGACCTGCTCACTGCAGAACAGTCATATACTATATATCCTTTTTGACTGGTTTCTTTCACTTAGCCATATGTATCAACACTTAATGAATGCTTAAAATGTACACAGCAGTGAGCTAGAAGTTGGAGAAATAAGAATTTACTCCTTTAATGAGTCCGTTATTTAATAGGGCTGGCAGATATGTAAATAAATAAATAAATTACAATAGAGTTGTGTCCGGAGTTTGTTCCTTCCAGGGGGTTTGTGGTCTTGCTGACTTCAAGAATGAAGCCGTGGACTTTTGCAGTGTTACAACTCTTAAAGGTGGCACGGTCCCAAAGAGTGAGCAGCAACAACATTTATTGTGAAGAGCGAAAGAACAAAGCTTGCAAGTGTGGAAGGGGACCTGAGCAGGTTGCCCCTGCTGGCTGGGGTGGCCAGCTTTTATTCCCTTATTCATCCCCTCCCACGTCCTGCTGATTGGTCCATTTTACAGAGCACTGATTGGTCCATTTTACAGGGTGCTGATTGGTCCATTTTACAGGGTGCTGATTGGTCCATTTTATAAACCTCTAGTTAGCCACAGAAGGCTGATTGGTGCATTTTTACAGAGCACTGATTGGTGTATTTTACAAATCAGAGTGCTGATTGGTGCATTTTACAATCCTCTTGTAAGAAAGCTCTCCAAGTCCCTACTCGACCCAAGAAGTCCAGCTGGCTTCACCTCTCAGAGTGAAGTAAGTATAAGAGTCTTAATAAAAAAATATAGATGGTAGGCCAGGTGCTGTGTCTCACGCCTGTAATCCCAGCACTTTGGGAGACCGAAACGGGTGGATCATGACGTCAGGAGTTCAAGATCAGCCTGGCTAAGTTGCTGAAACCCCGTCTCTACTAAAAATACAAAAATTAGCTGGGCTTGGTGACACGTACCTCTAATCCGAGCTACTCGGGAGGCTGAGGCAGGAGAATCGCTTGAACCCGGATGGCAGAGGTTGCAGTTAGCCAAGATCATGCCACTGCACTCTAGCCTGGACGACAGAGCAAGATTCAGTCTCAAAAAATATATATATATGTATATATAGAGAGAGAGATAGTAGAAAACTATCTATAGATGGTATACATGGGGGCAAATGGTGGGTTGTTTGGTTAACCGTCCCAGAAGAAATGATTTCTAAGCTGGATTCTGAGAGATAGATATGGTTTTGCCAGAACAGAGGTGTCATCCTTCTCTAGTTTCTATATTTTCACATTTCCATGGGCCATTTATACTAAATGCATTTCATAAATATAGCCCTTTTAATATGTCTTGATGTTCTAGTATTATTAGGTTGGTGCAAAAGTAATTGCAGTTTTTTGCTAATATATTGGCTATACGTTCTGGGCACATGACAAATAGAATTAAGCGAACACAATGTAAAAATCTTGCACTGCATATGCAAATAGTGATGTTATTGACCCAATCTGCTTATACTTTGACTTGTTTTTCTGTCAGTGATGACAGGTTTGTGACCAATATGGGTGGAATTAAGAGTGTTGTCAGAGCCTATAAAAGAAACTCATCTGCTGTTACATGCTGAACCTAACCATATGACTTTAAGTTCTATGTCAGAATAAACTCCCAAAATGGTTTAAAGATTGCTATTCAAACATAAATATATACATACATACATATATATATATATATACACACGATATATCTCAACAAATATTGCTGGGTTTTTCCTTTAAGTAAATTTTTATTCTGACACAATTTGTACCTTAAAATGATTATAGATAATTTGAAGTTTTGTTTTTTACATTTCTGTGCTCCCAAGTATATTTTGGGTATCTGTAATTATGAATGCGAATTGGATGAAAACACTCAATATTTGTTGGATGAAAGCATAAGTATGGGACTGATAATGCAGAAATTAAAGATGTAAAACTCAATATCACACTGAGATATTTTTAGAACACATTTATTTCTTTTTTAAAAGATATCCAGATAGTTGCCAAACATTTACATCTATAGTTCCTTATTTATGCCTTCTAATTTAGACCAATAGTATGGATCATTACAAGTAATTTTGAAAACATGAGGGGTCTTATCATTAACCTGTCACTTTAGGTAGCTGAAGTTGGGTTATTGTGCATAATCATCTCACAAAGAAGTTTGCAAATCATGGACATAGCTTTAATTGGCTATTTGCCTCAGCTCTTCTGAAAGACTCAACCTTTAGTCATGTTTTAAATAAAAAAGAAAATACAGTGTGGCTCAAGTTATTTCCTGTACTTAAAACATTTGGCAAAAATGAGTTTCAGGGTTGTTAAAACTGATGTGTTCAAATTTGGCAGCCTCTTTTGTCCTCAGGGTACATTGTAACATCTGCTATTCCACAGTGTATACACTAATCACGAGAAGCCTTGCTTTAGTATTGTTTTTTTTTTAATCCTTAAATATATACGAAAAGCAAAGCTTACAACAATGTTTTAGGATGAATGATACTATAAAATTCTATTAGCCTACTTTGGGAAAACACATGTTTTTCTTTTGAATTATGTCCAAAACATATGAATTGAACACCTGTACAAAAATTTTATGCAAAGACCATGAAATAAATAAATTTCCTAAACTGCACCATTGAGGAAGACTTGTGATGACCTTAATTCTCATTGGCATGCCTATAGCAGCAGTCTTATTATTTCATCCCAGACCTGGGGGCATTTTTTGGTGTCTCTTAGATGGGAAATATTAACTTCATGAAGCACAGATAGACAGAGTGAGCCCTTGTAGAAGCAGTTTCTGTGATTACAAAACAAACAGGGATTCTAGTCTCAATGAACTGTATGTTCAAGGGAAATGACAGGCCACTGACTTGCTAACTAAAAAGTCTTGGATTAAAAGCAACCTATCTCATACACCAGGAAACAAGTACATGTGCTTTAACCCAATCATCTCAGCAGCCCTCTGTGTATGGGGGTGATTGTGTTTTTTTGTGTGTGTATGTGTGTGTGTGTGTGCATGTGCCCATGTATGTGATATTAATGAAACAGAGAGGTGAAGCCAGCTAGACTCCCTGGATCGAGAGGGGACTTGGAGAACTTTTCTGTCTTACAAGAGGATTGTAAAATGCACCAATCAGCACTCTGTAGTTAGGATTGTAAAACGCACCAATCAGCGCTCTGTGGCTAGCTAGAGGTTTGTAAAATGGACCAATCAGCAGGACGTGGGCAGGGACAAATAAGGGAATAAAAGCTGGCCACCCCAGCCAGCAGGGGCAACCTGCTCAGGTCCCCTTCCACACTGTGCAAGCTTTGTTCTTTTGCTCTTCACATTAAATCTTGCTGCTGCTCACTCTTTGGGTCCATGCCATCTTTAAGAGCTGTAACACTCACCGCGAAGGTCCGCGGCTCCATTCTTGAAGTCAGCAAGACCACGAACCCACCAGAAGGAACCAGCTACGGACACAAAACTTCATATAAGTAAGATTTCAGGTGCGTAATTTGCTAAGTGTTTTATATGTATGTAAACAGTTGAACAATTTTAAAAATAAATTTAATTTTTAAAAGTAGTATTAGATTTACAGAAGGGTTATGATAGCAGAGTTTCCACATACTTGGCACCCTGTTCCTCTGTTATTAGCATCTTATTTGTTACAATTAGTATGATATATTTGTTATAATTATTGTACCAGTATTCACCCACTATTGTTAATGAAGTTCGTATGTTATTCAGATTTCCTTAGTTTTTACTTAATGTCCTTCTTCTGTTCCAAGATCCCATCCAAGGTAATACATTTAGTTGTCACATTTAGGCTCCTCTTAGCTGTGACAACATGTAAGACTTTCCTTGTTTTTTATGTCCTGGACAGGTTTGAGGAATACTGGTCAAGTGTTTTGCATAATTTCTTCATTAATCACTCTCTTGAAAAATTACTTAGCCAGTGAATAAATTTATTTTTTGTCTAAGGTTTAGGGATCCAAAAAGTGACACTAATTACCTTGAGATGAAATCAATATACCCATTGCTAAATCTCACCAGCAAGAAGCTTCCTTGATATAGAAGACTGGATATTTTTCCATGATTCCTGCTGTAAGAAACAATATCCTGGCAGTTGTTATGAACCTTTTTCAAAAATACATTTTTATGCAGATGACCTCGCAAACTGCAAAAGTCTTGGGATGATCTAAGTGACTGTAGAGACAGTTCTGGGCCTTTCAGCTGGTAACTTTCAGGTGTAATTAGGGGCTGTTCTGAATCGAAAGTGTGGCTGTTAAGGACTTCTCTCATGTGATGGAAACACTGAGTTATAACCAGTAGTAGGAAATGTAGTGTGTGTACCTGTGTTTTTTCCAGCAGAATATTTTTATTTATTTGACAAATATCCATTGAGCCTCCATTCTATGTCAGATACTTGTCTAGTTGCACTGAAAACTTAGTTCCTGAGCCATGTTCATGTCTTTGTTCTGTGAGTCCCCAGCTTCCCTGTTCCCTATTTTCTGAGTTTCCCAGTAAACCATTGAAGAATGCTTCTTAAAGAAATAAACTTGAATTGACCTTAAATTATAAACAAGTTGGATCAGAAGTAAATATTTCTAAACTGTAAATAAAGGAAGTTAATTACTATACAAAGCTAACTTTGTACCTGGATTACGCCCTACAGTGTAATGCATGATGTGGTAACTTGTGATTACAAATGTAGATCATTAAATTGGGAGCAGAGGTTACATATTAGGTGGCATTGCTTTTTTTTCTCTATCTCCAAGTCATTTGCTTTTTAAATGTTTTGCCAATAAAGATTTCACTATTTTGTAAGTCAGCTAATATTTTTAGTTCCATAGTTTTAGCAGGTAGATTGCACCCGTATTGATGTCTTATGCAATCAGTAAAAACTGTCCACAAATAAAAAGAAAAAAATGTAAGGGTTCTGTATACAAGTTTTTAAAAAACTTATGCTTGTCATGCCATTTAGTTTTATTTTGTAAATTCCAAGAATTAATTGATGTACTTTTTATATCATGTCTTTTGTTGGATATGAAAATCAGTTATTTCAGTCTCTCGTTAGAAATAGGTACAAAATATCTTGTGTCTTCAGTACATGGAAAGCAAAGGGAAAATTTTTCTGTTACCTTGGGTATCTTTGTACCTTTAAAAGATATCATGTACTCCAAGGTTAATTAATTAGAGTATCTTGGAAATAATATCACTTAAATATACAACATCAATATAAAATCAATAAAACATTAGCTCTTGATTTTGAAAATGTCTACATATTAAAAATAAATAAATTCTGCAGAAGTCCAACAGGTTTTCTTTTCTTTTTTTGTTTTGTTTTGTTTTTTAGGATTTTCTTTTTGAGACAGGGTCTCTCTTTGTCACCGAGGCTGGAGTGCAGAGGCGCTGTCTTGGCTCATTGCAACCTCCGCCTCCCAGACTCAGGTGATTCTTCCGTCACAGCCTCCCAAGTAGCTAGGACCACAGGTTTGCACCACCACACCCAGCTAATTTTTGTATTTTTCTTTTAGAGATGGGGTTTTGCCGTACTAATTATAACAACCAGGCTGGTCTCCAACTCCCAGCCTCAAGCAATCCACCCCCTTGGCCTCCCAAAGTGCTGGGATTACAGGCGTGAGCCACCACACTGGCCCCCAAGCAGGTTTTTGTTGTGTTTTGTTTTATTAAAATTAGAAATGTTGTGGCATCCTGTGGAAAGATCTCAAATTAAATCCTGCCTAGTTTGGAGTGTGTCTGTAAAGATAGAAAATCATCATTAACACGTCAGAAACCTAAATAGAAGTTCACAAATTAAATGTTCTTTGGAATTAGGTATGTGGAAGAGGAGAGCTCAAGTCCTCTACTTCCCAGCCATCTGATATTTTTCCTTCTTATGGGAAGAGGGAATATTGATACATTTATGTGCTCAGTTCTTATGTACATTATGCCAAAGGTTTTATTATCTTTTATTATAAGATATCTGCATATAGACACTAAGAAAGGATACATATATTGGTAGATTCTCTCAATTAGAGTTCTTCTGCTCAGGGACCATGCTAGCTCATTCTGACTCTTCGCAAAGTGTTTAGGGAATGACTTGTCCCCCCTTTTTAAAGATTCACTTAGGACTTTTCAGACACTTAAATTTTCTCCCTTTGAAAAGAAGGTTGGAAGCAATGTGGATAAAATATAATATTCATAGAGCATTGTATTTATAAATATGTACTAGGAAATGAATGAGCAGGTAAAAGCCATTGGCCAGTTTCCTTCTCTCAGTCTCATGAAAGTACTATCTTGTTGAGATTAAGATAAAATTTTGTCTAACTCAGACATGAGATATGCGAGCTTCTAATTCTGTGTACCTCCCATTAATAACATATGTTTTTAGAGCTCAATCAACCACAGAAAGAAAGAAGGAAACAAGAAAAAAATCTAATAGGTTTCTTCCCTTATTCTGATGCTGGTAAGCTGTAAAATGAGGGAAATCCTGATGTTGGCCCTAAGCTGTAAGAAAGAGTAGTTAATAATAATAGCCTATTGTGTTAGCTTGCTAGGGTTGCACTAATAAACTGCCATAAATTGGACAGCTTGAAACAACTGAATTTTATTGTCTCACAGTTCTGGTGGTTGCAAGTCTGAAATCAAGTTCTCAGCAGGACCACATTCCCTCCGAAACCTGGATTAAACCCTTCCCTACCTCTCCTAACTTCCAGTGGTTTGCTGACAACTTTTGGTGGTCCTTGACTTACAACTGCATAACTCCAATCCCTAACTTTGAGGCCGCATGGCATTCTCCCTGTGTTGTTTTCACATGGCCATCTTCTTATAAGGACAATGATCACGCTGGATTAGGAGCCCACCCTACTGTAGTATGAACTCATCTAAGCTTAGCTAGTTACATTTGCGATGACCTTATTTCTTAATAACATAAGCATAGGTACTGCAAGTTAGAAACTCAAACATATTTTTTGGGGTGGAAGGAACATAATTCAACTGACAACATTTGTTTATTTTTTTGGCCAGGTGTACATTACATGGCCACGATTTGCTCTGAGAAGTGGGGTTACATTTACATTGGTGATACTTGTTCAACAAATCTGAGCAGGCAATGTCTAGAGATACCAAGAAGAGGAGCTTCCTGTCTTTATTAGTGGGTTAGAATCTAGTTGAGGAAACAGACCATTTTAAATTGTTTTATGTAAAGTGATAATTTCTGTCATGGCAATAGGGACAAAGTACTATGAAAAAGGTTGATGGAGTGATAAATTTTTCTTGGCTTGAAGTGATTTTTATTTTCTTTATGCTTTAATGTTTTCTGAGTTTTCTACAATGAGAGTTTACTAGTTCGAGGAGACATTCTTGCACAGGGAATAGACAAAAGAATATAATTTGAGGCATTTAAGATAAAGGCCAGAAACCAGCTATCCACTGCCATGGAGAAAGAGATTGTATAGAAATGTTTTCTGGGCTGGGCACGGTGGCTCACACCTCTATTCTCAACACTTTGGGATGCTGAAGCAGGCAGATTGCTTGAGGCCTGAAGTTCGAGACCAGCCTGGCCAACATGGTGAAACCTTGTCTTTACCAAAAATAAAAAAAAATCAGCCAGGCATAGTGGTGAGTGCCTGTAGTCCCAGCTACTCGGGAGGCTGAAGTGGGAGGATTGCTTGAGCCCAGGAGGCAGAGGTTGCAGTGAGCTGAGATTGTGCCACTGTGCCGGGTGACAGAGTGAGACTCCTCAAAATAAATAAATAAATAAAAATTAAGAAGTAGTAAATCTCATATTTCTGGTTTCAAAACTCTTTTACCCTCTTAAAAACAATGAAGGACTTCAAAGAACTTTTGTTATTGTGGGTTATATCTACAATGTTTACCTCAGATCTGATCTTACTCTTCTAATTTCATCGTTCAACTCAGGTTCCTCTTTACTGTGCCCTGGGACCAAGGTAAGCAGGCACAAAGGAATGGCTTCTGAAACATGTAGACGAGCATAGGCACATACCAGCATATGCTTTCAATAATGAGGAAGAAGAAAACGAATATAACGGCTGAGAAGCTTCCAATATACCACCAAATCCGGACTCTGGAGACTCCCAAGCAGACTGTAAAAGCTGATTGCCTCAAAGTGTCAAAATCCAAATCTAAAATCATATCCTGTCCTTTCTTCTGGCACCTATCAAGATGATTCTGAGGGGTTTATAAGTTTCTTATAATAACCTATTTCATAGTATGGAAAAGTTGTCATGAAACTCCTGTTTGTTACCTCATTATGGTGTCCTTGTTTCTTGTTTAGCAATAGCCTAAACAGGCTCTGCGGGATGCTCAGAAAATGGTTACATGGGTGTAGCTACAAGCAAAACAGGAATGCAGAGAAAAGAACTAACAGGCCCTGCTGGTTTCTCAGATGCAGTGCTGCATATTCCAAGAGGCCTTCATTAGGAGACAGGCATTAGGAGGGGTTGATTGCAGGCCAATCAACTAGCTGCAGTTTCAAGGCTGCTTCCAGCTTACTCGTCTGTTTGAATAAGTTGAAGTAAATTTAGCTACAAGGAGACTCCACTTCTATTTAATCAAATAGTCTTAATGCAGTAAGGAATCTTAGTGCAACAAACCATCACCATCCTAATGCGATCACCTTGTAAGATTCCTCATCTAGTGTTTGAATCCCTTGGGGGGCAACCCCCATTATTGCTAACCAGGTTTCCTTTAACATCTTCAGTAATTTAAATTTCACTGCCAACACCAGCGAACCTGCTCTTTTATTGAATAACTCGAACTGTTATGAAGTTGTTATACTGAGCAGCAAAGTATTTACTAAATAGAAAATGCCCTACTGTTCTAATTCTATCCCTTGGTATGACATTAAAAAAAAACTCCAGTCCCTTTTTCTCATGTGATTCCTTCAAACATTTCAAAGCAACCAGAGTATTTTGCCCAAATAGTCTTGTTTTCATTACAGCTATGTATAGTTTGTTCATCACATGGTTTCAAGTCTCTTTACAATCTTTGTCATTTTTCCCTGGACGTATTTGGAACTAAACGTTATCCCAGAGTTGAATACAAAATTCTGTGTCTGTGTACCAAAAAATTGTACATTCCTATGGCATTTACAGTTACAAAAAAGTTTTAAGTATTTTTTCAGATACTCTGTTATCTTACCTTTTTCTCTGTAGTATACTATTTGGGAACAGTAAGTTCCAAAGCGCTTTTTGGGACAGTAACTTTTTAGGGAACAATTCTTCTTTTTTTACTCAATTTTTGAATTTTACTCCTAAACCTGTGAAATCTAGTAGTGGATACAATATCACAACCCAAGGGTAATTCTGGATCTCTAATTTTTCATTCAAAAACTGGTCTATCTTAAGCAGCTTATAGGAATTCTTTTTTCTTTTGATTTTGAAAGTGATTCACTTCACACAGGTAGCTTTGCTTAGGTTTATGGCTGGTGTTCTGATTTCTTGATGCCCATGCCATACCAGTAGTTACATATTTTGAATGTCACTCATTCCTGATCTTCAATATATGTCAAAGGGATGGAACATATATTGAGGAATAGATCTAATGTAAAATATTAGAATAGTACATGTATATGTACTCCTCTAAAATGCTAGAGAAAATAAACTTATAAATGTTATATTGCCTATAATATGCACATTAAGGAAAGACTTATTCTTTGAATTGGCCAATTTATCTATTTTTATATGTTGATAGTTATGAAAGTTAAATGTTTTCTACCCTCCGGAAGTACACCTGTGTGATTTTTTTTTTTTTTTTAAGTTAATCTCCTTTAAGCAAAATGTGTTTGGTATTTGGAATGTTGGGTCCTTTCTGTGGAGGTTGTTTAAAATGTAAAATAATCCATTGTTCTCAGCTAAAATAGTTCTCTGTTACTATCTTCTTGCGATCTTTGTCCTTCATGCAGTTTTAAATCCGGATGCATAGTTTTCCTGCCAGAAGTTAATGCTTACTTCTCATTTGTTTTCTTTTCCTGTTGCCTTCAGAGCTCACAGAGAGAAGATGCTATTTCTGCAATCTCTAAGACATGTGGCTTTCCCAGGCAGATTGTTTATTTAATGAAAAAGAAGAGAGGTCCACTCTATTTGTTTGGAGTTATGTAAATATTCTTTAAAAGGAGGATTTCCTCATTTATTCCACTTCAGTCTTCCTGTTCAGAGAGAGCTTTAAATGCACCTTAAATCACTATATGATGACAGCTTGAGTTACAGTTTTATAACAGTACCAAATATATTCAAGACGTTGTGAATAAGAAAGGAAAAATGGATTAATTCCTAATTTATCTCTCTATATATTACAATATAAGATTATTGCATATCTTCACGTATAAAACCAGTTTATCATTATAAACCTAGTAATAAAAATAACACATAGTGCTATGATAATAGGTAAGTTTGAATAGAAGGTATCAAAAAGGAGACAGATAAGGTATTGTTCTATACATTTAGTACTAATAGTTTTGTTTCTTTTTTTATTTCACATTCTTACTCAGGTAGAGTTTGCTCACCATGTTGTAATTGAAGTTGGAAAACTCTTTAAAAGGTACCATAATAGAAGGATGTTTTCAATCGGAAACAGTATATTTTTTATTTCTCTTTTCATCATCTTGTGAGTTGAGTTTTAAATTAAACATAGAATTCAGATAACACCATGAATAAACCTTAAAGCATTTCACATTTTGCAAATATAATTATTTCTCAAATATGTAACCAGAATGGGCATATGGTAGGTACTACAGAGAGAAAAGGGTAACAATGATTAAAATATCATTAAAAATAATATTGTGGAATGTTAATATTTAATATAACAAATGTTTACACATATAATTATACATAATATATACATATGTTTTACATGCACTACATATAACACATATAATGTATATTTCACATAACATGTTACAAATAATCTTATATATGTAATTTAAATATATTTATATATTTATAAATATAAATACACTGTCAAGGGTTGGAATTACATTAGAGCTTTTTCATTTTATGTAGTGAATACTCATAGATCAGGTACAGATATTTTTTCTCAGAACATTTTTAGACTGTATTAAATATTATAGTATAAAATTGGTGAAGTGAAGCCATCAAAATGACTATACCAGCTCTTTTATAACTACTTTTAAAAAGGCAAATATTAGTATATAATTTTATCCAAAGCATAATATCTATGGACGTAGATGACCTGTTTAAGGAGAAAAGAAACATGTTCAAATCACATTGAAATAACAGAGAGAAATGTCAGGGTTTCAGTGTTACGTGAGGGAAACATTATGTTTCCTCCAAATAATAATAAGTTGCCAGGTATTTTATCATAGTTTCTTGAAATTGACACAGACCTTTAGGTCTGTTGTGCATCGTACGTAATTTTCTTGTTTGGCGTTGCACTGATTTTAAAAGTTCTGCAATAAAGCACATTAATTGCATTGTTTTCTTTTCATTTAGAATTTCAGACATTATTTCCAGAAAAGTCATAGTTTGAAGCGCTTCAAAATCTTTGAACTTAGAAAAGGAAAGGAAGTTCCTTTATGTCAAAACTGTGATAAAAGCAAACAAACATTTAATAAATGTTGGATAGACTTAAATAGTTTTGTGTTCATCTCAAGCATACATTGAAAGCTTATTAAACTGTATTAACTTGTGTAATAAATGTTATAAAAGAATCAGAGTTCTGGAAGATTCTTGTTTCCTTTAGGCAGAACCACATTTGAAGCAAACTGAAGTGAGAGAAAGCATGATTGTGCAAAAGAGCTTAGAGTTTTATACACCCTCTCAACAACTCTTCCTATTAGTCTCACCTGTACTGCCAGGTCATTCATGCTTCCTTTTCATTTGTCTTCTTTTGTCACTGTAAGTTAAGCCAAGTAATTGCTGCCTCTGCTGTCCTCAGGTTGAAACAGAGTTAAATTAGCTCACCTCTATGTGTGCCAGATGTTCCTTTGGTCAAGGTGGCTGGTTCTCTCTGTTTCTGTAGGTAAAGAATTGTAATTGCTTGAGCTTCTAGCCATTGTTCTTTTTTATCAAACCTTTCGTCACCATGAAGATTTCCTTCTGTGCCTTTTGCAGTCATCCACAGCTTTCACAAACGAGGGCTAATTATCACTGATGTGACTGACTGCCATTATTTCCTAGTTATAATTTTCTCAATACAATTTCTCTTCACAACTCCTCTTAGGATACTTTTGAGCTATTTCCACTTATTAGTTTAACAATTTTGTAACTTCTTTCTTTGTATTTCCTAATGTAGAAACATAGGTGGATTGAAACCCACGTTTCCAAGGAATAAAGCTAAGAGTGTGTTTAAAGAGAAGGCTCATATGTATTACTGAGCTTCTCTACTGTTAGAGTATATAGAAGATAGTCTCTTCTTTATTTTGCAAATACGACAACTGAATCACAGGGCATTCATTACTTTAGTAAACCTCTACTTAGCAAAATCTTTACAACTTACTGCTATTAACAATTAGAGTATTGGTAATACTGAGTGATGTAATTATTGCTATACAGGTGATTTCAGAGCCTGGTTAACACAGAAATCTAAATCTCAGATCTAACTTATTTCATTCCAAGGTTAGGGAGGGAATTTTGCTTAGATTTCCTGCTCCCAGTGAATCTTGAGTGGTGTCCAATAGTTCTAAGCCATGGACACTGGGTTTAAGTCACTATGGGAATTCCTCATTGATTGGTTCCACTGAATTGGTAAATACAGTTATTCACATCTCAGTTAGGTGGTATGTTCTGCAGTTAGCTTATAGGGCAAAATCCCACATATTAAAAATTCCATGCCCCACATCCCTCCCTCCCCTACCATCACATCCTACACTAGAGTGATACATTTGTTACAATCCATGAACCAACACTGACACATTGTTATCACCCAAAGTCCATAGTTTACATGAGAGTTCACTCTGTGTTGTACATTCCATAAGTTTTGACAAATGTGTAATGGCAGATATTCATCCTTATAGTAACATACAGAATAGTTTCACTTCCCTAAAAGTGACCTGTGCTCTACCTGCTTATTTGTATGTCTCTCTATTTTTCCCACACCCTGGCAACCATGTATTCTTTTACTGCCTCCATGGTTTTGCCTTTTCCAAAATGTATAAACGTGGAATCATATGGTATGTAGCCTTTCCAAACTGTCTGTTTTCACTTAATAATATGCTTTTCATGTTCTTCCGTGTCTTTTCATGGCTTGGAAAATGATACTACTTTTGAGTCAGAAAATTTTAAGGAGCACTTAAAAGCAATGTTTTTGTTTCATCCTGAAAAGAGAAGAAAATATGCTTTTTGAGTAGAAATTTTATATATTATTTGAAGATTCCCTGCTTCCCACATAGAATGTGGTCAGGAGCATGTGAAAACTATTACAGATCACTTAATGTGGAAGTTAAATAATATAAAAAGTAATGAAAACTAGATTATCAATTCTGATCTATGTTCATTAAGAAGCATGAACTATTAACAAGTATGTAGATAGTTTTTACTGTTGCTCAACCCTTGTAAGCTACAAATAAGAACCAACTGTATCTTACAGAATTGAATTGAGTGAAACTTAACATTATAGTGCCCCAAAAAAGAGAAAGGTTTAAACGTAATTTTTGTCTAAACTTATCCAATTATAAATATTCTTTCATTCTAATTTAATTAAAATGAAGGTAGACCTTGATGTGATATACAACTTCAGCAAAGTTTCAGGTTACAAAACCAATGTACAAAAATCACTTGTATTCCTGTGCACCAACAACATCAAGCTGAGAGCCAAATGAAGAAAGAAATCTCATTCCTAATAGCCACAAAAAGAATAAAATACCTAGGAATACAGCTAACCAAGGAGGTGAAAGACCTCTGCAATGAATATAAAACGTTGAGTGAAATCAATGATGACACAAACAAATGGAAAAACATTCCAGGCTCATGAATAGGAAGAACCAATATTATCAAAATGGCCATACTGCCCAAAACAGCATTACTTCGGTGCTATTCCTATCAAATTACCAATGACATTCTTCATGAAATTAGAAAAAACTATTTTTGAATTCATATGGAACCAAAAAAGAGCTCAGATAGCCAAGGCAATTCTAAGCAAACACTGGAGGCCTCACGTTACCTGACTTCAAATTGTTCTACAAGGCTCAGTAATGAAAACAGCATGGTACTGGTACAAAAACAGACACATAGACCAATGGAACAGAACAGAGAGCCCAGAAATAATGCCATATACCTACAACCATTTGATCATTGACAAAATCCACAAAACAAGCAATAGGGCAAGGATTCTCTATTCAATAAATGGTGCTGGGATAACTGGCTGACCATATGCAGAAGATTGAAACTGGACACTTTCCTTACACCAAATATAAAAATTAAGATGGATTAAAAACTAAAACCAAAGGCTAACATCAAAAACTACAACAACCCTGGAAGATAACCTAGAAAATACTATTCTGGACATAGGACTTGGCAAAGACTTCATAACAAAGACACCAAAAGCAATTGCAACAAAAACAAAAATTGACAAATGGGACCTAATTAAAGAGCCTCTGCACAACAAAATAAACTATCAAAAATGTAAACAGACGATCTACAGAATGGAAGAAAATATCTTCAAACTATGCATCTGACAAAGGCCTAATATCCAGAGTCTATGAGAAACTTAAATTTACAAGCAAAAAACAACGCCATTAAAAAGTGGGCCAAGGACATGAACAGACACTTTTCAAAAGAAGACATTCATGCAGCCAAGAAGCATATGAGAAAATGCTCAACATCCTTATCATTAAATAAATGCAATTCAAAACTGCAATGAGATACTTTTCACACCAATCAGAATGGCTATTATTAAAAAGTCAAAAAATAACATGTTGGTGAGGTTGTAGAGAAAAGAGAATGCTTATACACTGCTGGTGGAAATGTAAACTACTTCAGTTATTGTGAAAAGCAGTTCGGTAGTTTCTAAAAGAACTTAAAATAGAAGTACCATTTGAGCCAGCAATCTCATTGTTGGGTATACACCCAAAGAAATATAAGTTGTTCTACCACAAAGGCACATGCACATGTACGTTCATTGCAGCACTATTCACAATAGCAAAGACATGCAACAACCTAAATGTCCATCAAAGGTAGACTGGATAAAAAATGTTGTACATACACCATAGAATACCATGTAACCATAAAAAAAGAATTAGATCATGTGCTTTGCAGCAACATGGATGGAGCTGGAGGCCATTATCCTAAGCAAACTGATGGAGGAACAGAAAACCAAATACCTCATATTCTCACTTGTAAGTGGAAGCTAAACACTGAGTACACACAGACACAAAGAAGGGAACAACAGACATGGGGGCCTACTTGAGGGTGGAGGGTGGCAGGAGGGTGAAGTTTGAAAAACTACCTATCGGGTACCATGTTTATTACCTGGGTGACAAAATAAGTTGTACACTAGACCACCATGACACACGATTTACCTACATAGCAAACATGTACACATACCCCTGAACCTAAAATAAAAGCTTAAAATAAAAAACAAAATAAAATAAAATACAAGGTATAGAATAGGGTAGTCATTGGAAGTTCATGATTAAATAAATATAACTGTGGTGGGAGGATCACGACGGAAAATAATTTTATTTTATTTTTCTGTGCTTTAAATCTTATGTCCTATGGTTTGTTAATAAAAATCATGGACTCTCAAAAGTTTAAAGGAACTTAAAATGTCTTCAAAATTGAGGAACTGTATATATTTTATACTTTTTGACTATTTCTTCTTTCAGCTGGTTGTTTTGGCATAGATATTAACTCTGATATTTATCTAAGAAGAGCTGCTATTATTGATTCTATGTTATAGAATATGTTTTCAACCTTGCTCTAATCCTAGGAGGGAATTTAACCAGCTAGGAACGTGATACAGATCACCACAAGAAAACTGGGTGGATGATCACTGTCACCGGTGAAAATTTGTTTTGTGTGCATATATAAATGTTCCCTATTTACAATGGCTTGACTTCCTGGTGGTTAAAAAGTGATATACATTCAGTAGAAACCAAACTTTGAATTTCAAATGTTGATCTTTTCCTGGGATAGGGATATGAGGTCTGATACTCTCTAGATGCTGGGCAGCAGCAGGGAGCAGTAGCAATCATGAGGGTAAACAAACACTACTGTATTCCATACTGTACTATATTCAATACAGTACAAGAGATATTCAACACTTTGTTATAAAATAGGTTTGCATTCTATGAATTTGCTGTAGGCTAATGTAACTGTTCTGATCATGTTTAAGGTAGGCTAGGCTAAGCTATGGATTCCATAGGTTATTTGTATTAAATGCATTTTTGACTTATAATATTTTCAACTTAATGATGGGTTTATAAGAAGGTAAGTTGAAGTGCATCTGTATATATCAATCAATAAAGAATGGGCTTCCACTTCATTTTAAAAAATTGCTTTAAAAATAAATTGAAATTTACTTAGGAGAGGTTTGTTTTGTGTTAAATATTAGTTTTGTTTTACACTTAAATTATCTGGATTTATTAATTTCCCAATGTCTTCACTAAGGCAAAATTTAATTGGAATTGAAATCAGATACATTAGACACATTGGAGTTTATATAAAATCAAGAAAATTTTCTAAGTATAACATTAATAGTGATCATTCTAATCATAATTATTCAAAAGACCTGGTTCAATACAGCATTGGATTTATTCTATAGAAAATGAGATAGAAATATTAAGTGCACTGAAAATAAACTCAACTTCTCTATAATATTTTCTTTTCACTAAATATTAATATTTATATTTCAAGGATAAACATTGGTAGGGAATCTGCTGAAATCAGGTAACAGTATTCTATGAATCTAGTGATTAGAAAGGAATTCAACTAACTGGTAAAGGGGATACATTTACATATTTTCCAGGCTATCACCACCCTTTTTAAACAGTCCTGACTCGTCTTTGGCAATTGTGCTCTATGGGAAAATAATATAACACTTTGTTTTATAATTTTAACTTTGGAAAAACACAGCCTCAAATAAATGACTAAGTTTGCTTTTATTCCCATTAAACGTTAAACTTAAAAGTTCAGATTTGAGGCTGGGTGCGGTGGCTCACGCCTGTAATCCCAGCACTTTGGGAGGCTGAGGCAGGTGGATAGCTTAAGCTCAGGAGTTTGAGACCTGCCTGGCTAACATGGTGAAACACTGTCACTACAAAAAAATTAGGTTGGTAGGGAGGCACATGCCTGTGGTCTCAGCTACTCAGGAGGTTGAGGTAGGAGGATAACTTGAGCCCAGGAGGTCCAGGCTGCAGTGAGCTGAGATCACACCACTGCACTCCAGCCTGGGTGACAGAGCAAGACCCTGTCTCAAAAGAACAACAGCAAGAAAAAACAAAAATTCAAACTTAAAAGTGTGAATGCATCCACTGTTGGGGAAATATAATTAGAAACTAAATCTTTCCCCAACCCAGAACACTTCTCAACAAACATAGTAGAGAAATAAGCCAGTTTTATTATTTTAAAAAGCATGAAACCAGGATGTCATGCTAATCACATTGAAAAGACAGAAAGGAATTTCACCCCCTATAGGTCTAAGCAGATAGACTTATTACATACATGCGCTCAAGACAGACAATCATTAGTCCTCAAGTAAGAGGACTTTGCAATACCTTTTGTCACATTCTTTTATCTTAATTTTATCATGATAATTGGGGAGACTCCCTGTGGCTGTATCAGGAGGAGTAACAAACTTCTCATTGCAAATTGGAACAAGATGCCCACAGATGTTAAGCTCTTTTCCTCCCACACTAACTGAAAGATAGGGCCACTATCTCTCTTTATGTTTGCCTTTCAAAAAGATGCCTACCCGATGAAGTCTTCCTAAAAGGCACAAGAGAACAGGATTCAAAAGTTTCTGGATGGCTGAACATGTGGAGGGTCCTGGAGGGTTGACCACCCAGGGAGGATGTGGAAGCTCCACACCCCTTCCCCCATACCTTGCCCTATGTACCTGTATCCTTTGTAATATCCTTTATAATAAACTGGTAAGCAATTTTTTAAAAAAGGCTTACAGGTACTTGAGGAAACATTCCTGAATTGTGAGACTGGCAGAGGTTTATTTCGCCATTATCAAGATTTATATACATTTGAAAAGGACAGAGAAAGGAATTTTGAAATAAAAGGAAAAAGGGGAGAAGTCTCTTGCCTGGTAAAATGATAATTCTTATTTTTAATCTATATTTTCCCCTACATCACCCACAGGAATATAGAAGTAGTATTATTTTATTATGACTTTTTTCTCTCCCCAACCTTTCAAAAATAATTTGGAGAGCTTTCTTTGGGTGCTACCTATTTCGTTTAATGGCTTTATTGAAGTATAATTGACACCCAATACACTGCCCATATTTAAAGTGTAGAATTTGATATTTTGACATATGCATACACTTGTGAATTGAGAGAAAAGAGGGATGAGACTAGTCCCCCCACCCTTACTAATGCATTTTTTCCCCCACATTTGATGATACAGGCTGAATGTGTGCTCCCGCCCAAATCTCATATTGAATTGTGATCCCCAGTGTTGGAGGTGGGGCCTGGTGGGAGGTGATTGGATCATGGGGGCAGAATTCTCATGAATGGTTTGTTTAACTTGCTCTATAATGTTGTATAATAATATAACGTCTATAATGCAGGTCAGTCTATTTTACCACAGATAGTGAGGATTGTACAGAGATCATTGACAAGGTAGACAACAAGTGAGTCAAGGTTAGAGAGGGTAAAATCTAGCCTTCTCAATTCCAAGTCATATTTTTCTTCTCCCTTTTATGTTTCACAGTTCATTTCTACTGTTTCAAAGAAAACCGTTCTTTCTAATTAAATATTTATTCCTTAATAGACATCCTCTCCTCTTGGTACTGTCCTTGAGATAGTGAGTGAGTTCTGGTGAGATCCGGTCATGTAAAAGTGTGTAGCACCTCCCCTCTCACTCTCTTGCTCCTGCTTTTTCCATGTGAAGGACGTGATACTGCTTCATCTTCCACCACAAATAAAAGCTCCCTGAGGCCTCCCCAGAAGATGAATCATGTTGGCACCATGCTAATACAGCCTGCAGATCCAATTAAACTTCTTTTCCTTAGAAATTCCGCAGTATCAGGTCTTTCTTTATATCAATGTGAGAATGGACTAATCCACATGCCACCTACCAGACCTTGCAGTACCATGCTCACGGGCGCCATACCTGCTGACCAGACCTTGCAAACTGTGTGAAGAAACTAAGTTGAGCAGCATTCCACCAAAAATCTTACTCAAAGGAGTTTACCCTCTCATCTACAGTATGTACACAAATCAGGAGAATGACCCACCTTGACCCCTTGACTCATTATAATACTAAAATCCCTGCCAAAGGAGGGCGTATCCACCATTTTTTGATCATGTGTTGCGTGAAGAAGTACGTTTCTAAACTGTGCTTATGCCACTGAAACTCCTCCCTAATCATGCCTTGATACCTTTCCTCTTTCCCTCCAGAATTAAAAAATCTTGGGTGGCTCCTCATGGGAAGGCAGAGAACTATCATCCCTGTGCTGTTTCCCTTGTGCTCAAGCATAAGCCCCTAATAAAATCTTGTCTGAAACAATTTTCTTGGCCTTGTGTCAATTTCTATTGCTTAGGTGCCTAAGAACCTGTGGTCGTTAACAAAGTCATCACCACTTTATCTTCCCTACACCAGCCATACATCTTTAGTGTGATGTACGGCTGGTGTGTCTGGTCAAATTTCTTGCCCAATTTTAGTTTTATTTGGGTTGTTTGCTTTTTTATGGTTGAGTTGTGAGTGTTCTCTATATACTCTGCATGCGAATCATTTATAAGATATGTATTATAAGATACATGTTTTACAAATGCTTTATTGTAGTCTATAACTTTTCATGTTCTTAACTGTGGCTATTAAACAGCAAAAGTATATAGTTTTGATAAAGTTAATTTATCGATTTGTTCTTTTATGGAGTGTACTTTTGACTAGGAGAAATTTGGCTAACCCTAAGTCACTAAGGTTTTCTCCAATGTTTTTCCCTCTAAGTTCTGTAATAAGTTTTATATTTAGGCCTATGCTCAATTTTGAATTAATTTTTTTGTATATGGTGCAAGATATGGATTGTAGTGCTTTTTGTTTTAATATGGCTGTCCAACTATTCCAGCACCATTTTCTAAAAAGGCTATATTTTGTCCACTGAAATAAATGCCTCTGCATCTTTATCGAATTCAGTGGTCTATATATGTACAGCTCTATTTCTGGATTCTGTTATGTACCATTGATAACTTTATCTATACTTACATCCATTGTACACTGTTTTAGTTATTGTAAGTTTGTGTGATTTGAAATCCAGTAGTTTTTACCCTCCAACATTATTCCCCTTTTTCAGAGTTGCTTTACCTAATCTAAATCCTTCAGATTTTCATACAAATTTTAGAAACAGCTTGTTAATTTCTACAAAATTTCCTACCAAGGTTTTTATTGGGATTACCTTAAATCTATATAGCAATGTTGGGACAATTGACACCTTAAAATATTGAGCCTCTAACCCATGAATGAGGTATATCTCTTTATTTATTTAGGACTTTTAGAATTTCTTTAATTTGTATAAATATTACAAACCTGTAAACAAATCATTATAATAAAACCATGAGCCTACTAAGTAAATGCTACTAAATTATGCCTCCAGTATCAGAATTTTTTGGAGAGCCTAAAACCTTTCTTCTGATTCACAGTAAGTAGGTGATCATCAGGTGAACAAGCGAGATTGGAGAGAAAAGAAGTACAAAAGCAGAGAGTGTAGTTAGGATTAAACATTTAAAGACTTGCAAGTAGTTATGGTTTGACATATCTGAAACCATTGGTTCATATGGGGAATGTAAAGGAAGAAGTGTGGCTAGACCCTTGTCTTATGTGCTCCTGAAGACAATTGGTCTTCATCCTGCGAGCAATGGGGCTATTGAAAGATTTTAAACAAAAGAGTAACATGACTGTTTAAAAGATCACTCTGAAAGTTGAATGATTTGTTTTAATATTTTTAAAGTTATTTGTGCCTTAACCTTTCTAAACTATGGGAAAAGTCTCCAAGTTGTGGAATATTATAAATACTATATAAATATAACTTACTTTTGATTGACTTAAAAGCATCTCTTTTTAGCATTACAAAATACATCTTAGCTTGCTTTATATTGGATTTTGGTGAGCAAGTTAAACACTAACACTATGCCTGATTCTAATGTTATCTGTATTTTCTATTGTATCAGTTCTTTTCAGCATACTGTCTCTTATCTTCATTTAACTGTACAGTTTCATTCTTTTTCTTATTATTGTTCATTGTTGTTTTTATTATGTTAAATTATAGATCCCCTTATATATTTAGTAACTTACATTAATTACTCCCTTTATGCATTCCTCATTACTAATGTGTCCCCTACTTAACACTGCCACCAAAGTTGTCTTTTTCACTCTATCATGCTCCTTATTAAACAGTTATGGTGGTTTTCTATTACATCTTGTAATTAACTCTCTTTATATAATTAATTCATTTGCTTTTCCTTTCCACTCTACGGGGCAACATACACTCTGCCATTTAACTTACTTTCTACCTTTTCCACAACCGAAGTGAGTGTCAGCGAGTGAGGGATGAGCGTTTTTTCTTTTTTTTTTTTTTTAATGAGACACAGTCTTGCTCTATCACCCAGGCTGGAGTGCAGGGGCATGATCTTGGCTCACTGCAGCCTCTGCCTCCCGGGTTCAAGTGATTCTCCTGCTTTAGCTCTGGAGTAGCTGGGATTACAGGTGCCTGCCACCACGCCCGGCTAATTTGTTTTGTATTTTTAGTAGGGACAGGGTTTCACCATGTTGGCAAGGCTGGTCTCAAACTCCTGACCTCAGGCGATCTGCCCACCTTGGCCTCCCAACATGCTGGGATTACAGGAATGAGCCATCACGCCGGGCCTGTGGGCTTCTTAATGGTTTCCTGAATTCCTGTGTGTCTCTTTAAAAAAGAACTGCTACCCCATCCACAAACATTTTGTGAAACATCTATAATGCGGGTCAGTCTATTTAACCACAGATAGAGAGGACTGTACAGAGATCACTGACAAGGTAGACAACAACTGAGTCAAGGTTAGAGATGGTAAAATCCAGCCTTGGTCAATTCCAAGTCATATTTTTCTTCTCCCGTTTATGTTTCAAAGTTCATTTCTACTGTTTCAAAGAAAACCATTCTTTCTAATTAAATATATATTCCTTAATAAACATCCTCTCCCTTTCTATTTCATTTATTGATTATCTTTCCTTCTCTAACTCTGGACTTTTATTTATTTATTTATTTGCTGAGCGGGTTCCTCATTGAATTTAAAACAACTCTTTTCCCCACCATATCAGCATTGCTTGTATCCCTTGAAGGTGAAAGGATATTTCTGATCTGACCTAATTCTTCTCTTTATTCTGGTACTTTAAATTTATTATTGTTATTATTATTATTATTTTGAGACAGAGTCTTGCTCTGTCGCCCAGGCTGAAGTGCAATGGCAGGATCTCAGCTCACTGCAACCTCTGCCTCCTGGGTTCAAATGATTCTCCTGCCTCAGCCTCCCGAATAGCTGGGATTAAGCTGGGATTACAGGCACATGCCACCACGCTTGGCTAATTTTTGTATTTTTAGTAGAGACGGGGTTTCACCATTTTGGCCAGGCTCGTCTTGAACTCCTGACCTCAGGTGATCCACCCATGTTGGCCTCCCTAAGTGCTGGGATTACAGGCGTGAGCCACTGTGCCCGACCTACTAAGGTACTTTCAAATACAATGCTTTGTAAAGTCTCCATGAGATATTAGAACTCCTTTTCCTGGACTAAGTAGTGGGGGTAAATTGACCAAATCCATCTTCCTTGCAAGCATATTGCCTGCCCTCCTTAACCTTCTCAACATTCTTGATTCTAGCCTTTTAAATGGTTGTATCTTCATACCCAGGATAGCATAAGCTGTCCCCTATCTTTTTTTCTCAAATACAGAAATCTGGATTTACTTTTGGAACTCACTGAAGTATCACTGAACCAAATCCTGATTATTGGAATGTTTTATTACATTTTATTAAGTTGCATATTTATTTATATTTAAGATGTAGTTTACAAAAATCACTCTCTACTTGGCAAAATTCCAGTTTTTGATGCAAATTTTCTGATATGGCTTGCAGAATTATTTGTATTCAAAGAACGATTCTGCTTGTATTATGAACAATTGTCGTGAGATTGAAGAATATGGAGATGTGTATTAAGGTAATGAGTAATGAAATGCCTCTTTTTCCCCCACAGTATTTTGGATAAAAGTCAAGCTAGGTTGATTAGCTCAGTGTGGGTTCATAGTCAGAGCCATAGGATACTTGTTGAAACTTTCATCAAAGTGAGACTAAAATACAAAATCAAATATATTTCTATCTGAGACAAATTCAACAACTATAAGTAATAAATCATCTTTTTTCTCTTGATTACATGCTTCCAAATATTACTTTAAACTTTTCCCCATTATATTTAAGCAGTCATATTATTGTTGTGGTGACTCCGTCTAAAAATAGGAGTAATATTTTGTTTCAGATGCTTTTGAAGTATACAAAATAATTTAGAATCAATTGCTTAAAACATAAACAAATTATGACAATTTTCTACTGTGAATCCAAAAGTCATTTTAAATGAACCAGGATTTTATAAATTATAACAATACCTTCATACATTTAATGTAGTAATATACATATATAAATATGTGGGAAACATACTATTTATTTATCTACAGACCCATATTTGGAGCAAAGGTTGCTTCCTGGACACGTTAGATTCCAAGCAACTGATAAGTGCGTGGAGAGCAAATGAAACAACAGGGTGTGATCAGGGAAAGAAGAGAGATGTTCACAACATGAAGTAGGTCAAAGGGAGGTAGAGATGGTCAAATTCCTCCTTAATAAGAGATGCCAGCTTATGTTCAGAAATCCACACACCTGGCATTCCTAACATTAAGAATGCAATGGACATTCCAGGTCAAAGGAAATGCTCTGGCAGTTAATGTGCAGCTATTGCATTCTAACTTGTGTTTGTGGATTCCCTGTCACTGGATGGAACCAGACATTGCAGTACTTTTGCAGATATGTTATAAATGTGATCAGAGTTTATGTTTTCTCTTCCGGTGGAGTTTTTACTAGACTTAGCCCACGGCTAACTGAACTGACCACAGACAACACTTTGCTGCGTAGCATTGAAGGGCATATAGCTCAATTAGTAGATTTGTGGCACCTCCATGTAAAATCCAAAGAACTCTAGAAACCCAGCCAAGTCAACCAACATGAGTGTGAGCCAATGCTACATGAAAATAATTCCTCAGGCCATTGAATGCTACTTGGCATTGAATAGCAACAATTTGATTTATATTGCCTTTATGTTTTACAAGATCAAACTCCTTTTTTAAAGAATTTTTTTCAAATATACTTTGAAGAACAATAAACAATATTTTTAAATTCACTGAGGAAATGTTGGAATAGGTATTGTGCCAAACTATTCAAGGCAAAGTGTATAAGCTTTTTTCTGCCTTAGATTGTTTCATGCTTTGATCTCAATAAGCCATTATTTTTTCTCTTTTAGGCATTTAGCTGAAAAAAGATTTAACTACCCCACAATAAATAATGTCCCCATCTCCCTGAAGTTTTCAGATACTATTACTTTTCAGTTTATTTCTCTTAAGAAAGATATATTAATTCTGATTTACACATGATACTGTGCATTGAAAACAAGATGATGAGGGATAGTTTAAAGAGGTGGAGATTGGGATAATCTTCCCAAATTCTGTTTTCCCTCCACCCCTAGTCTATTCTAATGATACAGTTTGGATGTTTTGTCCTCTCCAAATCTCATGTTGAAATATGATCCCCAATGTCAGAGGTGGGGCCCAGTGGGAGGTGCTTGACTCATAGGGGTGATTTCTCATGAATGGCTTGGTGCTGTATTCATGGTAATAAATGGGTTTTCATTCTGTGAATTCACAGGAGATCTGGTTGTTTAAAAGAGGCTGGCATCTCCTCCCTCTCTCCCTGTATCTCTCATTCCCTCTCCAGCCATGTGATGCACCTATGCCCCTTTTGCCTTCTGCTATGATTGTAAGCTTCCTGAGGTCTCACTGGAAGCCTGATAGGTGCAGGTGCCATACAGAACAGTAAGACCAATAAATCTGTTTTCTTTATACATTACCCAGCCTCAGGTATGTCCTTATTGCAATGCAAAAACAAACTAACACATCTAACATACGTTTGAAGAACTACTGATTGACTTGGCTGTGTCCCCACTGAATCGTATCTTGAATTGTAGCTCCAATAATCCCCATGTGTCTTGGCAGGGACCCGGTGGGAGGTAATTGAATCATGGGGGCAGGTTTTTCCATGCTTGTTTTGTGATAGTGAATAAGTCCTACAAGATCTGATGGTTTTATAGAGGGCAGTTCCCACACACACACTCTCTTGCCTGCCACCATGTAAGATATGCCTTTGCTTCTCCTTTGCCTTCTGCCATGATTGTGAGGCCTCACCAGCCATGTGGAACTGTGAGTCCATTAAATTTCTTTTTCTTTATAAATTACCCAGTCTCTGGTATTTCCTCATAGAAGTATGAAAATGGACTAATACGACTCAAATATTAGATACACATTTTTATCAATAATATAGCATAAGGAACACACTCCCAAAATATTTAATTTAAAATCTAGAAAAAAAGTTTTGTTTAATCAAGGTGAACAGGTATAATGCTGTGCAGTAGTATTTAAGGAAAAGGAAATAGCTAAGATTATATTTAAAAGCTTTTTAAAAATAAGAAATGCTATATAAATTTTGAGAACCATTAGGGCTTTCTCTTTTAAATATTAACTTAATCTCATTTAGTCAAAGTGACATATGGGAGTAATTTAAAACTGAAGAATAATAAAGTGTAATCCCTTGCCCTAATATTCTCTGCACCCAAGTCCTTCCTCAGAGGAATATACTGTCAAACCTTTTAGCTATTTTTAAGACATTTCCTTTTGTATTCATACATGTTATGCTGCTACTATTATTACTTGATTTATCGTGTGTGTGTGTGTGTATGTGTGTGTGTGTATGTAGAGAGAGAGAGACTCCCTCTTGTGATATTAACATTTTAGACCTGTTATATAGACCTTCATGTTAGTTTTCCATTCTCATACAACATTTTGTATGTTCTGGAGTTAATAATTTCTCACTTCATCTGGTGTTTAGTTGTCAACATGCCAATCTCTAATATTTTCTTAAATGTGCCTTCTGATGTGTCAAATACATATCAATAAATGTACTGAAAGTTCAAACACATTGAATTATCTGTTAGTTACATTTCCTTCCCCAACCCCCAACAAGAGTTCCTCCTTCCAAAGCCTTCTGTTGCCCAGTTCAAAACAGAATTGTTTCCAGGAGAGAAAAATAATTCTTAAACCAGGCATACCGTAACTATCTGCAAAGGAAAATGTTAAAAAATTGGACTGGAATAAAACCACAAATTGTTTATCAAAAGATATCATCATGGGCTTGGACAGATAAGAGACATATTGGGAGAAAATATTTGCAGCTTATTTATTTGACAAAGAATAGAAATAAAGAATATTGAAAGTACTTCTAAAAATAAATAAGCAAAAGCTAACACCTCTAACAAGAAAACAGACAAAGACTTGCACAGGAAGATCACAAAAGAGGGCATCTAAATGGTCAAAATGCTTATGGAAAGATGTTCAATCTATTAATCATCAGGGAAATGCAGATGAAAACCACAGTGAGCAATACCACTGCAAATGTGCCAGAATGGAGTTGCCAAATTTAGCAAATAAAAACACAGGACTCCTACATATATTTGAATTTTAGACATAAAATGAATAATTTTTAGCATAAGTATATCCCAAATATTTCTCATGTAAGTAGACATCCTGTATTTTACATCTGGTAACGCTAGCCAGAAAGTATGAGATTGAAATAATGAGCAACACCAAGTATCAGCGGCAATGTGGAACAACTGGAACTTTCAAAGATTACTCGGTGGAGTGACAATTGGTACAACGTCATTTTGCAGAACTATCTGGTAGTGTTGCTTAAAGTGGAACACAGTAAATCTTAGAACTCAGCAATTCCTCTCTAAAGGTGTACTAAAAGTCATGTACAAGGATGCATACTGCAGCACTCTATGCATTACAACTGTTTAAAAAGATGTTCATGTTAAAAAGTTCATTGATAATGTAATCAATCAATAAATTGTGGTGTAATCATATGATAGAAGATCAAATAGCAATAAAGAAGAGAAAACTGCATCTATACTCAATAGATTCATATCACCCTGAAACATAATGTTGACTGAAAAAAGGCAGACACAAAATAGTACATTTCATATGGTTTCATTTGTATAAAGTTTAAAGACAATCAATCCACAGTGTTAGAAATCAAGAAACTGGTTACCAAGAGGAAAATAGTAATTGAGAGGAGGCATAGTGAGAGTTTTGATAATGTTTCATTTCTTGACTTGGATATTGGTTGCGTGGGTGTGTTTGTTTTGGAAAATCATCATGCTGTACACCTTTTTTGTTTGTACACATTTTTGTGTATATTATACATCAATAAACAGTTTGTTTAAACAATTATTAACAAACGGTACTTTGTTTTTAGTTATAGAATATGATTTGTGATTCACATGACAACTGATTTTAACTGGTGAGCCATGGTGACACATTTGAGGTCAACGGCTGTAAAGAGCTCCCATGCCTGTGCTCAGGAACAGAGGGTCTTGGCATTCTTCCTGTCGCAACTGGGGGTGAGAAAACAAAAATGACCTTTCTGGGAAAATACACTGAGATGCATGTGTTAGCTTTGTTGAGAATAACTGTTCAACAGGCTCAGGGCATTTTACTCAAGTCTTTTCTGTCTTACTCACTGTTAAACATTGCCTCTCTGGTAGGCTATCTCTAATATGTATTGTTTGTCCATCTTCCTAGCAGTTGGCTGGGATTTGGCTTTGCTTTAAAAGTTAAATGTTTCCTCTTTGTATGCCATTAGCTTCATGTGTCATGTTTTCTAACCCTTAGGATTATCTGGACCAGTAATCCCTTGCCCGTCCCTTGCCTGGTTCCTGTGCCTTTGGATTCCGTTTTGTCTAGGATGCAGATAAACTTAAAGCATTATATTATAAAGAAGTGACATTAGTGTCTAGCTATATGGCTGAGGGGTTCCTTTATCTCAGAACAGGAAAGTGAGAAGTTACCACTGAGATTCAGCTATACTTATCATTATCACAAACAATAATAATAATTATGTAACTCAAAGTGTCATTGTTCCTGATACAGGGGTTTGGCCCCTTGTCTGGTTGAAGACAAATTCCTGGTCTCCTGTGGGTTCTTCCTAAAATCCCCTAGACTTTACTATTATTTTTAAACTTAGAAATAGACCCCTAATGTTTTATGCTCTCCATGACCCTTTCCTGATCATCTGTAAACTTGAGTACAACTCCTTTGGAACACATGTTCTTTCATGTGGTGGAAAGAATGCTTTGGAGTCCGACAGACTTAGCTTTGTACCCAGGCTGCTCCACTTACTGGCTGTGTGAACTTAAGCATGTTACTCTCTGAGCCTCCATTAACTCTGAGGCTAAAGATGATATTGTTATCTGGAGCCTAGAATTATGGTTAGATTATATGAAGTGTAAGGCACTTACCACTTTTCTGGGTACAAGAAACTTTCAAAAGATACTAGTTTCTTCCTTTCTTCCTTTCTCTTCCATCCCTGCCATTACTTTCACAGCTTACCGCGTCCTTCCTAAATTAGTTGATCAAAGATCCAGAAGTGCATCAATTGTGCGTTCACAACATCACCACCATGTACATATCTGCTTGAACGTTTATTTCCTAGAGGAATATCTGAATGATAATCTTAGAATATCTTCATTGAATCCCATGCAGGAAACATAAGCAAACTGCAGCTGACTAATATGATAAGAAATATTACAGACAGTTAGATCATGTGGCTAATGAGGACACACTGTGGGTGGTGCAGGGAGGAGGAGGAGAGGTCAAGTGAGTGCAAACCCATCCCTAAGGAGGGTAGTGTGAAGTATAATCAGTAACTCCCTTTTTAGCTTTTCTTAGGAACTTCATAACTATACTTTCATTTTCCCCAAATACTCCTCTTACTCCCTATGACAGAAACAAACAGAAAAGTTTTAGGTAAGTAATCAGTTTTATTTGTTGACTGAGTGAAATAAATGAATGCAATAATGAGCAGTACCATGTATAAAGAGTATGAATTTTGGTACAAGACAGCACAGGCCAAAATCCATGATCCACAACTTACTAGCCATGTGATGTTGGAAATTTAATTCAGTTATACTCTGTAAGGCTCAGTTTCCTATCTGTCAAATGGAGATCATATCTGTCTCTCATGATTATGCTAAGAAGATGATGTTTATATGGTCTTTAGTGCATTGCTTAATAATGTTTATTATTAATATTACTATCACTCTATGACTCCTGTTACCGCTACCTTACTTAAATGTCTCATCCAGACGTTTCATGTCTTATGGTCCAACACACTCCTATTCTTGTATATAAAGGGCTCAGAGGCCCCAGGCTTTAATTCCAGAAAGGACACTAGGCCGCTTTTTCAGAGATACATGCTCCCTCCCTCTGCTGCTTCCAAGAGTCGTGATTTGCTGCCCCTTTCCACTAAGAGAGTTGTTGGAATTGCAGCCTCTCTCCTTCTCAAGCTTCAGTGGTTCTGGGATCACCTAAGTCTTCTCCTCTGGAAAACTGGAAAAACATTCTCCTCTTTCCTATTCAACATTCATACTCCTGACAGTGGATTTTTACTGCACTGAAATAATTTATATGCCCTTCAATCTATAGATGGAAATAATAAACACTGGCAGGTCTGTTCAGTTATCCAACATCAAATTCCCCTGGGCTGTGAAAATCAGATGTCTACGTGCTTTATTTTTGTGTAAATAGATTGTAGTTTGTTCCTGAAACTTGTTTTTAATGGCTGAGCCTCATCTTCCATCACATTTATATAGGGTATAAGTTTAATAGCAACTGCGGTATTATACACAAGTATTTTTAAAAACCAGAAGACATTTTCTCAAAATATATGCCTCCCTTGATGAAATCTTCTGTTGCATTTTCCAAAAAAATAAAAAAAAAAAGGGGGCCTTTGGAATAAAATCTGTCTAATTATTTGTAGTATAAGCCTTTTTTCTCTTTTTATTTTTTCCCTTATTTGGAATGCTTTTGTTGTTGTGTACAATGCTTATGCAACCAGTTTATTGCATCAGCAGGATTTCAATAGGCACAAACGTAAAGTAACTTTGTTCCTTCTCCCTAAATGCTCCTTTTGACTTAATGTGCCAAATTGTTCTTTTCTATCCATGGATGAGGATTCCACAGCTTTGTCAGCTACTTTCTGGAATTAATGAGTAGCATCAGTTTCCAGCATAGAAAGAGCAGCCTAATAGAAAATGATCCATATGTGATCAGATTTCTTTCTTTTTCTTAATTTAAGACAGATCTTGCTCTGTTGCCCCGGCTAAAGTGCAGTGGCACGATCACAGCTCATTGCAACCTCCACCCGCCAGGCTCAAGTGATCCTCTTGCCTCAGCCACCCAAGCTGCTGGAATCACAGGCACCCACCACCATGCCCGGCTAATATCTGATCAGATTTAAATCTCTCTTTCCCTACCTCAGTCCTGCTTCTGGAAAATCTGCAGTAAGAAGTAGGTTTTGTTTATGCACTCTTTCTTCATCTGTTTCTTCCACTTCCCCTGTGTTTACTATGCAACCTCTGATTAATGGTTGGGTGTGAGAGTGGAGATTGATTAATGGGGAAGTGATACGGGGCACAAAACTTCTTACCTGACTGGCGCAGTTATTATCTCCTACTGGAGCCCTCTGACATGGCAGATTCCAAATGCTGATATTTCTCTTATAATGCAATCCTTGCCTCTAGACTTCTCGACCATGCATCGGGTAGCAGACCCTGCATTTCTCTAATCCAGAGCTCACCAGGCCATCCTCCATTCATTGCTTTCACTTAGCTTGGGGATTTGGTGACAAAGACTCATTCCTTTTTTCCCCAGCTTTATTGAGGTCTGATTGACAACGTGGTATAAATTTGTGGTGTACAATGTGAGGATTAGATAGATAGATTGATGATTAGGTAGATAGATAGACAGACAGATAGATGATAGTGACATGATTACCACAATCAAGATACTTAACACTTCTATCACCTCAGTTACTGTTTGTTTTTTAATGCTGAGACAAAGACTCTCTCTTTTATACAGATTATAGCCAGGCTTCTCTGAGCCCTCTTCTTAACTAGACTTCAGCCTTGGCCTATTAAGACTTAAACAACACTCATGTAGTTTCTAGAAACTCAAAGTCGCATCTGCAAAATAACCTTTGCCCCCCTTAAAGTGCCTGTCTGAGAAAACTCAAGGCTGCCGAAGAAATGTATTATTCGTTCCAGGCAACACCTGAGAAAAGGGCCTCTGTCTCTGAGTCTCTTGGGGAGAACAGGGTCCTATCTTTGATAATTGTCAGTTAGTGGACACAGCTGGTCTAATGACATTTACACTAACTAACCCTCTGTAATTTTTCACTTCCATGACTCTGCTAAGCCTCTAGTTCCCTCTCCTTACTCCCTCACCCTCCCTTTAAAACACTTGCTCATCTCTGTACAAATTGGAGTTCAGTTCACTTTGGACCGTTTTTTCTATTGACATAGTTATTACTGATGAAAATCTGTCCTTACCATTTTAACTAGGGTCTAGCTTTGCTTATCTTTGACCTTGGGCCCGGGGGTAGGAAAGGAAGTCTCCAAGATGGTCTCTATCTCTTGACCTCGTGATTCGCCCGTCTCGGCCTCCCAAAGTGCTGGGATTACAGGCTTGAGCCGCCGCCCCCGGCCGAGATAATTTTTTAAAAGTTTCATGGGGCCGGGCACGGAGGCTCATGCCTGTAATCCCAGCACTTTCGGAGGCTGAGGCGGGTGGATCACGAGGTCAAGAGATAGAGACCATCCTGGCCAACATGGTGAAAGCCCATCTCTACTAGAAATACAAAAACTAGCCGGGCGTGGTGTGGCAGGCTCCTGTAATCCCAGGTACTCAGGAAGCTGAGGCAGGAGAATTGCTTGAACCTGGGAGGCAGAGGTTGCAGTGAACCCAGATGGCGCCACTGCACTCCAGCCTGGTGACAGAGCAAGACTCCGTCTCAAAAAAAAAAAAAAAAAACAAAAAAAAAAACCTCATTAGCAAGTTCCACATAGATGCTGGAACTTCTTTTTAGATTATATGGGTTCTTAACAATCCTTTATTCTATGCAATGGACCCTCAACTGAGAGTAAGACAACAAAATATGTTGTATATTTATCACAAAGCTGTACACCATGAATAGCATAAGAGCTTATAACCAGTTTCTGATGGGTAGCACATTAACCATAATTTGTTTTAAATCTTGATATTATAAAAGGAATATTAAGCAAACTGTGGAGGTCTGAAAGTATTGTTTTTTGATATACCTCATAGTATAGCTCATATTCAACTGATATCACATGATACTATCACATAATGTGATAGTAATGGTATATCAGTTGAATATGAGCTATACTATTTTCTCTTTAAAGTTTGAGGATCTTCCTTTTCTATTAATTTTGCCATGCTTATGTGGGTATCCTATTTTTTTTATGATGGGATGAAAATTATTAAGCCAAGGCTTCTGTGCTAGCTGTTATTATCAATGATATCAAAACACTCATTTTTGAACAGTATAAACATATTTCAAAAGCAATCTGTAATAACTCTTAAAATAGATATGATCATTAAAATGGTAAATGTCTACTGTAGCAAACTGAAAAATATAAACATATATGAACAGATTGAAAACACCAATAATTGGTGAAAAATCATGGGTAACTTATTTTAAATTTTGATGTATATTTTCTAGTTTCTACATCCACAGTGCATATTTTTTTCTACTAATGAGATAATATTGTGTATTTGCAGTTTATCCTACTTTAAAATTTAGTATATATCAGAATTAATCAATAGTCTTTGAGAACATGGCAAATATGTTTTAATGGCTGAATAAAAGTCTATCATATAGTTACAACATCACATATTTTATTTTGTCTCTACTATTGCGTATTTACATATTGCCCATTTTATTATAATAAGTATATCAATAAATTTCTTTATATATAAATCAATGTATAAAGCTCCTTTTATTAGAATGTAAATCTGCACTGACTGAATCAAAGATCAAAGTTTGAACATTTTGCTCTTCTTGAAAGAAATTTACAGTTTATTCCCTAGATTCTATTAGTAATGTATGAGTGCCACTATTATCAGACGCTACTAGATTGAATATTGCTTTCTAAATCTCAATGCTTTTACATGTAAAGATGGTATTTTATTATTTGCACTTTTGTTTCTCTGATAATCATGCCTTTTAAGTGGCTTTCCATTTTCATGAATGTCTAAGCCAATTGAAATATTCAATCTGAATATGCCTTACTCAAAATCAGATATTTAATGAGAATCTTTTCTAGTACTGAAAAAATAATGTCTTTTTCACCATGATGGTGGACTGGTAACTCTGTGTCTGAAAATCTGGGCCAAAACCATGTCAATATGAGTTATGTTCTAGAACTTTGTGGCCTTGACTTTTCATTTATTTTGTGTGTAGCAGGAAACCAAACTACTTTCTAAATGCAATTCTGACCCTATTGTCAGCCCAGCCTACATCAGTTCTATGTAAAGTCAACACTTGCTTTTCTTGTGAGTGTCATCCTAATGGCCCTTTTCACCCTAGTGACACAACACTCCTGCCTCCTTATAGCAGCAGCTGAATCCAGTTTGCAGCTTCCCCAACACTTGCTAGACTAGCTCCATCACATCTCATCCGACAGATTTTGGCACCAGGCAGCAGGCAGCCTGTCAGCAAAAGTTGAGGTGTCATAATAAAAAAAAAAAAAAAGTTGGGGAGTCAGGCCCAAGGAGCCCTTCTCCAAGCTCCCATGCACCACCATCAGTTGAGCTGCAAGCACTTCTAACTCAGAAGTCCGAACTTAACCTTCATGAGGTTGCTCCAAGTTTCTAGGTTTTAATAACATCAGCCTCTTCTTTGTTTCCCCAGCCCTAATTAGCTATTTCCTGTAATTGCTACTCATCATGGTCCCTTTCAATTCCCCTTTTATCCTTTTGTGACCTTGTTAATAAATATATATGTAGTTTAAAATTCTGTATATTATTTTCTCTTTAAATAACTTATGAGATTTCTCTCTCTTGACTGAACCCTGAGTGATACACCTAGATAAAGGCAATAACCAAAATTATGGACATATTTTCTTTATTGAAAAGTATAATGCCTATTATGGGAAGGGCCAGACTTTTATTTTTTATTTTTTATTTATTTTTATTTTTTTATTGATCATTCTTGGGTGTTTCTCGCAGAGGGGGATTTGGCAGGGTCATAGGACAATAGTGGAGGGAAGGTCAGCAGATAAACAAGTGAACAAAGGTCTCTGGTTTTCCTAGGCAGAGGACGCTGGGGCCTTCCGCAGTGTTTGTGTCCCTGGGTACTTGAGATTAGGGAGTGGTGATGACTCTTAACGAGCATGCTGCTTTCAAGCATCTGTTTAACAAAGCACATCTTGCACCGCCCTTAATCCATTTAACCCTGAGTGGACACAGCTCATGTTTCAGAGAGCACCAGGTTGGGGGTAAGGTCATAGATCAACAGCATCCCAAGGCAGAAGAATTTTTCTTAGTACAGAACAAAATGGAGTCTCCTATGTCTACTTCTTTCTACACAGACACAGCAACAATCTGATTTCTCTATCTTTTCCCCACATTTCCCCCTTTTCTATTCGACAAAACAGCCATCGTCATCATGGCCCGTTCTCAATGAGCTCTTGGGTACAACTCCCAGACGGGGTGGCGGCCGGGCAGAGGGGCTCCTCACTTCCCAGAAGGGGCGGCCGGGCAGAGGCGCCCCCACCTTCTGGACGGGGCGGCTGGCCGGGCGAGGGCCGCCCCCAACCTCCCTCCCTGACGGGGCGGCTGGCCGGCCGGGGGCTGGCCCCCACCTCCCTCCCGGACGGGGCGCAGACTTTTATTAATGTGCAGGAACTTTGAGTTATATTCAGATTGCATAGTTTGAGATATGTAAAGTATTATAGAACAACACCTTTTAAAGTTGAGTAGATGAAAATGGCAAAACTAAAAATTAGGGTGTTTCATAGGATAGAATATTTTTCATCCACTTTGAGAGAAATTATTAAAATTAGAAGGTTTGTGGATGAATAAATGGATGAAAATATAATTTCTGGGGAGAAACCTAAGGCAAAAGAACCATTCTCAGTGCTCACTGGTTCAGATAAATTCTATGCTTTGGAATTCCAGAAACCTAAGTGATTCTTATAGCTGGCAGTCATCAATTTAAGACACAATGACATTTCATTCGCTTATAAAACTGGCACCATTGGCTTTCTGGTACAGCTTTCCAGAAGCAGTGTTGAATTTTCCCAGATGCAGTCTTACTCTTTCATAGGACCCAATAGGCACTAAGAATTTGTTGAAGAACAAACAGAAGAGAGTTATTTCGATCAGGACCAGGCTGAATGTGTAGTTTCAGCTACTTTAGCATTGTGACCTATCTGATTCAACTATTTTAACATTAACTCACAGAATTTTAGTACATTGAAGGACCAGATCAAATTTCTTGTATTGATTGATATTTGCCATCCCAGGAAGGCATGTTTAGTCCCAGAAGACTGACAGACAGGTTAAAATAATCTTTTAGGTTGACAGTTGACATAAGCCACTGCCCATTTAAAAAATAATAGAAAATAGAACATGGGGAAAGAAGTGTTCCTAAGGGTACTGTTGCCCAGAAACGATGTAGTAACCAATCAACAACAGAAGAATAGAACTCAAAAACGTATACAAACCTGTTGAGGGGGAAATGTGAAAAGCAATTCTTTAAGTAAGAACAGGCAGCTTTTCTAAAATGTTTGATAAGAGAAAATAATATATAAATGGTATAGAAACAGACTAAAAATGAACAAACACTTATTCAGACACATTTATATTTGTGATACATTCTCATTTCTGAAAACAAGATGATTTGTGCTGTGGATGGTCCTTTGGTGAATTTTGTTTTCTTTTGCTGCTGTTGTTGGCTTGGAGGTAGGGGTAGAGCAGGACATACAGAATGTGAATTTGTAGCTGTGAGTAGCCATTTTGTTTTTGATTTTTGTGTTTACATGCATTTTGAGAGTGAATATATGGTGTAAACACTAAGATGACTATTCGTTCTTATACTTGAAATAAATTAGGTAATTTTCCACTTTTTTATTTCTAAGAACATAACTATAGTTAGAACTATTACTTCACAAATCCAGAGATGGAGAAACATGGAGATGAAATGATGTAAAAATAGTAAAAATATTCATATAGGAGTACATGTGGTTCACAAAAGCTTACATTTTGAGTGGAGTTTTATAAAACTAATATTTTACCTATTAAAACTTTTTCAGTGCTCTCTAACCTATGATATTTGCGAGTCAAAAATCAGCATGCATGATACAAATATTATTTCTGTAACAATTGTATGACAGTTATTTGGCAGAGTGAATTACTGATTATCTTACTTTAAACTGCTACCGGATTCAAAACCATAGCTATTACCTGCTCCTTAGTACAGCACAAACAGAAGGGGCAATATTGCTATTTAAGATTAGATTGAGTCTAGAACCTTTTATGACTGGATGGTTATTCATTGTGCAAAAGCCAGATCGATGAAAGGTGCAAATTTTAGAGTCAAAAGTGAAGGAGTAAGAAAGACTCAAGCTTTCCTTCTACATTGCATGTTCTAGTTGCTAAACTGTCGGCAGAGCTGGTTTTCAGTTGGAAATTATCAAGAAACTCTACCCAAGTTTTGGAAATCCTTAGGATCATGGTATCCTCAAGTTAGAGAGTAGAGTTACATGGATCAAGAAATGTATAAATACAAGAATATAAATTTTACACTTGATTACTACTTGTTTACCTGAAGCAAGTAAGCAAATGCATTATACATACTAACTGAAAACTTATGTGATTTTAAAAGGTCTTCTTGAGTGAAATTATTAACCATTTGATCATATCTAATGCATAAATACACAGAGTGAGTTATCCTTCTTCCTATTTCTTTTTTTTGCTTATCAATAGTAAAACAATATAGAATGCTTAAAAATTAGGAAAAAATCGTAAGCAATCAATCCTAAAAAAGTAACCTATTATTTTGTTTAGTCCCTTTAGGTTGTTTATATATATATAATGTAACTGTAATATTAATGAAAATAGCATTTTTCATTGCAATATTTTATAAATTATTATTGGATAAACATGTATATATCATACTAAAGACAATATAGCATATGCTATAACTATATACTATATGTTACATAAATTACATAAAAATAGTGTATGTACTATGTATTCTATAATAATTACATACTCTAATTTAACTATCTCTTGTTAGAAAACAAAGCTTCTGATCTTTTTTTCTATTAGAAAAATTGTTTTGCTTATAGACCTTTTGGGCTTACACTTTTTGATTTTTACCTAAGACGGCAATGATAAAAGGACTGTATGGGAATGAAGCTGTAGCTTGGAACTCATTAGTGCAGTAATCTGATTAACCAATGTAAATTAGCCGGAGTTGCTAATGTATTCTTCAGCTGAGCTGATGCTTTCTTTAATATGTCCTTCCAAGAATTGTGGGAAAAAGAGCAGGAGGCACTTCAGGGCGATTCTACTTCCTGACTCCAATTTCTGACTCCCAATAGTTTCTCTTTTGCCCGAAACATTTTACCTGTGGGGAGAATCCCAGGTAAATATGGAAATATCACTGTGGAAAATGGAAACATGGCAACGGTAGACTCTGAAATTGATGAATATTTTGGGGCAGGATACTAGTGGGCTCAGTTATGAGCTCAGTGTGAATGGGAAAGGAAAATGTAAATAAACAAAATTAAGAAATTCTAGCCGAGGTAGAGAGTCCAAGTTAAAAAAAAAAAAAAAAGACATTCTATGAGTTTTTTCTTCCCCCTCAGAGACTCTCAGATTTTATGACCAAAATGGTGTTAAAGGAAGAAAAAGAAGAAGAACATTATTGGTTGCATTGTAGCATATCCAGCTGCCATTGAAGTATTGAGCATGTGGAAGGAAATGTATTTTGTCTAAATCTAAGAAAAATTAATTTTGATTCAATAGGGACTATTTAAAATAAATATTTGGCTACTTCATAGTGACCTGGGACTAACAAAATCTGTTTTTGCTAGTTCATCATAGCTCAACTTGAATCAAACTACCAAAATGTTATTTTAATGGATTTTATTGGTCAGTTTTTAACTCTTAAGTATAAACATATAAATTCACTTAACCTCAATCTAGTCTTATTTATAGTATACATATGGCTAACATAGAGTTTTAAAAAAGCATCTTCTAGTCACTGAATACATTTTTAAGATAATTTAAACTTGTTGACTAGATTTTTCCAAGAAGGGTTTCCATGGATTTTTGAAAATAAATATGCCTTCAAAAATAGGACATTATTAAGATATTCTTCCTGATCCTCTCTTGACAATTTCCAAAACAAAAATTGAAACTTAGTTTGACCTCTTGTACCATACTGTTTGCCATGTATTCAAAAACTAAATTGTATTAACATCACAAAGAAAACATTCAGTGAAAGAGCTGCCATGGAAAACTGATTTTGAATGGGACATTCCAGAGTTTAGCATTATCTTCAGCATCGAAATCATACAAAACTTGAGCTCTCATAGGGTGTTTGGTACTCAAATTGGCAGTTTTTATATATTTTTTGTTTTGTTTACAATTTTATGTTGATTAAAATAGTATTACTTAATTCAATACAAAATAATACCAATTTGTTACTTCGGTGGGGTTATGACTAGAATATTTTTCTAGTGAGAGAATCTAGACAACAATCCTTTTTTATTCAATTTATACTGCAGAAAAGGTACTCTAAACTGACACGATGGAGTCCTGCAAATTTTAATTTGATTCATAAAGAAGAAGCCCTTTACTGATAATAATATTTACTTTTTTGAGTTGGCTTTAATTCCCCCACCCACCCCCACCCTGCAATTGCAGGAAGCAGACTTCATTACATCACACGAAACCTCCTTGTCCATGCCCTGGCACTCAGGATGCCTCTAAGGGTGGGATAGCTGTCCTCCCTGCAGCTCTTCCTAATGGGAAGTCATAAAACCAGGTTGGAGCAATTCACTGAGGCAGGATGATAGTTTTTTTGCATTTGTTTTCTTCACTCTTTAGTGATGGGATAAAATTATAAGCAAGAATGTGTGTTTTTTTTAAAGGGTTGTAGAAAGACACTGATAAAAATTCTTCTAAATTTCTTGTATCTTCCCAGATATAATCAGGTGACTTTCTCATGTTTTAGATGTTATCATAGGCAATCATTTAACCTGTAGTTATGGAATTAGATAACGGTAGCTGTTACAAGTAGCTAACACTTATGTGACACTTCCTGTATTATGTAAAACAGTATTGACTTATACATCATGCACATCTAGATAGGGAGCATTATTGCTCCGTTTGATAGATGTGGCAACTTATATTCCAGCTCAAAGAAATTTAAGTAACTTTCTCAAGCTCACACACAGGATAAGTAGCACGGTTGAGATGCAAACCCAGGTAGTCAGGCTCTGACAGAACATGCCATGATGATCATTGAACTTTGGTAGTTTGTCTTTCTTTCATAAGCAGAGATTTAAAAAATAACCTGGATTTTTCTATCTTATGTTTTCTATCATTTAAAATTAAGACTTTACTTATAAGGGCTGGGTTAATCTCTTAAACAGAAATCATAATATTTCTGAGGATGACTAAAAGCTGTACACTTTTCAAGAGATTATTATGCATGAGATGACTTAGAATCTACGGCTGAGAAGAGATAGGGAAGTGGTAAATGTGGTATCTGATCTGGCCCAACCCTACTCTAAATGGGACATTTCCCTTCACCCCCACCCCTTCTTAGTAGAATGATAAATATTTATCAGTACTTGCTAAGTGCCGGGCATTGTGCTAAGCATTTTGATAATAACATATCTAAGCATTTTGATAATAATGTATCTAAGCATTTTGATAATAATGTATCATGTAATTAATATCCTTCCCATTTGATAGATGAGACAACAGAGGCTTAGAGGGTTATGCAGTTTGCCAACTCTGCCATAGTCAATAAGTGGCAAAGGAAGTATGAACCCTGATGAAATTATACCAAAAATTTGCCCCCCTGGGCCTTTGATTAGATAAATTAATAAATTACCTGTACTAATTAGGCCTTATTTTTTTTTTTATTACTGGCAACCAAAAGCATCGTAACTGACATAAGAATGTACAGCCAATGCCATTTTGGTGTACTTCTTAGGAATAATATAGTCTTATCTTGGGTAGAGAACCTTGGGATTTGTTTTCAAAAATTTACATCTGCTTCTTCATTAATATTTAAAATGGTGGATGCAGCAGCAGTACATACTGTTACGATTATGCTTGCTTCAAAAGGAAGTTGTGATACAGAGAAATTAAGTACTCTTGTGATTCATGCCATAATTATGTAAAGTTAAGAAATTAGAGAAAAGAGTGTGCAGGAAGGTAGAAGGAAAGAGTTGAATAAGATGTAGTCATTTAAATGAGAAAAAACATAAATGGCATGGAGAAAACTCAATCTGTTTTTGTTTCCTCTTTACCAAATTAAAGAAAAACATATAAGTAAGGTCTCATACTCAGAGATAAAATGGTTAGATATTTATTTAGTCTCGTTTTAGTACCTCAAACTCCACAGTAGTTAGGCCCCTTTCAGGCTCAATATATTGAAGTGAGAAGAAGAAACACACACAGACTTAGTTGATAGCTGGACACAGGAAGATTTTCAGCAAGGTGATGAGATTAATAATTGATATTAATATTAATATCTTCTCTATTAATATCTTTATTATTAATTATATCTTATTAATATCTTCTCTATTATTTCAGTGATTCGGGTTTGTCACATTTACACACTATTAATGGATAATGAATAGTACTTTTTTGATTTTAGTAATCTGTTATTCTAGTTTTTCAAAGGAATCTTGCCACACAGCAAGATTTATCCCCCAGCATGGGGCTAAGCCAGGGACTTGCCTCAAAATGATCAGGATAATCCTGGATGAAGGGGCTGTGGCCACCACAACATTAACTTCCAGTTTTTATTTTTAGCACATGACTAGAGTCACAGAGCTATGCTTTCAGCCTGGCTGAGTCATGATTCATGAGGTGACTGCCATTCTATTGCTCAAACTTTCAATCCTGCAAATGGAGAAAATCGGAATACTCACAAGTCCCAGGAATTTTACGAATGGGTTCTCAATTCAGGCTGAACATTTAGTGGATCAACAAGCCACGAAATACCCTCCAGAGAGGATATGTGGCATTTTCAGTCTCTTTTCTTGCAAAATGTTGAGCCTCAGTTTATGGCCAATATCTAAACTGCCTCTTCACTGCCTATATCTGCCACTTTAAATTATTTCCTCATTTATGTTAGGTGGCTTTGTGTAGATTATTCATAAAAAAAAATTGTACTAAGACATTTTCTCTCACCTCAGTGCTTCTAAAATAAAAGGCACTAAAATTTCTTAAAGACAGTAAGAGCTTTCATGGTTGGCCACATGTAATATGGAATCATCGTATTGATTAATAATAGCTTTCAGATTGACTACTAAATCATCCATTATATTCAATGACATTTGCTACTTGTATATTTTAGGCCCTTAAAGAGATGGACATATTTTTGTAAAATCTTGTGCTAAAGTGCTTGTATTATTCTCCAACTATAATTCTTATTTCTGACTTTGACCAAAAAGGTTTCATTGTATCATAGTTCAAGATTGTGGAAGTATTCTTGCTTCTAGTTCTCCTTTATTTGTCTTTCTTGAATGGTTCATTTTGTTACGAAAGATACTCTTACGACTCTGATAATACTTTTCTCAAGATGCCATCACTTGAAAAGACAGTCATATGCATATTATCCAACTAGATTACATAGTCACAAGTCAGACGCCTGTGTCTTTCTGAGCTTTATTAAGAATGTCATGTGCAATATGGAAAGGTTGCACTTTCTTGTAGACCTTTGTTAAAGACTTATATTTGCCTAAATTGACTCATTGGCAGCAAATCAGAGACAAAGATAACTATGCATACTCCGTCCTATTAGCAAAAAGTTTTAGGGTTGCATATATCATTTTCGTCTGGACAGGTAGCAGGTCATTTTGTTTTTAGTGTATGTGCCCTGGAATAAGAGATGGTACTTGAGATTAACAAGACTATTGGTAAATCTGGTAAAAACCCATGCACTCTTTAGGACTTATGTTTGGTAGATTAAAAGGGTACCATTTTCCTTCTTATGTTTTCAGGATTTTCCTCATTTGTAGTGTCCTGCCACTTATACACACAAGGTTCCTCTGTGGTAATGATGGAATCGAGATTCCTTCTAGAAGAAATTTGCCCTTTTCTGCCCATCCCCACTTCCCAGTTGCATAAGAGAAGGAGATTGAAAAATGTGAATACTATACATAAAAACTGAAATCAGGGTATCAATTTCTCATTCGTCTACTTAAAAAACAATGTTAAAAAGACAATTTTATTTAAACATTAAAAATAATTTTATCCCAACTAAAATTTTTATTTTCTACATTCATTTTCAATTGTTCATATGCATAAATATGACATATGTAATTACCACCAAAGAATGGAAATTTTCTTGCTCTGTAGAGTTGATAATTTTTTTCTGCCTGTGTAATATTTTGTCTAATTGGTGAAACATAATTTATTTGAACATTTTCATGGAGTCAGATATGTAAGTTTTTTAAATGGGATTCTGCTGTAAAGGGTACTGCTAGGATTAGCAGCTTCATGTATAAAGCATTTTTGCTTCTTTAAAATAAATTTCCAGGAGAGGTGTTACTAGATCCTAGTGAAGATAATTTTAGTTTTATTTGATCCATTTCTAAAAGAACTCCTTCAATTTACTATGTTTTGAGCAGTAAGCCAATATTCTGGCATCACCACATGATGGTTAATATTTGAGTATTGCCATTCGTGCTGTCTCTCACAAAATATTTATGCCAAGCCATCTCCTAGGAATTGGGAATACATCAGTGAACGAAAACATGGAGAAACATCTGCCCTTGTGGAGAAAATAAAAGTGTCTATTTAGTATGGTCCAAAATAGGCCATAGAATTGGTTCTAAGTTACATTCTTTCAACTGCTAGTGAGAATTAACATTTTTCTATGTGTTTATTTACCATCAGCATTCTTTTCTGTGTGAATTTTCTGCATATTCTGAAGCCAGTCTTCAACGCAGAGATTCCATGGTCATTGTGGCCTACGTGACCTAAACAAATCATTCCAAAATTTTAAATGGGCTGAGACTGTTGACAGTCATCTCTGCTCCTTATACCCTCATCCAGCATTTGTATTTCAGGTATCTGGTGACACAGATTTCTGGTAATGCCTCACATCTGATCATCACTTCCTGAAAAAGATAACCAAAGGCAATGTAATAGGAATATCAGCAGCCACAGCACTCAGTCACCCAGGGGAATCTACATGTTTAAGCTTTCATACCCTGTTCGGTTTCTTGTAGAACTCACTCAACACCTGGAGTGGATTAAATAGATGATGTAGATTTCAACTGCTTAGAAATATCCATTTCTGCCACATTTCCTGCTGCCTGTTTTACTTCTGTGGAGTTATTTAGTTGTCATGTTGGATGAGTCTGAGCTATTTTCCCAGCACGCTGTACTATAGTGTGAGTGCACCTTCTAGGGAAAAGGGCACAGACTGAACAACTTATCATCAGAATCTGTGTTGACTGAAGGAAGGATGGCAACAGATTCCTGTCAGATGATTTTGCCTCAGACAATTTGGCTGTGAATGCTCAAAGAATGAGGAATAAGTACCCAGGGCATAGAGCATAAAGGTGAGTGCTATTTATCATTATATAACATCATTTTGATGACAGGAAAAATTGAAGTCACACTAGGGACCTACAGCCATGTTAGGGTAGATGATTGTACATAACACTTCTCTCAGTCCTAAGAACCCCTATGCTCGGATGTATTTTGCGGACTACCGAGTCCATGAAAAAAAAAACAGTGGAAACGCAGTGACCATCAGCATGACAAGTCTCCTGCAAAGTGAAGACAAAAGACCAAAATATACTAGCTGAACCCACTTTCCTCTGTTGATATTGAGATTTCTGTCTACGCTGGATAGCTGAATATTATTCATATTTTGCATCAAATTAGTAAAAGTGTTATTTTTAAATGAATTTTGAAGGCCAGACATGGTGGCTCACTCCTGTAATCCCAGCACTTTGGGAGGCCAAGGCAGGCAGATCATTTGAGGTCAGGAGATCGAGACCAGCCTGGCCAACACGGTGAAAGCCCATCTCTACTAAAAATACAAAAATTAGCTGGGCATGGGGGCAGGCACCTGTAATCCCAGCTACTCGGGAGGCTGAGGCAGGAGAATAGCTTGAACCCAGGAGGCAGAGATTGCAGTGAGCCAAGATCACGCCACTGCACACCAGCCTGGGCAACAGAGCAAGACTCTGTCTCAAAAAAAGAAAAAAAAAGAATATTGAATAATGTATCTGTCCAGCCCTCTGTCTTGACATTTTCAGCCTGTGTGTATGTTCATCTGCTGGTGTTCCTCTCTTGTCCCGTGTTTCCTGGGCATTTGTGCATTTACTGCTGCTTCTGCTGTAAAGATGCTTTTATCTTCTTCTGCTGGATAGCTCCTGATTACTCTGAAGCACAGCATCCTCTGGGAAGGTTTCCCTAACTCTCTTCTCATCCCTGTCTCCCTTTCAGTTATCTGTTGACACAGCAATGTGTACTGTTTATCATATCATTCTGCATTTTAATATTTTATTCTGTTGCCTCTCTCCTTCACTGTACTGAGCAACTTGAGAGAAGGAAATATTTATTTTATCATTGTATTTCCTGGAACCAACTATACTAGGTTCTGATAAAAAATATTTGAAGGAATAAATGACAGAAAAAAGCTAAAGAAGTAATGGCTTTCAGACAATACGGCAATTTTCACAACAGAGGGAGCAGAGCCATGTTAACAAAAAGCCTAGTGTAAAGTGATTGAGTGATTGCTCCTCTCTGAATCTTCTCTTATAATTTCCTTGCAGACCTTTTTAACAAATCTTCTTTCATCAACTAACTGATGCTGTCATAATCATTCATTAGCTGCTTTGTGAACCTCCACAATATAGCACTCTGCTTAAAATGAACAGGGAGTCACCAAACTTAGCTTGTGTGATGTCTTAATAGAAAATCAAAGGAAGTCAATTAATAGGAAAAGGCAAGTATACCCTTTATCTTTTAGTAAATACATGCATGCCTGTTATTACCTCAGGTAAATTGTGATTGAGATGTTGGACTGGAGCTGATTTATAATAATGCAGTCCTGATGGAATGATGGGATTAGAGTAGGATTTTTTGTCTCTCATTTGTTTTCTATATTGCTAAGGCAGTATATGTCAGATTAAAGACTTTGAGTGGACGGAAACGGTGACTTACGCCTGTAATCCCAGCACTTTGGGAGGTTGAGACAGGTGGATCACTTGAGGTCAGGAGTTCGAGATCACCCTGACCAACACGGAGAAACCCCATCTCCACTAAAAATATAAAATTACAAAATTCGCCAGGCGTGGTGGTGCATGCCTGTAATCCCAGCTACTCGAGAGACTGAGGCAGGAGAATCGCTTGAACCTGGGAGGCAGAGGTTGCAGTGAGCCAAGATTGTGCCATTGCACTCCAGCCTGGGCAACCAGAGAGAAACTCCATCTCAAAAAAAAAAAAAAAAAAAAAAAAGACTGAGCCATTTTTTGTTTTCTTAGCTAGCATGGCAAAAGAAAAACTTTGTGTAAATTATCAGATTAAGAAGTGTTATCATTTACACTCAGATAAATTAACAACGCAGGGAAAAAAACCTTAAAAGTCAAACCAAAATACCCCTAACCATCAGATTCAGTATGAAACATTGACGAAGTAAGAGAAAAAATTCTGGCCAAGCGCAGTGGCTCACACCTGTAATCCCAGCACTTTGGGAGGCTGAGGCAGGCAGATCACTTGAGGTCAGGAGCTTGAGACCAGCCTGGCCAAAATGGTGAAACCCTGTTTCTGCTAAAAATTCAAAAATTAGCTGGACATGGTGGCAGGTGCCTGTAATTTCAGCTGCTCAGGAGGCTGAGGAAGGAGAATCACTTGAACCCAGGAGGTGGAGGTTGTAGTGAATTGAGAACACGCCACTGCACTCCAGCCTGGGCGACAAAGTGAGACTCTGTCCCTCCCCCACAAAAAAAGGAGAGAGAGAAAATTTTATTTGTGGGTAATAACCCAGGAAATATAAGTAAAACTATTTGAAACAAGTGGACAATTCACTAATGTAGTGGTTTACTAAACATGTCAAAATCATGAGCTTATCTTTTTCTTTTAAATAAATTTTATTGCATATATTTGAGGTTTACAACATAATGTTAAGGAGTACAAATAGCAAGATGGTTATTACAGTGAAGCAGATGAACAAATTAACATATCTGTCATCTCAGATAGTTCTTATTTTTGTGATAAGAGCAGATAAAATCAACTTCTTTAACAAAAATTCCTAATACTATAGTTTTACTAACTTTAGAACTCATGATACACATGAGATCTCTGAACTTGATCATCCTGCATATCTGCTATTTTGTATCCTTCAACCTAGATCTCCCTATTTCTTCTCCCTCCCTCCTCCTGCCTGTGGTAACAACTGTTTCATTTTCTATTTCTGTATTTGAGCTCTTAAAAATATTCCACATATAAGTGAGATCATAAAATATTTTTCTTTCTGCGACTGGCTTATTTTACTTAGCATAATGTCCTCCGGGTTCATCTATGTTGTGGCAAATGACAAAATTCCTTCTTTTTAATGGCTGAGTAGTATTCCATTGTCTATTTCTACCATATTTTCTTATCCATTTGTCCATCAATGGACATTTAGTTTTTTTCCATATCCTGGCTATTGTGAATGATACTGCAATGAACATGGGAATGTAGACATTTTTATGAGGTGCTTATTTCATCTCCTTTGGGTATATGCCCAGAAGAGGTGCTGCTGGGTCGTATGGTGGTTCTATTTTTAATTTCTTTAGGAGCATCCATTCTCTTTTCCATAATGGCCCTACCAACATACATTTCCACCAATTGTGCATTTGGGTTCCCTTTTCTCAGCATCCTCACCAACATTTGTTATTGCTTCTCTTTTTGATAATAGCCATCCTTACGAGTGTGAAGTGATATCTCATAATAGTTTTAATTTGCATTTCCCTTTGATTGGTATGAGCACCTTTTCATAGACCTGTTGGACATTTTTGTATCTTTGGAGAAATGTCTGTTCAGGTACTTTGTCCATTTTTTTTTTTTTTTTTTTTTAGCAGAATCTTGTTCTGCCACCCAGGCTGGAGTGCAGTGGCATGATCTCAGCTCACTGCAACCTCCACCTCCCAGGTTCAAGAGATTCTCCTGCCTCAGCCTCCCGAGTAGCTGGGACTACGGTTATGTGCCACCACGCCCAGCTAATTTTTGTATTTTTAATACAGACGGGGTTTCACGGTGTTAGCCAGGATGGTCTTGATATCCTGACCTCGTGATCTGCCTGCCTCGGCCTCCCAAAGTGCTATGATTACAGGCATGAGCCACAGCACCTGGCCTTCTTTGCCCATTTATAAATCGGGTTTTTTTGTTTTTCTACTATTGAGTTGTAAGAGTTCTTTATAAATTTTGGATGCTAGGCCCTTGTCAGATATGTGGTTTATAAAAACTTTCCCAGTCCAGGCCAGGCACGGTGGCTCACGCCTGTAATCCCAGCACTTTTGGAGGCCGAGGCGGGCAGATCACCTGAGGTCAGGAGTTCGAGACCAGCCTCAACATGGAGAAACCCCATCTCTACTAAAAGTACAAAATTAGCTGGGCGTGGTGGTGCATGCCTGTAATCCCAGCTACTCGGGAGGCTGAGGCAGGAGAATTGCTTGAACCTGTGAGGCGGATGTTGTGGCGAGCCAAGATGGCGCCATTGCACTCCAGCCTGGGAAACAAGAGCAAAACTCCCTCTCAAAAAAAATACAAAGTAAAAATAAATAAATAAAAAAAACTTTCCCAGTCCATACGTTGTCTTTCAGATTCTCTTTAAATTATTTCTTATGAGGAAACAAAAATAGTCAATTTATAGTAATCAGGGCAAAGTTATCTTTTAAAAATACATGAACATGATTAGCTACTTTAAAACAAGTTACAACTTTAGACTTTGGCTTTTTCATAATGTAATGCCAGGTTCTCATGAAATGATAATATGATAGGACTGTTCAAACTAGGATACTGGCTTCATTCTTTCCTTTTTAAATTAACTCAGGCAGTGTATCTAAAACTAAATGCCGTGGGCCCTTGTTTTGGGGGCTTTCTTAGTTTTCTCTGCCAATTACGGTTTGTGTTTTTACTATGCAACATTGTTCAACAGGAACAAGTTTAAAACATTTAGTATCCAACAAGTGCTAACCAAACAAAAGTGAATAATGGAATTCTAGGCTTTGTCCCAGCTCCTCCCATTCTCTCCTCAAGGATGACAAATGCTTAAGTAATAAGAATCAATTTTGTGAGTAATTTTTGAGTTCCATCTGATTACTGTTAATAGTCACAACTTGAAAGCATGAGAATACATTTGAAGGCAAAAACTTTTGCTACAGCAAGTTTGGTGGTCTATGCTAACATTCCTTTAACTATTTCCACCAGCTTTACCATAATCATATGATAGAATGCATGCTAACACAAGAGCTTGCTGCATATAAAACATGCTTGAGACTAGGCCAAATACATAATCCAAGCATTTCTATTCTATGGAAGATTTCTTTTCCTTTAAGTTTTTGTTATTTTTTGTGTTTTATAGTCACCATAGAAATTGTAGTATACACAAATTATATACTATAATACTTATTGCAGTCTCCACCTATTTCTTTAAGGGGAGAAACTCCCCAAACATAAAAGCCTGCAGTTTTGTGAGTTTTGACAAACGTGTACACATATGAAACCACGATCCCATCAGAATAGGATGTGATTATCTCTGGAAAATGCCCTCATACTCTCTTCTCCGATAATTACCACCCCTTCTCCCAACCTTTAGAGACAGCCAATGTTATGATTTTTTCCCAAACCACAGATTTGCTTATAATAGAACTGTTTATATTAATGGACTTACAGAGTATGTACTCTTTTGTGCCTGGCTTTTGCTACAGATAATGTCTGAGAGATTCTTCTATGTCCTTGAATGTAATGGTAGGTTCTTTTTTCTTTTATTTTTTTTCCCGAGAATTTTTCCATTGAATGAATACACCAAAATTTGTTTATGCCTTGTCGTGCTGATGGACATTTTGGTTGTCTATAGTTTTCAGCTATTATAAATAAAGCTGCTATGGACATTTTTGTACAAGGTATTGTTCTCTTGGCTAAATTAGTTCTCTTGGCTAAATTAGTAGGGATGCAATTGCTCGACCATATTGTAAGTATATATTTAATCTATAAGAAACTGCCAAACCTTTCCCCAAGTTTGTTGTACCATTTTACATTCCAACCAGCAACATATGAGTTTTCCAGTTGCTCCCCAACCTAATATACTGTCAGGTATTTAATTTTAGCAATTCTCATCCATGTATTGTAGCATTTCATTGTGGCTTTCATTTGCATTTCCCTGATAATTAATGAGGCTGAATAATTTTAAACGGTGCCTTTTAGCCATTCATACAGCCTTTTGAAATAATTTTTCAAATCATTTTAAAATTCAAATTTTAAAATTTGCATGTTCATTTTAATAGAGTCTTTTGATGAGCAGAAGTTTTAAATTTTGATGAAGTCCATTAATTCTTTTCTTTTATGGTTATTGCACTCTATGTCATTCTTGAGAAATCTTTGTCTAACCTCAGGTCAGGGAGATATTATCCTATGATTTCTTCCAAAAGATTTCTAGTTTTAGACTTTGTGTTTGGTTTTATGATCCACCTTGAATTAATTTCTGTGCATGGTACGAAGAAGGAGTTAAAGTTCATTTTTTTTCTCTCCTGGCATATACCCCATTGTTTAAACACTATTTGTTGATAAGAATATCCTTGGATTTCAGGATAGCTAAAGACAATGGTAGTTGCTTAGGTTCCTGTCTCCCAACTTTTCCCCCCAAAATAACACAGAAAAACAAGAAGGTAAGAAAAGCAAAAACAAAATAAACCTATCCCAAAACAATGACCTCAGCATTATGTAAAGACAGAGAATGCTCATATCTCAAAATAACTTGAAATTTTAAGAATAAAATTGTAAATGTCCAGTAAGCAATCTCTTGCTGTCCTATCCTACTGTAAGTCTTTGTGGCAAGAAAAAACAGGTCATGAAAAACTATGGGAAGAGAGGAGAGAGAAAATGATGGCCATAAGATTGACCTTACCAACTTCCAAAAGTAAGTCTGCAGGAGAAAAGACCAGAGCATGGTTTGCAGGGAAGGGACTTAACAGCATGTATGATGTGAAGTGACAGTTTTTGAAACCTATAGCCTCTGTAGGAGAAAAAATCAAAACAGAAAGAAGTGACCCTTAGAAATTAGATGGTCAAAAAGAATGTAGCAAAGGGATAAATTTTTGAGTAGTTCATGTATTACAAAAGACAAACAAAATACGAGGAAACAAACAATCCCTTTTCCTCCACTGCAGAAATAACCCACTAAGGAATCTGGACTTTGTTATACTGAATGAAGGTAGTGCCACCGAAGCAGGAATCTTGTAAAGTTCCTCAGTACTACAAACATATGAAACTGCCCCAATAGTCCCATAGACTGTTCTTTTGGATAAACATAGAAATTAACCTTTCCGATCTTAAAGCTTCAAGCTTACATTTGTTTTCTTTGAGGAAAGGACCTTCTGGCCTCTTTAAAAAAGCATCAAAAAACCGAATCTCACCAGATCACCACATCCTCACAATGAGATGACAGGCCCCTCATTCATTATGATTGCTTCCTAGCCCTTTCCTAGTTCTTGAACATTGTTATATTTCTTTCTTGCTATATAAACTCCTAGTTTTAGTCAGTCAGGGAGATGGATCTGAGACTGAGCTCCCATCTCCTGTAGCACCTAATTAAAGCCTTCTTCCTTGGCAATATCTGTCATCTCAGTGATTCGCTTTCTGTGCAGTGAGCAGCAGGACCTAGATCAAACCCTGTGTGTTTTGGTAAAAAATGAAATAAATAATACAGAGTTATGAAAAATTACAAAATGAACTCTGATATGCCTCAACTAGGGAAAAATCCTTCCCTCAAAAACAGAATTCATGAGCCAGAAGAGATGATAATCCCTCAGAGTGATAATTTGTTGTACAGTTTGTGGACTTAAAGGAATTTACTGTTTAGCACATTTTAAGTTTTAATTTTTTTTTTTTTTTTTTTTTTTTAAGAAATAGTGTCTCACTGTGTCACTCAGGCTGGAGTGCCATGGCACCGTCATTGCTCAATGCAGTCTCAAACTCTTGCGCTCAAGCAGTTCTCCCACTTTGACCTCCTGAGTAGCTGGGGCCACAGGCACGCACCATCATGACTGGCTAGTTATTTATTTATGTATTTGTTTTGTAGAGATGGGGGTCTCACTATGTTGCCCAGGCTGGTTGAACTCCTGGGCTCAAGCAATCCCCCTGCTTCAGCTTCCCAAAGTTCTGGAATAAAGGCATGAGCCACCAAACCTGGCCTATTTAGCATGTCTTAATATTGTCCTTAGTATTTAATCTTTTAAGGACTCTTTGCATATCTTAACCTCTAATATTCCATTCACTATTGTCTCAAGTTAATACAATACCTGTTCCATTCTATTTTCTAGGACGATAATGAGGTTTGATGATTTTGGACTTCAAAGAAAGGGGAGAAGAACATATGTATTGTGACTTGGTACAAAATGCCAAATACCTTCTAACAGTAATGTCAATTTTCCCCTGAAAATTTGGTCAAAAGATTGAATGAGTGGCCAGAAAAGACTCTAATACTGGAATTAGAATTCCAGGACTATAAAGAGGAAGTCTCACATAGGTTAGGATATCACAATTTTACATAAAATAAACTGGGCAGATTTTCACCTCAGAGAACTTTGAAAATTATGCTAATGCTAAAATTTGAAAGCTATTTATACATTAAGGGGAAGATACAAATCTAGGCTGTAAAGGATTAACTACTGTAGATGCATATCGGAATTACAACACTGTTAGTTCCAAAGGGAAACCAAAGAAGTTTTTATACGGTGTGGGAGTACATGAATGTTTACTAAGAATTTGTCAGCATTATATAATACTGACTAAATGATAGCCTCCTTCCTGTATTTGGAGGACACAGATGTTCAAATCACTAAGCAATGTGCTCTTCAAGGTGGATGGGCTACTTAACTCAGGCTGTCAGGTTGCCTAAGTAACCATTACGTAAGAACACTTATCTTCCTGTGCTGATTCAACATACGTTAAACAACTGAGACTAAAAACCTACTAGGATGTGAACACTTGAAGGTTGGGTTTCTCTTATTTACTATTATATTAATGCCAGGACAGTGTCTAGAAACTAGTAGACACACAAAAAATTAGTTCATGAAACAAAGAAGGCTTATATACAGCTGCTATACTTTTTATCTTGTATTCCAATACTTGGCAAATACTAGCAGTTGAATTAATGTTTATTGAATTGAATTCCTAACTTGCATTCCTTGAAATAGTAGGCTAGGAACTATAAAATAAAAATAGACATGTACCAGCTGGGCGCAGTGGCTCACGCCTGTAATCCCAGCACTTTGGGAGGCTGAGGAGGGCGGATCATGAGGTCAAGACATGGAGACCATCCTGGCCAACATGGTGAAACCCCGTCTCTATTAAAAATACAAAAATTAGCCGGGCATGGTGGTGCGCACCTGTAGTCCCAGCTACTCAGGAGGCTGAGGCAGGAGAATTGCTTGAATCCAGGAGGCGGAGGTTGCAGTGAGCCGAGATTGCGCCACTGCACTCCAGCCTGCCAATAGAGCAAGACTCCATCTCAAAAAAAAAAAAAAAAAGAAGACATGTACCATAAAGTGTTAGAAGTCGCTGATAGAAAACTACATGTTTTTTTGTGGGAATCCAAAGATATGACTTTAAATATTCATCTGAACTCACTTATTCTACTGGTGGTTTTCAGTAACTATTGAATTTAATTTTTGATATTAAAGGCATACTTATTGGTATTCCTGAAACTATTTTGATATTTCCCAGCCCACAATTGTATATCTAGTAAAATTAATATTTTAAAATCTGATCTGCTCATATTATTTTAATGTAAAAAGGATTGTTGATTTTGAGCAATCTTTTCCACTCTTGTGGCTTTATAGGCCAGATGGTGTATAAAGCTTGTTATTCTATAAGCTTAGTGTTCTTCAAATATATATCTTTAATTTACACTTCTCTCAAGCTCCAGACTCTTAAGTCCTACAGAAAAATCGACATATTAACTTTCTTTCTTCAGAAAACATATCATATGTGCCCTGTGTGGAATCGGCTATCCTCCTTTAACTTTCTCTTCAGGGCCTAGTGTCTCTGCTCATTCAGAGCTTCAACAGCCAGTTTCCCAAAGCTAGTACTTTTCAGTGACTTTTCAGTGTTTCCATCTTACTCTCCACTGGGCCTACAGTAAAATATATGAATAAAAAGTAATGTGGTACTGAGAAAGTGAGACGGCCCAGGGGTTAGTGCAGGCTTTGCCAGTCACTGCCACTGTAGCCTAGTGCGTGCCCACAGTCTCACTGCTCCCCTCTTTAATTATGCTAAAAGTCAGATGTGCCAGTGGATAATTGCTAGGATTCTGTGAAAGGAAAATAAATCTTGGGGCCCCCAAATCACTAAGCTAAAGGGGAAAGTCAAGCTGGGAACTGCTTAGGGCAAACCTGCCTCCCATTCTATTCAAGTTATCCCTCTGCTCACTGAGATAAATGCATATCTGATTGCCTCCTTTTTAAAGGCTAATCAGAAACTCAAAAGAATTCAGCTGTTTGTCTCTCACCTACCTATGAATGGAAGCCCCTTCTCTGCTTGAGTTGTCCCACCTTTCCAGATGGAACCAATGTACATCTTACATATGTTGATTGATGTCTCATGTCTCCCTAAAATGTATAAAACCAAGCTGTGCCCTGACCACCTTGGGCACAAGTCATCAGGACCTCCTGAGTCTGTGTCATGGGCATGCATCCTCAACCTTGGCAAAATAAACTTTCTAAATTAACTGAGACCTGTCTCAGATATTTGCAGTTCACATTTTGGTAACCACGAAGGGATTCTGAGTGAAGGTGCCCCTGACCTTTGACAAATCTCCTATTGGTGCTTGGTACCAGCTTGAGCTATCTTTGTGGGTCTAACCAATAGGACAATTTGCTGAGGCCTGGAAGTGCTCCCTCCAGAGCATCCCTGATCTTCCAATATTTGGTCAAGATCTAAAGTTTATTGCTGTACAACTCTTTTTTTTTTTTCTTGGAGTTTTACTTGTTTCCAAAACAAGGAAGGCAAGTTTTTCCTGCTTCCATGACAATGGAAGGCAGGTAACTCCTGTATGGAGTTTGAACTCACTTCCAAGAGGAAAGACAAATTTGAGATTTTCCTGCTTCTAGGATGGTAGAGAGCAGTCTTAAGTCTGAGACCTATCCCTGGGTGAGTAACTGAATTGGTGTTTGTCTTGGCTAAAGTTAAGATTTTAGCCAAGACAAACCAGCTGATCTTAATTTCACCTTACCATTAACACACTCCGTAATCTTACAAGTTGCGCCATTGTTTGTTTTGCTTAATTTTTGTTGTTGTTGTTTGCTTGTTTCTGTTTTTGTTGTTATTTCCATATTTTCTCCATTGGGTTTGATCAACTCTGACTTGATCAAATACAAAGGAAAGTTCCAAATTATGAGGAACAAGGCCTCTGAAGTGGCTAAATTCCCATAAGAAAACAATGACAACAACAAGGTGGTGTGGTCGGGGGCGGGGGGAGAAAAACATACAGCAAAAGGAAAACAGAAAGGAGAGATTCTGCTTTTGATTACTCGAGGGGCTTTATTTACATAGCAATACCACCTTTTTGCTAGCCAGGCCAAACTGAAAGAGCAATGGCTGTTGCCCCATGCTGCAGTTCCATAGCTAAGAGTTCTGCCTTCTATTTTTCCACCATGACAGCCTGGGTTTGGTGCCTAAATCAAGCCCTTTCTGTTTGGATACTTGGCACTTCTGAAACAGCAGCAATTTGTCCGAGCTGAAATATGGTAAATAGATTAAAACATTTTTTTTGAAGGAGCTCAGTGGTTAAAAGTCAGCTTAATTAAAAACTAACATCCAAAATGTGTGTGCGTATGTCTGCATGTGTGTGTTTTTGTATTTAAAAGGCCTTCACCTTTTTTATTTTGTGTGCGTGTGTGTTTTGTTTTTTTTTTTTTCTCTTAGGACTTTGTCTTTTTCATCTCATTTGACTGAATTATGTTTCCTTCATTTACTTCTGCTGTCTCTCCTTTCTCTTGCACCCTGTGCTGCATGAGGGACCTAAAATAGTTTATAATAGCCTGGGGTTCCTTAAGGAAAATGGAGAAGGTGCCAGACTCTCTTTTGGGGAAAAACCACTGTTTTTACTTATGGAACTCCAAGAGTGTTTTCCAAACAGACAAGTTCATCTCAGCTCTTAAACTGCTTGCTTTTGTATTATGTTACCGGATTTTTTGACTAAAATAATTATTGCAATAGAGGTTACTCTTGGGTTTTTAAGGAAGTAAAGTTTAGATACTTGTGTTACCTGATTTTTTGACTAAAATAGTTATTGCAACATAGGCTATACTTGGGTTTTTAAGAAAGTGAAGTTTAAACAAATGTTTTTGTTTAAAAAAATTTTTTTAAAGTGCACTGTAAAAGCATCACGAGGTCTAGCTTCATAATAATTCTCCCTTTTTAGAGATCCAGGATTCAGTGTGGACTCTGCCCAGAGTTCAGAGATCCAGTTAGAAGATAGATAGTCCCTATCTAAATAAAATTGTTCTCCTCATGCAATCCTGTGATAGATTTCTACAATTTTATGTTTGATTTAGCATCTATCTTTAATCTCCCTGTAGCATCACCAGACCTTTTTTCTCTGTACCTTGAGATGTAAATTTTGCTAATCTGATTTTTAATCTAAGAGTTGTTTCCTTCAATATGCAAATTTAGGGCTGTTTACCTGACAACTGCCAGGATAATGAATCAGTTTATCAAGAGTTTGCAAGTCTAAGATACGGAAAAAAAAAGGAGGTCGTAGGAATTCATAAAGTGTATTTTTATCATTATGCCTAACACATCTATGTATTTGTGTGTTCTCTACACAATATTTCACTACTAAAATATATAAAAGAGCTCTTATTAATTGGCTTCAAGAAAAATAAAAGTCCTTAAATCAAATACTTCATCGGAGAAAAAGGAAAGACTAGTCAAATGCTTTTTCAATTTTATGTGACTTAAGTAAAATCTTTAATAAATAAGGTAGCTTAAAATTATTAGTAAAGTAGTATTAGAAATGTCTTAAAAATTATTATCAAGCAATTGCATACTTATCCCTGCCAAATACTATAAGGTGTCAAAATTTGGCATAGGGTTTATAAAACTATAAACACAGCCCAAAATGGAATGATCTTTCTTGTGTAATTTTTAATAGATAAGATATTGATATTGGTTTAATGAAAATAGCTACATCTCAAATTATTTAATAAAATTACCACAACCCATAATCTTCTGGCTTTAGGCAGTCCAGACCACAGGCAATAAGGAGGTTTGTTTGTAAGAGGACTGTTACCATCTTTTTTCAAAGCTAAACTATAAACTAAGTTCCTTCCAAAGTTAGTTCAGCCTATGCCCAAGAATGAACAAGGACAGCTTGGAGGTTAGCAGCAAGATGGAGTCAGTGAGGTCATATCTTTTTTAATGTCTCAGTTATAATTTTGCAATGGGGAGTTTCATAACTTTAAATGATGCCTATCACAGTTTTCATAATCTTGGTAAATGATTAAAATAAAATAATTAGGTAAATGTAATGGGATAAACACTTGTAAACAAACTTGTCATAATTTAGAATCAAAATTTATATTAAATTAAATAATATATATTTCATTATTTGGGTATTTTCCAATAAAAATATATTGTAGGAAAACATTCTGTCTAAAAAACAAACAAACAAACAAAACCCAAAAAAAGTTAATATGATCAAGTTGTCTATAATTAAAGGGATTTATAGTGGTCTTTCTAGAGATTAAATTTGATGATAAAAACACTTATACACAAAAGAATTGATTAGAACAATAAAATTTTCTTAAAGGATTGATTTACTCTTAATGAATTATAAGAGATTTTAATTTGTTTTAAACCCAAAGTTCAACTTGTATTGTTTCTTGATGTTTTCTGTTTTCTCTTCTCTTTTAGAAAGTGCGAAATAGTAATGCTCTTCTTCAACTTATTTTCAGATCATAAAAGTTTTTATTCCTTCAAGTTCTATTCGCTGTGGGCTGATGCTAGCAACGTTTTCTTTCTCTTTTTTTTTTTTTTTTTTGAGACTGTGTCTTGCTCTGTAGCCCAGGCTGGATGGAGTGCAGTGGTGAGATCTAGATTCACTGAAATCTCCACCTCCCAGATTCAAGCAATTCTACTGCCTCAGCCTCCTGAGTAGCAGGGATTACAGGCATTTTCCACCACGCCCAGCTAATTTTTGTATTTTTAGTAGAGACAGGGTTTTGTCATATTGACATGCCTGGTTTCAAACTCTTACCTTAGATGATCTGCCCGCCTCTGTCTCCTAAAGTGCTGGGATTACAGGCATCAGCCACTATGCCTGGCCTAACAATGTTTTGTTAAAGGCCTAAAGGAAACGTTTTCTTTCAACATAATATTCTGTGCACTGCAGGTCTTTTCCTCTGTCTTTTGATAACTGGCCTAATAGATTTTATGTTTAATCAAAGTAATTCCTATGCCATTATTATTAAGTTTTGGTTTGCCTAAAAAAAAAAACAGATGAAATTTTTTTAAAAATTAAAGTTGTTATATCCTTGTATCTTTCTGTATGTGCCTTTAAGGTTCTTGTGACATTGAGCTACAAGGATTTGACTCCTGAGTCTCAAAAGGACACCAAGTACTGCCAAATCTCAAACTCTGACAGCAATTAAAGCCTCATCTGCAGGCCCTGTAGAAGATGCCAATCAAAATAAACTGTGTTCCTGAGACACAGGGGCAGAAATTAAAGCTATTCAACTCCTCAAGGCCAAGGGATTATCATGGAAGAGGTGGGCAGGCGAGAATGTAAAGGCCAATTTTGAGAGATAAAGTAAATTCATTTTCTCTATAAATTAACTATTAACATCAAATGCACACTGATGAAAGACCAGCATATAGGCCCCTGTGTCAGAGTAACAAGGTTTTCTTGAAGCATGAATTAACTCCTTAATAAAAGCTATAAAGGCTATAAAAGGGAAGTTGTATCTTATGGGTCAAGATGAAAATTTTATAGATTGTTTATAAAATATTGGAAAACAAATATAATTGAATTCATGCTGTTTTTATTGGGGCTTATTGGCTGAAAAATTAAGTCTCCTCTTTCAAAGAATGAAGGTTTTTGCCATTTTTTGAAATCCTTCAATTACCATTTTGGTTAAATGAATGATTTATTTTACATTGACTTGTGATCCTATTTTGTGATATCAAGTGTTTTAAACCTTTGATATTTGACAAACTTTCCAAAATCAAATTATAAATTATGTATTTTTCTGACCTAATTAATCCTTTAAGATATTAGGTTCCCTAAAGTCCAAAAAATGACATATTTGTCTTATTTGGTGTAAAAATTATACAGGAAGCATTGTAAAATGTGAAATGGTGTTTGGTTTTCTTTGGGCTATATTTGTATAAATATGTTATTGGTATATGTTCCAAAATTATGAGAAACTCTTTAATTCTGATATGACTTAGTGTACATTACCAGTAATAATTATAATTGTTATATTAAATTATTGTATACCACAGAGGAAACAAATGTCCTTGTCAATTGTGTCTTTGACTATGTTTTCTCTAAAACATTTTGTCATCCATAGATGTATTAGTCAAGGTTCTCTAGAGGGACAGAACTAATGGAATATATATATGCATGTATGTTAATACTTAACTAACTTATGGTAAGTCTTAACTCACACCATCACAAGGTCCCACAATAGGCCATCTGCAGGCTAAGGAGCAAGGAGATATTCCTAGGATCAATACTTTGTATCCTTCAATTCAATCAAGTGAGCATTCAGTATTAACCATCACAATGGACAATTGCTTTTTTTTTTTTTTTTTAAGATGGAATTTTGCTCTTGTTGCCGAGGCTGGAGTGCAATGGTGCAATCTTGGCTCACTGCAACCTCCACTTCCTGGGTTCAAGTGATTCTTTTGCCTCAGCCTCCTGAGTAGCTGAGATTATAGGCACTTGCCATCATGCTTGGCTAATTTTTGTATTTATTGTAGAGATGGGGTTTCACCATGTTGGCCAGGCTGGTCTCGAACTCCTGACGTCAGGTGCTCTACCCACCTTGGCCTCCCAAAGGGCTAGGATTACAGGTGTGAGCCACTACACCCAGCCTTTGGTCCTCATTAGAAGCTGGTTTTATAATCACCTATAAAGCCCTAACAGGTTCTCTCGAATGCAGGTTTCTGATAACTATGGAGATTGTGACATCAGAATAGAGGAAAAACTTTCAGGTCTCACAGAGAGCTGAAATGTTCATGAATATCATGCAGAACAGGAATTACCTGCATGAACTGAACTAACAGAAGACTGAACTAATCTTTTTGACTTTTTTCTTAAAATGTTCTTGATCCTTCGTTTTGTTTTTCAGAGCCAAGGAAATTTTTTTGAGCTATTGACATCTTTTAACAAGTTACTATACTCCTATGAACAAAATTTGGAACATATTTGTTTCTCTCTACCTGATTTCTCCAGAATTTGGAAACTACTTGTGAGTATTCTTTATTTATGGCAATATAGTTATTTGCATAAGTGCAAGAAAAATCTGTTTTCAATTGTAACAGGACACAATTATAGAAACTGGTTATTTTACCAAGGTTTTGACTGAAATGGTGTGCTTTCCTTTAAGGAATCAAACTGGACTTATAGAGCAAATAAAAATCCCTTGGGAAAACTGGCCTCATACCTTGTCTACACAGTTCCTGTACAGGGTTCCTGACCAGTGGTAAGTAAAGAATGCCACTTTCTGACAGGCCCAGGAGCCCCAAGTTATCTTGGGGCCTCAGGGCCTGGGATGAGAGGGGCTGTAGTGAAAACCTCTGACATGCCCTGGAGACATTTTCCCCGTTGTCATGGGGATTAACATTTGGCTCCTCACTACTTTAGCGAATTTCTGCAGCTGGCTTGAATTTCTCCTCAGAAAATGGGATTTTCTTTTCTATCGCATTTTCAGGCTGCAAATTTTCTGAACTTTTATGCTCTGTTTCCCTTTTAAAACTGAATGCCTTTAACAGCATCCAAGTCATCTCTTGAATGCTTTGCTGCTTAGAAATTTCTTCCACCAGGTACCCTAAATCATCTCTCTCAAGTTCAAAGTTCCACAAATCTCTAGGGCAGGGGTAAAATGCTGCCAGTACCTTTGCTAAAACATAACAAGAGTCACTTTTGCTCCAGTTCCCAACATTTCCTCATTTCCATCTGAGACCACCTCAGCCTGGTCTTTATTGTCCATATCATTATCAGCATTTTGGGTGAAGCTATTCAACATGTCTCTAGGAAATTCCAAACTTTCCCACATTTTCCTATCTTCTTATGAGCCCTCCAGACTGTTCCAACCCCTGCCTATTACCCCGTTTCAAAGTCAATTCCACATTTTTTGGTATCTTTTCAGCAGTGCCCCACTCTACTGGTACCAGTCCATTACTGTACATTACCAGTCTATTACCAGTCCGTTTTCACACTGCTGATAAAGACATACCCAAGACTGGGCATTTTACAAAAGAAAGAGGTTTAATGGACTCACAGTTCCACATGGCTGGTGAGGCCTTACTATCATGACAGAAGGTGAAAGGCACATCTCACATGGTGGCAGACAGCAGAAGAGAATGAGAGCCAAGAGAAAGGAGTTTCCCCTTATAAAACCATCAGATCTTGTGAGACTTATTCAATACCATGAGAACAGTATGGGAGAAACTGCCCCCATGATTCAAATATCTCCCACTTGGTCCCTTCCACAACACAAGGGAATTATGGGAGCTACAATTCAAGATGAGATCTGGGGGTAGACACAGCCAACCCATATCACCATTCATGAGGGATCCACTCAAACACCTCCCACCAAACCCCACCTCCCACACTGAGGATCACATTACATCATGAGACTTGGAGTGGAAAAAAACATCTAAACCATATTATCAGGTTTAACAAAGAGCAGCAATTCTGGAAAAGTAACTAAATTATGTGGGGAGGCTAATGAAAGATAAGAATTATTTTAACAAAGTCTGTTTGTACAGAATTCTCTTGGCTATGATTCTCTGTCAAATATTTTTTTCTCCTGGTACAGAGAGGGCATTTTTTACATGGCAGTTTTTATCTCCTGTTTTTAGGAAGAAAAGAGAAGATTAGAATGTCCTTTTGCTTCTGCTGTTTATCAAGTGCCTTTATATGAAAAAAATCCTTATATCAAAGAGGTATATTGGGGGTAGGGGAAGCATATTCTTCCACCCTCCATTGGTTTATAAATATCCGTGGCTTACTGAAATCTTAACAATTAGACCATTTCTGTCCTTGTTATATTATTGGGCTCCTAAAGCATTTAGAACATCCTTCTTTTGACAAAGCTTTTTATTTAAGTCTATAATCTTATTGTAGTCTCGAAAGTCTCCTGTATCTGAAGCCCGAATATTCATTCTATTTACCTTCACATTCTTTACTAGGAATCTGAAGCCACCTTAAGGCAAAGGAATGACTTCCATGGAATACAGATGAAGTTGGTAAAAGGAAATACAAAGGAGAAAAAGTACATTTGTTCTGTTCTATGACTATTACTCTGATACACTGGTAATGCTATGATGATGGAAGGAACAAATAAATGTCTCAGGATCTTGATCTTCTGATAATAGAGAGGGAAGTTAACAGTTCCTGTATTTACAGGAACTGTAATAGAGAGGGAAGTTCCTGTATTTACAGGAAGAATTTTAGCAGGGTAAACTTCAAAACCAGTAAAGGCTTGCGTGTTGCTACCATAAAAAAGAACAAGAAAGCCAACCACAAAAATTAAACACTAAATTGAGCAAAGAAAGAAAAGGCAATATTACTACTGAAGTATTAGAGAGCACTCACTACTTCCCTATTTTACCTGCATGTATAACCTATGACGTTACTCATTTATTTCTCTGTATGTCATTTGAGAAGTGACTTATGGAGAGAGAATAGATAAAATAGCATTCCTTAATTAAATATGGTAGGATGCAACGTATACATGACTAATTTGGGATAATATTTCTTGTGTGTGTGTGTGTGTGTGTGTGTGTGTGTGTTTGATAGAGTCTCGCACTGTCGCCCAGGCTGGAGTGCAGTGGCACAATCTCAGCTCACTGCAACCTCTGCCTCCCAGGTTCAAGTGATTCTCCTGCCTCAGCCTCCCAAGTAGCTGGGATTACAGGTGCCTGCCACCACGCCCAGCTAATTGTTTTCGTATTTTTAGTAGAGATGGGGTTTCACTATGTTGGCCAGGCTGGCCTCAAACTCCTGACCTTGTGATCTGCCTGCCTCTTCGTGTGTGTGTGTGTGTTTCTTTTTTGTTTTTGAGACAGATTTTCACTCTTCTCACCTTTTTATATAAAGAAAATGCATCTGGAACATTTAGATCAGTTCTTGACCATATTAAACAAATCTTATAGAATTAACACAAACCATGTTATCTAAATCTTGGGATTTTGAGCCTAAAAGCCTGTGCCTTAATTTATAATCAAAGGTCAAAAAGGTCAGATCTATAAAGAGAAGGTACAATGATGAACACTAGGTGATTGCTTTGAAAACTTTCTTGCAAACGTAGCTTACTTGGGGATTTTTGTTAATATATCTAATTCCGTAAGCCTGGGTGAAGCCTTGGATTCTGTATGACTCAGGAGCCCTTGGGACACTGTAGTGCTCTTAGTGGTAGAGCACCCTTTGAGCAGGATACTGAAGAAGAGCTATTTGACTTGAATGGCCTGGCTGGGTTTCCAAATTTTCTGGGGTGTTCTTGGACTTCTATTTTTCTAATTCACTTATGTAGCATCGTGAAAAGTTTTCTGAATATTCTCATTGGAATCACGTTCAACTTCTAGGTAAATTTGAGAGGAAATAGAAATATTTACAACAGTGAATCTTCCTACTTATTAATTATGCCTTTCTCAAGATATATTCACTTTGTTTTATGTCCATCTGTTAGATTCTGTAATTTTCTGAATAGCAGTTTTGTACATCATTTTGCATGTTTTGTTCCTAGGAACTCTATGTTTATTGCTGGTATCACAAATAGAATCTTTTATATTATTATATTCTCTAATAGGTTATTGATGTTGTGCAAAAGCATCATTGACTATATTGATCTCTCTGCAGAGCTCCTGCTAAACTCTAACAGGTTGTCTATACATATTTTTGAATTTGTTTATGTAGACAAATGTTTACATATAACAGTTATGTCTCTTCTTTTTTTACCCTGCTATCCTTAATTTCTTTTACTTTTTTCTTTTATTGGCAAGGAAATTTCAGCGCAATGTTGATTTTTTAATAGTGGTAGTGACCATTGTTTGTTGCCTTCTCTTAATGGATTATGCAGTTGTTTCTAGAACATATAATATTATTTTCCACCTTGAGAAATTTTCTGATGCCCATTTCTCTGCCAGGAATGTTATTTTGTCCATAGTCCTCATAGAACTGTTTCCTTCACATTAATCATACCAAAGATTCCGTGCCAACCGTGAAAAATTGTTGATTCTTTCAGTATAGTGATAAAAGAACCAAACACAAACTAGCTAAAACAATTTAAGGGAAATTTATTAGCCTCAAACTAAAATGTGCAGAAGTAGATTCTTGCTGTCATCACAATTGTATTTGGTATTGATGGCTCCATTTCTTTCTAAATTCTTGAACAAATTCCCTCTAAGTTGCAAATTTGATAGCAGCCCACTTCTTACAAGCTAAGCAACTCTATTAGGATGGGAACTTCTTCCTACTTAAAGTTAAGCTTCCTCCCTGGTTGGCCTTGCTTGGCTATGTGCTCATCCTCAAACTAATCACTGTTGAGGAGAAAGGACTCATAATTCTCTCTCTGTGGTAGGCAGAGTAGGCCCCTTGACCAAGTCTTACCAAAATTTTCTAAGCACTGAGAACAAATAGTTCACGGATCCATGAGATGCAGCTGGATAGAGCAAAGCATACGAAATCCACTAAATTTGCTTAAAGACATCTTTCCTGACAAGCCCATTTTTAAATTCTGTATCTAAGCTCTTATAAACTATTATGTCATGAATCCTGATTTGTAATTTATTAATTTATGCTTCCTGTACTAGAATATAAACTCCATGACAGAAGGGACACTGCTTTCCTTGTTTACTGTTGCATCTCCAGGATAGAGAGTGATGTATGCTGTATGGGAGGAATTAAATAAATAAACTTAACTGAAAATATCAGGAATCCATAACAGGGAAAAATAACATTCCAGTTTGTACTAAGAGACGGTGATATTGAATATGATAACCTTAACTTCCTTTTGAAATGAGTTGACAAGAAAAAGTTGAAAATTGTCTTTTTGCTTCTCTTTTTTAAGAAGTCAGTTGCCAATTAGATCTACTTGCAGCCTGGAAGAGCTATGACTCACCGTGAACTTGAATGAATGAAGTCTTTAGGCTGATTTTTACACATAATGTCAAAGTTCTCTTTTTCTGGTCGTAGCTACACCTTGCCTTTTATAAGTATTAATTATTAATACATTTTCATACATGTTGTTTATTTGGTTTAAATTCTATCTCTGCCATTTGGGAGGCTGAGGTGGGCCCATCACTTGAGGTCAGGAGTTTGAGACCAGCCTTGCCAACATGGTGAAATTGTGACTATACTAAAAATAAAAAAAATAGCTAGGCATGGTGGTGCACGCCTGTAATCCCAGCTACACAGGAGACGGAGGCAGGAGAAGCATTTGAACCCGGGAGGTGGAGGTTACAGTGAGCTGAGATTGTGCCACTACACTCTAGCCTGGGTAACAAAGCAAGACTCTGTCTCAATAAATAAATAAATAAATAAACAAAGAGACAAACAAACAAATTCTATCTCTGCCACTTACCTGCTATGTTATCTCAGGCATTTTTTTCCCTCATTTCCAGTGGGGTTGACTATTTCTGGCATTTTACTCAACTTCTCTAAAAGCTTTCATTTTCTTGTCTGTAAAAATGGAGTCTTAACCTCTACTCACATTGTATCATAAAGATTAAATGAAATAATGTATTTTGAAAAACCAGTACAATACTTTTCAATAGTAACAATTAAAAATGATCATTATGATTTTATTTGTTTCTAGCTTTTTGATATAGAATATCTGTTTTGGGCAGAATGCATGCCAACCACAATAAAGGTGGCTGGATTTCCTTACCTGCCCTTCATATAAAGTTACCTTTGACATGTGCAGAGTAAATATAGTACCTTCCTGTGCCTTTAAGTTAGCAGTATTTTGCAGTTCCCTAAAGATCATATGGTAGAAGCAACAGTGACTAAGGAGAAAAGGAAAAAACAGGTTAGGACCATTTTCTCAAAAGGTGATAGTGCCAATGGCAGGCACCCAGGCTTCTTGAACTCACCTATGTTCACATTGTTAGTAAAGTAGCAGAAGGAAGGCATGCTAGGAGTTGAACTTCATGTTTTCCACTAACTATCCTAAAGTCAATCCTTCTAATTGTATGGAGTCCTAATTGAGAAAAAGAGTCAGGCTGGCTCCTTTCCAAGAGAAAGCAAAAAGAAGGAAGCAGATAAGCTATAAGTCTGCCTTTTTTTCATGGTCCAGGGCACATAGCTCTCCTGTGCAAATAACTAACAATCTTCCTGCACCCAGTTATCACCAGATCCTCGGCTGATAAAAAATACATGTTAGCTCACTGCAACCTTGGCATTATCAATACTGCACAAAACCCTCATTAGCACACAGCACAAGCACCCTATTCCCCAGCCAGCCTTTATCTCCTTGCAGTCAGCTCCTCTCTTGCTAGTCTGCCTGTTGCTCCCTTGTAATATATTTTCTTATCTTCTCTAATAAATCTGCCCTCCTTTACCTATTACTGTTTTGGTAACTTCTTATCACCTGCACCATTGGCCCAGATAGTCACCACTCACCTATGACAAACTGGCTTGTAAAATAATTTCTAGGGTTATTATATACCAATATATTATATAGGTTTATCATGAAAGATGGTAGTTTACCTTTGAAGTAGTATAAAATATGCCAAGCAAAAAAAAAAAAAAAGGTAGAAATAAACGCAGGTGTCTGAGCAGCAGGCACGGTCTGAGCTATCCAGATCTTTGTGACTGAAACTTTCCTTTAGGCAGGTCCACTCCTTCACCTAAGCCACATGCTCTCTTACATTCTTGCTCCCAGTGTCATGCCCTTGATTTGTCCTTCTAGAACTTTCTATGTGAAAATATTCAAAGTACAGTGTGAGGGGAGCTCAAATAGTAGGGGAATGCAGGACCCCACTTTTGTAGGGAGAACTTCATGAGATGTCAAAGCCCAGTAAAGTGAAAGGTAGCTAGAACTAAAGGGCTAGAGGGAGGCAAATATTGCTGAAAGCCTGCATTTAGAGACAGAGAATTGCAGGACAAAGGAGACACTTCATACAGGAGAGCTCTGGCTGGCATCTGGCAGGTGCACTCTGGGATGAAGCTTCCAGAGGAAAGATCAGGCAGCAATCTTTGCTGTTCTGCAGCCTTCGCTGCTGATAGCAGGCAAACAGGGTTGGGAATGGACCTCCAGCAAACTCCAGCAGACGGGCAGCAGAGGGGCCTGATTGTCAGATTGTCAGAATGAAAACAAACAAACAGAAAGGAATAGCACGTCCACTCAAAGACCCCATCTGAAGGTCACCAACATCAAAGACCAAAGGTAGATAAATCCACAAAGATGGGGAGAAGCCAGCACAAAAAGGCTGAAAATTCCAAAAGACAGAATGCCTTTTCTCTTCCACAGGATAACAACTCCTTGCCAGCAAGGGAACAAAGCTGGAAGAAAAATGAGTTTGATGAATTGACAGAACTCGGCTTCAGAAGGTGGGTAATAACAAACTCCTCCGAGCTAAAGGAACAGGTTCTAACCCAATGCAAGGAAGCTAAGAACCTTGAAAAAACGTTAGATGAACTGCTAGCTAGAATAACCAGTGTAGAGAAGAACATAAATGACCTGACGGAGCTGAAAAACTTCACTTCATGAAGCACGCACAAGTTTCAATAGCCGAATCGATCAAGTGGAAGAAAGGATATCAGTGATTGAAGATCAACTTAATGAAATAAAGAGAGAAGACAAGATTAGAGAAAAAAGACTAAAAAGGAATGAACAAAGCCTCCAAGAAATATGGGACTATGTGAAAAGACCAAATCAACATTTGATTGGTGTACCTGAAAGTGACGAGGAGAATGCAATCAAGTTGGAAAACACTCCTCAGGATATTATCCAGGAGAACTTCCCCAACCTAGCAAGACAGGCCAACATTCAACTTCAGGAAATACAGGAGCACCACAAAGATACTCCTCGAGAAGAGCAACCCCAAAACACATAATCATCAGATTCACCAAGGTTGAAATGAAGGAAAAAATGTTAAGGGCAGCCACAGAGAAAGGTCAGGTTACCCACAAAGAGGAACCCATCAGACTAACAGCGGATCTCTCGGCAGAAACTCTACAAGCCAGAAGAGATTGGGGACCAATATTCAACATTCTTAAAAGAATTTCAACCCAGAATTTCATATCCAGCCAAAATAAGCTTCTCCTTCATAAGCGAAGGAGAAATAAAATCCTTTACAGACAAGCAAATGCTGAGAGATTTTTGTCACCACCAGGCCTGCTTTACAAGAGCTCTTGAAGGAAGCACTAAACATGGAAAGGAACAACCGGTACTAGCCACTCAAAAAACATACCAAATTGTAAAGGACATCGACTCTACGAAGAAACTGCATCAACTAACAGGCAAAACAACCAGCTGGTATCATAATGACAGGATCAGATTCACACATAACAATATTAACCTTAAATGTAAACTGGTTAAGTGCCCCAATTAAAAGACACAGACTGGCAAATTGGATAAAGAGTCAAGACCCATCAGTGTACTATATTCAGGAGACCCATCTCACATGCAAAAACACACATAGGCTCAAAATAAAGAGATGGAGGAATATTTACAAGCAAATGGAAAGTAAAAAAAAGCAGGAGTTGCAATCCTAATCTCTGATGAAACAGACTTTAAACCAACAAAGATCAAAAGAGACAAAGAAGGGCATTACATAGTGGTAAAGGGATCAATACAGCAAGAAGAGCTAGCTATCCCAAATATATATGCACCCAATACAGGAGCACCCAGATTCATAAATTAAGTTCATAGAGACCTACAAAGAGACTTAGACTCCCATACAATAATAGTGGGTGACTTTAACATCCCACTGTCAATATTAGACAGATCAAGACAGAAAATCAACACGGATATTCAGGACTTGAACTCAGCTCTGGACCAAGCAGACCTAATAGACATCTACAGAACGCTCCACCCCAAATTAACAGAATATACATTCTTCTCGGCACCACATCGCACTTATTCTAAAATTGACTACATAATTGGAAGTGAAACACTCCTCAGCAAATGCAAAAGAACAGAAATCATAACAGTCTCTCAGACCACAGTGCAATCAAAGTAGAACTCAGGATTAAGAAACTCACTCAAAACTGCACAACTACATGGAAACTGAACAACCTGCTCCTGAGTGACTACTGGGTAAGTAAAGAAATGAAGGCAGAAATAAAGATGTTCTTTGAAACCAATGAGAACGAAGACACAACGTACCAGAATCTCTGGGACACATTTAAAACAGTGTGTGGAGGGAAATTTATAGCAATAAAAGCCCACAGGAGAAAGCAAGAAAGATCTAAAATGGACACCCTAACATCAAAATTAAAAGAACTACAGAAGCAACAGCAAACAAATTCAAAATCCAGCAGAAGACAAGAAATAAGGTCAGAACAGAACTGAAGGAGATAGAGACATGAAAAACCCTTCAAAAAATCAATGAATCCAGGAGCTGGTTTTCTTAAAAGATCAACAAAATAGACTGCTAGTGAGACTAATAAAGAAGAAAAGAGAGAAGAATCAAATAGATGCAATAAAAAATGATATAGGTGATATCACCACGGATCCCACAGAAATACAAACTTCCATTAGAGAATACTATAAACACCTCTATGCAAATGAACTAGAAAATCTAGAAGAAATGAATAAATTCCTGGACACATACACCCTCCCAAGTCTAAGCCAGGAAGAAGTAGAATCCCTGAATAAACCAATAACAAGTTTTGAGATTGAGGCAGTAATTAATAGCCTACCAACCAAAAAAAGTCCAGGACCAGATGGATTCACAGCTGAATTCTACCAGAGGTACAAAGAGGAGCTGGTACCATTCCTTCTGAAACTATTCCAAAAAATAGAACAAGAAGGAATCCTCCCTAACTAATTTTATGAGGCCAGCATCATCCTGATACCAAAACCTGGCAGAGACACAGCAAAAAAAAGAAAACTTCAAGCCAATATCCCTGATGAACATCGATGAGAAAATCCTCAATAAAATACTGGCAAACTGAATCCAGCAGCACATCAAAAAGCTTATCCACCATGATAAAAAAATTAAATTTTTAAAATTTAGAGATGGGGCTTGCTTTGTCACCTAGGCTGGAGTACAGTGGCACTTGGAACAGTGCTAGGAACACACAAGGTATTCGATGACTATCTTTTAATCAATGATTAAATCATAATCTTCTATGTTGGACACCAAGCATGTGTATGCATTTCTACATGTGTAAGGAATAATAAAAGGAGTGAAGTTTATTGTTTGTTTATTTTTGTTGTTATTTTTATCACATATATATGTTAAAACTGAAATGGCCTATTGTTCATTGATGTGTTATGACTTCTATGAAAGAAAAGGTGCCCTACTTCAAAAAACAAGGCAAAAAAAAAATTCCCAAAAGTAGCATAAGATGTTATAATACCAAACATGCACATTTAATTTTAAGTATTGGAAACAAGAATATTTTGTAAGTTTTTTTGAGGTATACACCAGCTATTGTTTACATGAGACTTATTCAGATTGGTATGAAATGTTCCTAATTCAAATTTCAACCAGGATCACACTTAATTTTATAATCATGTGTCGGAATGCTTAAAGTAATGAGCTTCTGAAGGCTTACAGCCTTACACCCCATTGGCCATGTCTTAATGACAACACAATGAGACTTAATGTTTCTTTTCATGAAACATCCATCTGAGAGCAACAATTTTGTTGAAAGCTTTAAATTAATTTATGCCATTCATTATTTTTTTTTCTGAAAGTTTAGTCCCTTTGTGCCAAGCATGTCGTCTTTAGTTGACTGTAGCATGTTGTTTTCATGTAAGCTTTTATTTTCTCATTCAATGTCCTATGCACTTAGTATTTTCCATCATTTCCTTGTTCTGTCCCTTCTGATTCTGGACATTATTTCTAAGCAGATACATGAAACATATCACTCACAGAATTCTTGGTATTAACCATATCATGGGTTACATAGCAAGAAAGGTCAAGGAGATTAGGAACAAATTAAAGTTTAAAAAACTTAGATTGTAAACTCCATAAATACATAAAACTGAAAATTAACCTGTAACTAAGTAATAAGGAAGCTTAATTAATAGGATTTTTATTAGATTTGCTTTCTTGGATTTAATATTTGATAGGAAAAGTAAATTAAGCATTTATATTTACTACTTGTATACTCCTGTATATCCATAATCACACAATAAAAATTGTGCTTATATTGTCTTTTGTCATTTAAATTCTCATTTTTCAAAACATACAATTTTACCAAGTTCTTAAAAATGTCCAATAGTAGGAATTTATATTCCAATGGCTGAGATTATTTTAATAATTTTCTCTGTATCTTTATAATAAACCTTTATCACCCAAATTAATCCAAGTGTGGCTTTGTTTCTTACAGTCCAAATCTAACTAATAAAAATGCAATCTGGTTTTATTTCATTTTAACAGACACCATTTTATTTTTTTACAAAAATAGGTTCTTATATAATACTGAATTTTTAAAAATCAAGTAAAAATACCCATTCTCCAAGCATATAGGTTGATAGAATTTTAACTATGTTATGTTTATAGAGTACTTGCTTAGTAAATTACATAATAATTTTAATACAAGACAATTATATGCTACTGCCTTAAAATGTCCATACCAAGTAACAATGGATATATTTACATCATGGACAATGTCTAGTACATTCCCTGGATCCAATACATATATTTTAAAATAGTTGAATATGCTATAATATTTTGACCAATCATACAGTTATGACTCAATCAAAAAGCATCTGAGGAGTATAATGACTGGGTTATTTTCATATTACAGAAGGAAAAACACATGAGATACACAGTATCTCAGATTGTCCTCTTATCAGCTAAATGGCCCTGTATAATAGGAAAAACAGGAGAGAATATAATTCTCAAAAATATGAGGAGAGCTGGCTGCAGTTGCATGTGCCTATGATCTCAGCTACTCTGAAAGCTGAGGTGGAAGAATCACTTCAGCCCAGGAGTTTGAGGCTGCAGTGCACTGTGACCGTGCCTGTGAGCCTGGGAATGGCCACTGTGCTCCAGCCTGGGCAACAAAGTGAGACCCTGTCTCCAAAAGAAAAAAAAAAAAAGAAACTGAGACTCAAATATCATTGAGGATTGTTTCTTTTGAACACTTTATATCTATATTCAATTTTTTAAAAATTTATTTTCTGAGATGACTGTCGAGTTACATCAAGTTTTGAGTCGTCATTTTTAGAGTCTTGTTAACAGAATTGATTGACCATTTTAGCCCAAACAGTTGAACCATGATTGCTTGTAGATGGCGTTTTTACCTATTTATTCTTGCCCAGAAGAGTGCTCTGCACCATGTGGTCCCAACAATGCTTCTAATCATTGTATTTCTAAATGCTGTGACAAGAATGAACAAGAGCTGTTATGTTCATGCAATAGAGTATTATCCTACCATAAAAAAGAAATAAAATAGTGATACATGCTGCAACAAGGATGAACTTTAAAAACATTATGCTAAGTGAAACAAGCCATACACAAAAGGCCATGTATTACATGAGTTCATTCAAATGAAATGTTCAGAAATAGATAGATCAGTGGTTACCAATGGGTAAGGGAAGGATGGGAGGGAATGGGGAATGACTGGAAATGCATATGAGGTTTCTTTTTAGGGTGATGACATATTTTGGACTTAGATAGTCGTGATGTTTATGTAACTCTGTGAATATACAAAGACCCAATGAATTGTACATTAAAAAAATGTGGCATCTGCATTATACCTCAATAAAAGTGTTATAAAAGTTACTTAGAGCTATGTTTTCATTTCTTGACTATTAAGCATTGATTGATTCAATATGTGTCTCTTTTTTGCAATTTATTAATAATGTATTTTTTTGTGACAATCATAGTATTAAAGTTGTTTGAATTGGAAACCCTTTAATCAGGCTATAATTGAAATAGTACTCTAGGAATAATGCTGGTGACAGTTTTGAGTTAAGATAATCTGTTTCAATAAATGTTATTGAAGATGTGATGTATGGCAAATAATTTATTTATGTGAATGAGCAAAATAAAATAGAAGCGCTATACTTAAGTAAACATAGGAAGAGTTTTTTTACTATTATTATACTTTAAGTTCTGGGATACACGTGCAGAACGTGCAGGTTTGTTACATAGGTATACAAGTGCCATGATGGTTTGCTGCACCCATCAACCTGTCATCTACATTAGGTATTTCTCCTAATGCTATCCCTCCCCCGGCCCCCTACCCCCTGACAGGCCCCGGTGTGTGATGTTCCCCTCCCTGTGTCCATGTGTTCTCATTGTTAAACTCCCACCTATGAGTGAGAACATGCCGTGTTTGGTTTTCTGTTCCTGTGTTAGTTTGCTGAGAATGATGGTTTCCAGCTTCATCCATGTCCCTGTAATGGACATTAACTCATCCTTTCTATGGCTGCATAGTATTCCATGGTGTATATGTGCCACATTTTCTTTATCCAGTCTATCATCGACGGGCATTTAGGTTGGTTCCAAGTCTTTGCTATTGTGAACAGTGCTGCAATAAACATATGTGTGCATGTGTCTTTATAGTAGAATGATTTATAATCCTTTGGGTATATAACCAGTGATGGGATGGCTATGTCAAATGGTATTTCTGGTTCTAGATCCTTGAGGAATTGCCCCACTTTCTTCCACAATGGTTGAACTAATTTACACTCCCACCAACAGTGTAAAAGCATTCCTATTTCTCCACATCCTCTCCAGCATCTGTTGTTTCCTAACTTTTTAATGATCACCATTCTAACTGGCATGAAATGGTATCTCATTGTGGTTTTGATTTGCATTTCTCTAATGACCAATGATGAGCTTTTTTTCATATGTTTGTTGGCTGCATAAATGTCTTCCTTTGAGAAATGTCTGTTCATATCCATTGCCCACTTTTTGAAGGGGTTGTTTATTTCTTGGAAATTTGTTTAAGTTCCTCGTAGATTCTGGATATTAGCCCACTGTCAGATGGATAGATTGCCAAAATTTTCTCAACATGTAAAGAGTTTTAATAGGCCAATGTATGCCATGGCGGAACTTAGTTTGTGTTTCCTGTCTTCGGGAATACCAACTTTACACTCTGCAACTGGGTCTATTGAAGAATACTCATAATTACAAGAATAGATTAGCACAGAGAACGGGCAACCCCTGACATTTGCTGCTAGTTCCATAAGTTTTAAACCAATTCCATTTTATTTTGGTGACACAACTGATAAATAAAGTCCTCCTAAATGGACATTTTATCCCTCTTACAGCTACCCTCGTGGTTGAACTATTTATAAACTATTCCTTTACATGCAAGTGGTTGCATCTTACTATTAATAATTATGTTGTTTATTATTTAGTGTACTTTAGGGTTTTCCCCCTTTCCCAAATGAAACCATTTTTCAATCAATTTGTCTTAGATAGGAGAAGTAAACTTTTTCCTATTTTATACAGTTCCTTTCTAGGTAGCTTCCAAACGAATGCCATTCTTACAGTCTTCTTAAAGTTTTCTTACACACAGATTGCATGCTATCTTTATACTATTTCTGTATGAGATTTCTCTTATCTTGGCCACAGCTAATGAAACCAGGAGTGGTTATGTAAACCAAACTAAGTCAACTTATAAAGTGGCTAAAAGATTGAGAGGTAGCCCAGATGCAAAACTCTGCCCAATAGAGGGAGGCTATATTGGAATGTGGCCAAAGCAATTAAATTCTTGTTTTTGGAGGGTCTGACTAGGGGATCTACTGAGGAGGTTAGCATTTGGTGGTGAGAGAAGAAGCTGAAAGTGATTGTAGAGAAACTACAAGTCAGGTGAAGACTTTCTCCTACTCCTCTCAGTAGTTGTAGAGTAGGAAGTAGTGTATGCTTGCTCTCAGGGTCTAATCAGGTAGTTAATTATTGCTAGTGTTTTGGTGTATATTTTAAATGACTTTCCAGTATCTAGAAATACTGGCTTTCCCATGCTTCAATCACTATTATTTACACAAATACTTATCAAGTGCCTACAGGCCAAGTGCATATTCCAAATCAGGATACATTAATGAACAGTAGTGCACTCACCTTCCTGGAGTTTATATCCCAATGGCCAAGATTATTTTCATCATTTTTTCTGTATCTTAATAATTAACTTGTATTACCTGAATTAATCCAAGTGAGCATTTGTTCCTTGTAGTCTGAGTTTAACAAATAAAAATGTGATTTGTTTATTTCATTTTAACAGGCAGTCTTATATGTGTGTCTTTTACAAATATTGATTCATTGAAGTTTCATGACAATTTTTAAAAGTATCCACATTTTAATAAGGGGAAATAAAGGCAAAAAGAGGTTTAAAAATTGCCTAAAGTAGATGCTGCTAGTAGTACCACCTATTACTAGCAGATGGTGCAAACAGCTTTTTAATTTAGGTAGTTTGGCTCCAACAGTCTCTTAATCACTTTTCTATGCTACCTTTTAAAACAATTTTGGTAGAATTCCCTTTGTGTTCTCAGTAATTACATTTATATGGATATGATTTTATAATCCAATACTCATCTTTTGTCTCCTAATTTCATTTTTCTTGAGGATAGGTGTCCTATTCAGTCTTGAATACACATCATCACAACTATCTACAGCTAGAGGACTACAAATACTATAGGATGATGAGGTGACAATATTATTGGTTACCTTGTCACCAGTTACATCAACAGGTACTAACTGTTCTTTGAAATCTTTCTAGAACCATCAATCACTGTAGAAGCACATATTATTGTATACAGTGACATCATCATGAATCGCAGTGATTTCCAAAGGGATATGTGCAATATTAACATATCTTTTATATGCCATAAGTTCTGAATCATAGGGGTGAATTGACATAATACAGTTAGCCTCCAGATACTACAGTAATTCTTCTGCAAGATGACTTACGTTGTTATATAATATCACTGAGAAAGTTTTCAATGTCATTCTCACCTTTGCTATGTGTAAATCTCTATTGGTTTGGATACACTTTTTTTTTTTTCATTTTCTTTAGGTTGTTTTACTACGTAAAATTGTGTGAAAAGGTTGAAAACGTGGATACTTGAAACCCGTATGCAACATCTGGTTGACCTCATTCTGCCTCCTCAATGTATAAAAGTGTGATAAACACCATATACAAAGTATTATATTCACACTCATTACTGACAAGCATATTTTGAATATGATTTACCTTCCCATTTTTGTTTCAATGATTGAATCTTGATGTAATTTGCCAAGATCCCAGAATCTACCGCAGATGTTTTTGATATTTACCCACTAGCCCCACTGGGACAATGATTGTTAAAATTCAAAGTTGCACATATTCTATTGTAATTCATTGGTGTAAAAGGATTAAAATGTTCAAAATGTTTCAGGTGGCTTTCAAAGTTATCCCCTGAAGTGTGAACTCGTTACCAAGGAAACACATTGCAAATGTTAGTAAATCTTTCACTGACTTGCTTTTTACACGTCCCCATGGTTGGCGTGTATGCTGAGCCCATTTAGCACAGTGCTGCTGGCAGCTTCCATTCCTGTTATGTTTATAAATACATCCGAGCCTCACAAAAAAACTAGGCAGAATTGCTTGGAGAAAATTCTTCTGGTTTTCTTTGGAGTGAGAGAGCAAAAAATCAGAGGATCACATTGATTCGAAATGGCTTCGCCAGGTTAAAAAATCTGGCGTGATAGAGTTGGAGGGAATTTGGGGGAACACCAAACAGTAAAACAAACTCAGCAATTGTCATGACAATAATATTTAGACTAAATCATAATACATCATCTGGATTGATAATAATATTTAGACTAAATCATAATAAATCATCTGGATAATTGCAAATTTGAGTGGTGATAATTTTGGGAACATGTGATTAACGTATTAGAGATCAGAGTAAAAATTTGCCTTGTAATAATAACACTTTCTGGGACAAATAAAAGACCATTTTGTATTTTTAAATAATCTTTTTAACCACATGAAATGTACTATAAAAAAATTGTGGTTATATTGTCATTCAGATTCTTTTTTACTCTCAACTTTCCGACTTCAAGGCATGTGTAAGTCCATAAATTCTCAATGTGAGAGGTGTGGTGCACTGCAATGCATTATTGTATCTGTTTTGAAAGGTAATATAACTCCCTGTAATGTGGAAGGACACAGGCACAAGACAAATAAGCCATAAATAGAATTGATACTTATATCCAGTCAGAATAGTTATATTTAATTTTCTTAAGAAAATGATTAAATAATCTAGGCTACAGTCACCCTGACAATCCATTGTATGTCTCAATTTCCACTATAACCAACATTTGATAACTGGCTATATTTCATTGATTCATTTATTAGACGACCACATACTACTGATTACTTACTAGACAAGTGCTTGAGGTTTCAAAAATAAATAATAAATGGTCCTTACTCTAGGGATTGCAGTTTTAGTGGTGGCATGTATATACAGCAATTACAGTCATGTGGTATTAGAGACATGAATTAGAATGTGTGTAAGTCTTCTGTTGATCTTGATCCTCATTACTAAACTTTAACTCACCCCATTAATGGAAAGACTGTAAAAACTATCCATCTTGTTGTATGAGGAACAGCTTACTCATGGTTTCAAGCATGGAGTCACATTCACTATGACTGGGTAAAGGTCTCGGTGACTAAATCAGGTTAATACTAGGCGAGAGGCTATGACTTCCAGCATTTCTAAGAAAGGAAAATGCATACCATTTTGGCCTCAAGCACTCTGTTTTTTGTTTTTGTTTTTGTTTATTCCTCACTAGAGATGACTATAGAAAACTAACATGACTTCTAGGTAACTGGACTACTATGAATCCACCCCCAAGGTTTAGAATGCTTTTCAATGCCCCGATTGTGTAATTTAATGTGGTATTGTTCTTCCCCTCACAGGTGTCCCTCTGGCTCTACTGAACATACTGAGCAGGGACCTTGAACCTAATTAATCTCCTAAATTTTAAAACCTGTGATGACCTAGGGCAAGCATAAATTTGGAAGAAGCAAAGACAATATATTTATCTTGAAATATTTCAATTAAACTTCTGACTTGTTGACTTTATTGTAAGAGTTTGTTTTTATTTATTTATTTTTTTGAGACAGAGTCTCACTTCATCTCCCAGGCTGGAGTGTGGTGGTGCAATCTTGGCTCACTGCAACCTCCGCCTCCTGGGTTCAAGGGTTCAAGTGATTCTTGTGCCTCAGGCTCCCAAGTAGCTGGGACTACAGGACTGTGCCACCACACCCAGCTAATTTTTGTATTTTTTGTAGAGACAAGGTTTCACCATGTTGGCCAGGCTGGTCTTGAGCTTCTGACCTCAAGTGGTCCACCCGCTTCTGCCTCTCAAAGTGCTGGGATTACAGGTGTGAGTCACTGTGCCTGGTCTATTGCAATAGTTTCTAACTTGTCAGAAAGAGTGACACAAAAATTATTTTATTCATTGAAAACCCTTCTGATTGTTTCAACCATGACTATCATTTGATTTATGTGTTTGTTTTTCAGGTTTTGAAAATGACTGCCAAAAAGTTTATAAGCTGCAACATTTTAAGTAAATTTTATTATTAATGAATACACAGAAATTGAAAGTAAACTCATGGCTTCAACCTTTATACCAAACCTCCAGTAAGCAATAAAAATATCATAAATTTATTAAACAATAAACATGTACTTAGGAAAAAACAAAGGAGAATAATGAAGAACAAAGAGGCACCCAAATTAACTTTTTAAAAATTGTTACGTATTTATTTATGTATTATATTTATTTAATTAGAGACGGGGTTTTGCCATGTTGCCCAAGGTGCTCTTGAACTCCAGGGCTCACTCCATCCGCCTGCCTCAGCCTTTCTAAGTGTTAAGATTACAGGCGTGAGCCACTGTGCTGGCCAAATTAACTTTTAAAGGTTAGCCTAGTTCAAATAATTTCATGTTCCCTTTCTTTTTCCAAAATGTGCTTTTCTGTATTACAATTCTAGAAGATTAGCATGGTTTTTAGGGATGCCAATTCCTATGTTTTTAGATTATTCTGAAATTGGAGGGTCATATTATTTATATTTTGTATTCCTAAATTATAATTTTACCATGTGCCTAAGATGTTGATTTACAGTATATTTTATTTTTCTTCAGAAAGACATAAAGGAGAGATGAATCAAGGAATCTTATCCAAATGCTTTTCAAAATTAGTTTCATGCATGAGATAAAAGTTTTTAATGTCTAATTGAAATATTTATATTTTCACTATTAAGTAGAAATTGATATTAAGAATGAAATTTAGCCATATGTTGAAAGCCAGAAAGTAACAGTCAAAGAACACACCTAAATTAACAAATATTTGCTTTGTGGTTTAAACATTGCAATTAAGACACTATTGTTACTTTGAAGGTATAGATTTTAAGTCACACGTTGAAATAAGGCAAAGAACATGACATATAATTGTAACTAAAACGTGGCCATCTTGACAACATATTTTGATATTCCATAGATTCTATCTCTTATATATGTGATACCATGGTGCTAAATCTTTATACTATTAATGGCTGGTTAACTCAATCAAATAAACCAGTTGTTTTAGTATTTTAAGGTAGAGGTTTCTTATATGCTATAATAATGGAGAACTAAGCGAGAATTCTCTTTGTCTCTTCATCTTCTTTTTGCATGTAAAGTTGTGTCTACATTTAGCATATCCAACATTTTGGCATTCAGTCAACTGTGTGGAAGAGTACATTGACTTCAAATGAAGCACAGAGAAGTGGAACAGGAACTTCATGTTAGGGATCTAAATGCTAATGAGACCCTTGCACATGCTTTCTTGACTTCGAAATTAATATACATACTCATCAGTACCCTGTCTTTCTATTTCTTAAATTAGCTCAAGAGAGCAGCATGGTTTCCAGCGATGGTTAAACATTTCCACCAAGAAGCCTTAGTGAAATTGGAAAGTAATTGGAAGACAAAACAGGTATCTATGGCATATTCTCTTCTGTAACACTGAATTTTTTTTCTGTTTCTGTTTCAGATTTTATACTCATTCTAATTTTACATTTTTAGTATGTATTTCTTTCAAACTTTATAGTAAAATTGTCTCCACAGGAAGATATTAGCATTTATCTCACAGTTGCTAAACCCTCTTACTACAATTTGAAGATCAAGAACAGAGACTGATGGAGAGTATAGTTCTGGCTTCAACAGTGACTAGCATCAGTAGCCTCGAACAAAATTGCCTTATATCCTTAGGCTCCATTTCATTGCTTGTAAATAAGGGTTTTGAGAAAGTTCTGCCACAAAACTGTTTAATGAAGCTGTTAAAGTATAAGGTTTATATTGACTTGTTGTATTAAAAAGATTTAAAACACCCTTTTATGCCAAAATCTTGCCCCCAATCATTAATGAAATTAGCCTCATGGTTTTTTTTGAATGACATCTACAATTCCGAAACCAATGAGAGGGAGCCCTCTTGTGGTTTAGGCATAGAGTGGCTTATGTTCTAGCTGCATTTATAAGATACAAGAATGTATAATCTTTGAAAAATGTAACAACCTTAGATACCTACTGAATATGATCTAAAATTTATAGGAAATTTAAAAATTACAATTTTGGATATGTATACTTGTTCTTTAAATAATTCAGGGGAGTTTTTGAAACTAAAAGTATGCAGCACATAGTATGTTGCTGTCTGTAATTATATTCTTATTTAGTAAAAACCTTTCAGTATATACTTGGTTAGTAGTTATAATGATCAGTAAAGACACCAAAGTGGTTCAGGTCACCTCACTTAGGAAGTAGAGGACAAAATAATGACATTAAAATAGATAACTGCACATTAAATACCTTTTATACTCTTTAACTGTATTTCTGAGTGATAAGCATCAAACATTTTGATCACTTAGGGATTTACCATGCTTATAACAGCAGGTGAACTTGCTATATTTTGTTGCTTAAGAATACAATATATAACACATATTAAAAGGTAAAAAATTAAGTAAAAAATTTATGAAGCTAAGGTTAATTATTATTAAAGAAATTTCAAAAATTAAACTTACTGTAGCCTAAGTGTACAGCCTTTAAAAACTCTACAGTAGTGTGGCTGGGCATGGTGGCTCATGCCTGTAATCCTAGCATGTTAGGAGGCCAAAGCAGATGGATCACCTGAGGTCAGGAGTTCAAGACCAGCCTGCCCAATGTGGTGAAATCCCATCTCTACTAAAAAATACAAAAGTTAGCTGGGCATGGTCGTGGGCGCCTGTAATCTCAGGTACTCAGGAGGCTGAGGCAAGGAGAATTGCTTGAACCCGGGAGGCAGAGGTTGCAGTGATCTGAGATCACGCCACTGTACTCTAGCCTGGGCTACAAAGCGAGACTCCATCTCAAAAAAAAAAAAAAAAAAAAAAAGGTCAACAGTAGTGTAATAATATCCTAGGACTTCATACTCACTCACCACTTACTCAGGGCAACTTCCAGTCTGCAGGCTCCTTTCAAGTTAAATGCCCTATATAGGTGTACTGCATTTTACCTTTTATTCTATATTTTTATTGTACCTTTTCTATGCTTACATATGTTTAGAAACACAAATACTTACCATCGTATTACAGTTGTCTGCACTATTCAGTATAGTAACATGCTGTACAGGTTTGTAGCCTAGAAGCAACAGACTATCCCATATACTCTAGCCTAGATGTAGTGGTCTATCCCATGTAGGTATATAGAAATACACCCTATGGTGTTTACACAATGACAAATCATCTAATGACACATTTCTTAGAACATATTCCTGTCATTAAGCAACTCATGACTTATACTAGCACATTAATATTACTTTTTAAAGTTTCTTTTCAGAAATGAAATTATATTATCCATTAGGTGAATAAGGCATATGAACATAATTTCCCTAGTTGTATATTTGGTGACTTGAAATTTCATCTTTTTTCATTTACCCCAGCATTTTCATTAATGTTCACAGATAATATAAAAAGATATTTCAAATATAACCAATTCGCAACAGTAAATGGATTCTAATATATTTGATTTAAAGTAAATTGCAAATAACATAACATGTTCATTTGTTTCTCATATTCTTTTTCATTCAAGAAGGAAAAAACACAAATTAATCACCTAAGTTGGAAGGATATTTCAATCCACTATATGCAATGCATCAATATAAGTTCCATCACTTTAGAAAAGACTGATTCTTGCTTAGAGATTATTGATTACCCAGGAGAATTACTAACCTAAAGTGAAAATAAAAGAAAACTCTTGTCTATGACACACGGTTCCTGCAGATTATTTCCTGTTTTGCTTTGCTCCTGAAAGTGGAGGAAGCTTTTCTGTTTGTTACCCATTGAAGTTTTCATGGCCTAATAATGTGGCGACTCAAAAAATTTGCTGATGATAAAGAGGAGAACAAAGGAAGCACCCAGCTTCAATTCTGGTATTTATCAAATAAAATGTGATAGAGTAAAGCAGTGTTTCTTAGAAAGGATCTAATAATTTATTATCAATCTTCTTTAACTTTCTGGCAATTAAAAATAAATTTGTGCTTTTGGATTTTCTATTATCTGTCAAATAATTTGGCAATTTTAATAAATTTATTGTTTTTGATTTATATTTCATTCCAATTTTCTTTGATTAGCCACTTAGGAAATTCAATGTTATACCTGTAAGCTTGATCTTCCACAGAATAAGTATTTCAAACAAGGTCAATCTGTAGGAATTTGCTTTTTGGGGAGGGAGAAGTCATTTAAATAAGACTCTATAAACATACTTATTTCTGTAACAGATCATTTAGAAGAGTTATTTTTTTCCCCCAGAAAGAAAAGGAACCTGACATCAAAATAGAGATTTTGTAACGGCTTAAGAACAGAGACCAGTTTGGAAGATCAAGAGCCATTAGGTTACAGAACTGTGAGTGAATGTCACATGCATTTTAACTAGTATTCCTTCATTGTTTGAAGAACAAGTGTTCAGACAATTCATTCCTCATGTCACAGAATGGGCTATAGATGATGATAGGATTCTCTCCTGGACCACGCTCTGGTCATACTCCTCTGAGATCCCTTTTTGATTAGGCCCCAACTTGGGTTCTGTTCTTGGCCTAGTTAGTTCAATTAGGCAAGAATTCTGCTGGTTCAGTTTAACGAAAATCCCTTATCTTTGATATCTAATCAAATTTCTTATCCCCCCCACATTCAGTATCTTATCACCCTGGCTGCATTCAGCAAGAATTTTGCTAAGTCAGTTTAGCCAGAATCCCTTCGAGGTTTCCTCTCTAGTAATTTTCCACCCACTGACCATCACTTATCCAAAATCCCCACTTATCCTGGTATTCAGAATGCAGCCCCGTTCTATACTGAGGTCTCTCTGTCCCCAGTGCAATAGTTCCTGAATAAAATTTGCCTTCACTGCTTTAACTTATGTCCAGCTCTGCTTTTCTTTCACAGTGCCAGCTTCTGTTCACAACCCAGCTTCCAGTTAACAGTTTGCCCAAGTGAATTTTTAAATACTGTCAGAGCAGTACAATGTTGGATAAAGAGCATCAACAGAGATAACCTGATAAGACAACACATGGGGTCAAATATACAAATATAAAGAAACATAAAAACAAACTAAATATTTATAGTATAGTTCAGTAAATATGGTCTAATTCAATTTAGGATTCCAATGAATGCGTATTTAAAAATGCAAATTACACAAAATTACAAAGAAGGAATATATTTAGAAAATCAGTTTATCAAGGCAGAAAGCAACTGTCAGCAAGAGTATATTGAAATAAACTATGTAAAGAAAAATAACCAATGTAGTGATATGGAAAATGATGAATATCATGAGAGTAATGAAAGTATTTTAAACCATAGTAGTATAAATTGACTTAATTAATCACAGTTTACCAATAAGCTTCTTTCCATTCTTAGTGTGGTCACATTACATTTATTCCTATACATTTTGTTTAGGGATCCATTACCTATAGATATCGCTAACACTTGTACTTACAGATGACCTGGACTGATTCTATGGCAGTATTTCAGTACAGAGTTTTTGCTGATGTCATGATATGAACCACATAAGCAATTAGTGAAGGCCAGCTTACTGAAGAAAATCATCATGCTGATTTAGCAAGGAATTTTCAATCTAAGTTTTTTTCCTGAACTTTGTGCCAGTCAATATATAAAAGTGTCAAACACTATTACATATAAATTATAGGTACTTTAAAAATGATAGACTAATTATCACACACCAAATAGTAATATTTTCTTAAATTTCTTGGCCGGGCGTATTTTTGGAGGCCAAGTATTTTTGGAGGCCGAGGGGGGGCGGATCATGAGGTCAGGAGATCGAGACCATCCTGGCTAACACGGTGAAACCCCATCTCTACCAAAAATACAAAAAATTAGCCGGGCATGGTGGCGGGCACTTGTAGCCCCAGCTACTTGGGAGGCTGAGGCAGGAGAATTGCTTGAACCCGGGAAGCGGAGGTTGCAGTGAGCTGAGATCGCACTACTACACTCCAGCCTGGGTGACAGAGCGAGACTCCGTCTCAAAAAAAAAAACAATTCCTATTTGTTTACTACTATTCTATCACTAAACTCCAGTCTAACTCTGTGGAGGAAAAAAGAAAGATGAAATTATAGGTTTAAAAAAACATCAGTATTCCATTTTGAAATAGTCTCTATGGGTAAGTCAAGTGAAAGTGGTTTATTCAATAAACAGATTTTAAGAAGTCTTTCAAACAAACAAAAACTACAAATACACTAATGCCAAATCATTTTTCTAGTTAGTAATACTTCTTCTCTCATTCTATCCTTAGTAGAAAAGTTCCATTCACCATCCTTCTCATTGTGCTTTTCCTATAATGAAATGCATATATTAAGACTTCTCTGAATGATATATCACTGACTTTGTAATCCTAGATGTAATAGTTTCCATGAGAACAGGAATGTAGCATGACTTTTGTCAGGAAGACAACATGATTCTTTGGTAAAATCTGGTCTTTAAAAAAATTAGACAAAAGAGGTATCCATATTCTTGAAAAGTGTTCATTTTTATTGTTTCGGATCAAATTATCTATAGTTACATGTTAAATACTTTATACTGTTCACAGGTTAATGACTCTGATAGAGAGTCTGTTAGTTGCAAAATTGAACTAAATATAATATAATGAAAAACAAGTTGATGAAATCGTGCATAAATTTTTAAATATGTTTTCAGTATAATTTCCTGGAAAAATATGACAGCATCTGGACAAGGAAGACAGACTTAGACATAAGACTCAAGAAGACAGAAAAATAATTTACACCATAAAAACCATAAAATAGCAATACTTCTTTTGGTAGTCCTTTAAACAACTTGACTCACTAATAATGAAGTCACTGTATATCATATAAAGATGGTACATGGAAAATATATGGCACATTTTCTTTTTGTTTTGTTTTTCATAGCATATCATATTATATCTGTAGAATGTCAGGGTACTTCACTCTATTTCCCCCCCCATATTATCATTTATCATACATTAAAATACAAATTTAAGTAATGACCATTGAATAATTCATAGAGAAAAAAGTGAAGAAGTGCAAAATTATTCAAGCATATTCAAGTACAATTTTACATCTGAATCCTTTCCTGCCATTTAAGTCACAGCTCCCTAGTATTAACCACCCAGGCTGGATACTGTGTATGTGAGCGGGGTTGCCCAAAGGCGCCATTGCTAAAACCACCCCAGAGTAAAAGCAGCTATTAAAATAAAACAACTTAATCCCCTGTACTTTTGTTATAGCTTTACTCTAAAAACACACAATATGGTTAATATGGTTTGCTGCTAGTTTTTTTAAATTCATATTACTTTGTAGAGTTTTATATAATATCTTCATATCTGAAATAAATTTAAAAATATTTAATTTAAATTTATTGCTGTTATAGGAAGACATTAACAGTTACTGAAAATAATATACATAGAAATTTTCATCAATTTCTATTTATCTATGTAGATAATTAATTTTATATTTCATTATTTTATAAGCCTGAAAATATCTCATCATTGTTTAACACTTACAATGCTCTCATGAATGGTTTAAATAAGAATAAAGCTAGTGATAAGGGGTTGATTGAACTTAAACACAGACAGCAGAAATGTGAAAATATATGCTAGTTGTCTTATAGGAGGGGAATAAACTTACTTGGTATTTTAGGAAGTAAAAGTCATTTCTTGATGAAGATTAACATTTTTATCATCTAGAGTTATGTCACAATGGAACAGAAGACTGCCCTCAGAGTAATGAGCTACCTGTTGCTATCTGGGTGCTCGAAGAATGTGGATAATGTAATGGTGAAGATTCTGACATTGGGAGGAAAGCTGAATTGAAACGCATCAAAGATTTATTTTAAATTCTTTTTTTGTCTGTCTGTTTGTTTGTGAGACAGAGTCTCACTCTGTCACCCAGTTTGGAGTGCAGTGGTGCGATCTTGGCTCACTGCAACCTCCATCTCCTGGGCTCAAGCCATTCTTCCACCTCAGCCTCCCTTGAGTAACTGGGATTACAGGCACCTGCCATCATGCCTGGCTAATTTTTGTATTTTTAGTAGAGACAGGGTTTTATCATATTGGCCAGGCTGGTGTCTTAACTCCTGACCTCAAGTGATTTGACTGCCTCGGCCTCCCAAAGTGCTGGGATTACAGGCGTGAGCCACCTGGCCGGGCCTATTTTTAATTCTAAGAATATAAATGAGAGACAACTAAAATTAGTTGCTTGAAGAAAGAAAAAATGATAAAACTTAAAAAGTGTTAAATTGATCCTTATTAAGAGAATAAGCTTGTGTAAGTTCACACGAATTCTCTCACTTCTGGAATTTTTTCAATCATCCAGAATTTCAGATCTTATTCCAAAAATACTAAATTTAGCACTTGGGACAGTGCCAGGCACACATAAGGTACTCAATGAATATTTGTTTAATCAATGATTAAATCATAATCTTCTATGTTGGACACCAAGCATATGTATGTATTTTTAAAATGTGTAAGGAATTCCAACACATAGCCAGGGTTCAAAATCACTTTTTAAAAATAATACTCCATCACCTTAAATGTCTCCTCTTTGTTTATGTGTTAACCACAAAAACTACTGAGAAAACCACCTGTTCAGACACTACAAAGTCATCCAATATTACTAGCTGTCTTTTGAAAAAGGTTTTTGACAGTTATTTAGCTGTTCTTCAAAAACGGTTCAAATAGTGTTTTAGAATTCGATTGTTAAGGGTTAAAGACTTGATCCAGTTAGCTTTGTTTATGTGTTTTTGAGGCAAAAGATTGTTGCATGATTAAGAGCTGGCCAAATCGAATGACTGCATGGTTCATATTTTCCACCAGGAATCACTTAATATTGCAAAACATATCACAGGATTATGAACCTTTGTCTAGAAAAATTGACTGTCTTTGTATTTTTAATCTAAAGGAATTCATCTCATTACCAATATGTGTATGTGTGTGTGTGTGTGTGTGTGTGTGTGTGTGTGTGTGAAAGAGAGAGAGAGAGAGGGAAAGGGAAGAGATGAAGGCATTATTAAGATGTAAAATGTAGACCAAAAAAACAGGTAAGTGGGTCCTAGCTACTAACTTGGGATTATATCTCTTGTCCTCATATCTGGAAGAAGCTTCCCCAGGATATTTTTCCCTGCCCTAGTTCCGTTTAAATTGTAGAGAGTTATATTTTACACATGGCCTATAAGTATCTTTGTTATGGAAGAATATGCATCACTTTACTTTTGAAGTAATTGGAGTACCAGGTGTCTCCCTATGGAAGTTCACTTTTTAATATCACTATGTTTGTAAAGAGGAATGGGGGCTGAGATAAAAGTTTAATTTTAAAGTTAATTAAATTAATGCAATTTACAGTGTACACTGCTTATTTATCCATGAAAGGTTTATATAACAATAAAAAAAATGCAGTGAGGCTATATTTACCACTGTAGCACACAAATAAGGAAATAAAAACCAATGCATCTGCTGAGGAAGATGTCTCTTATACAGGTACAAGATGCAATGGGTATTATGGGTACTTTATTTGCAAGAGGGAATCTGTGTGAACATTTACACTATTTCTTCTAATATATTGTATTAACACCAGATTGTCTTATATTTGGAATGGCTTGCTTTTCTTTGCTAGTTCAATATTAACTAGATGAAAAATATAGGTCGTATATGCTGATAAATTTTGGGAGTTTATGCTATTATCTATGTTGCAAAGAGTGTGGAATCACTTTTGGAGTAGAAGATATCATGACCTCAAGGATTGTTAATGATATCTGTCTAAGGATCATTAGATACATTTTTGTTCTCAGAGTTTTGTTCTTAGAGTGTTCTAAATTTTTAGGGGACACCTGTGAAAAACAATGCTGTCAGTTTCCTTCTTTTCCATTTACAAAATACTGCAAGTATTTTCCATTTCAATTTTGGCAAGTCTCTTGTATTCTCTCATGTCCATTTCCTGGAATGTGTACTTTATAGATGAAATAAAAATTTAGCTGCCAGTATAATATTCAGTCCTCCCAAGTAACCAGCAGGTTGAAGTATGTTGTGTTGAGAAAAATAGAAAAGCATATTTTAAAAAGTGGAATAAAAAATGTTCAGAAAAAGGGATGTATAGTATGGAAGATACATCTAAATCTTTTTTCAAATATTATAACTACTTAAGTTGCACTGAGTACTAAAGTAGTGAACAGCTTGCTCTCTTCTGTTAGTTAAACATTTAGATTATTCATTTTTTTTTCTAAAATTTCCCTTACCTTCCATGAGATCCTGGGTATTCATAAACTAATACATGAATTCATGTCTTAGGGATATATAAATATACAAGCAATTAAATTCCAAATTAAGATAAAAGTTATTAGAATATATCAACAGAATAAGAATTAATTTTAGAATAAGATGAGCAGTCCGGATGATTCCCTAATATAGCCACTGAGAGTTGGATGGGGTCTCCAGCGCCATGGAGAAACTTTTGGAAGGGTTGGAGAAGTTTTAAACACCCTCAGCTTTCTTGAAAATACAGTGACTCTTGAATCTATTTAAAGTTGTAAAGTAAGTTCTAGAGCCTCATTATGGTTTAAGTTCAATTCTAATGGTTGGGAAAGAAAGAAAAGGTTGGGCACATATATGCTAATGTATAAGATAGCCTATAAATTCATATGCTATGGAATCAAATATTTCAATGATTGACATACAAATAATTCTTTTTAAGAAAATGATATAAACTGCATACATGAAAATCCCATATTTTCTAATGTGGCTATTTTAAAATACTTCAGAATATGCACATTGGAATTCCAATTTGTGTGTTTAGTAGTTAATGTATATGCACACATTTTTAATTTCTTGCCATTAATAATTTTGTGGTTGGTTTAATTTAAAATATTCTGGTTGGACACAGGGCTTATTGAGGCAAATATTATCTCAGGATGCTAACTGCAATGTAATTTTTCAGTTTTAAAAGGTCTATAAGAGTTCGAAGGAGGAGACACATTCCTTTAAACATATTGGATTCAGCCACATGCACCTTGTCACTGTTGCCTTGTGAGTGAAAGCTGTTAAAGTATTTTCTTAGTGCAGTAAGACAGTGACAAATATAATAGGAAAGGAAAACTATGCCTAAGGAAAGTGTAATACTTTTGAGATAGATTTCTAATGTACCAACGTCCTTGTTGACAATATTGTCTCATGTTTGGTATTTTCACTTTCTAAGTTTCTGATTTAACAAAGACACATTTATAATATTCTCAAATATGGAAAGAAGTGATGTCTGTGAATTTCTTTTGGAAGTAAGCATGTTTGCATTCATTATATTTCTGTTTGCTCCTGGCAGAATTCACTTAAGCAATGTTGGGAAACTTTTGAAATAAGATGTGGAAAGTATAGAAAAACGTATTCAGGTATTTCAGAGACACATCGAGATGATGTAGTTTATAATTACCTCAAACTCTCCTGCTAATTCTCAAGGAATACAAATGACATATCTTGCTCTAATCTTTAGAACAAGAATATGTTTCCATGGTTTTGTTAAATACACACCAAATGAAGAAGCATATGTTTAATTTTCAGGTGCACAGTCCTCAACGTGGGTACTTACAGAGTAACAAATTCTTTTGGTTGTGTCATTTGCACATAATGCCAAACATGATATTATTTCCTTATAGTGTTGTTTTAAGTTACTTATAAAGGAGGGGAACTTGGTCTTTTACTAGCAAAAACTGCTTAACATTTACTATTTTTTAAAATGTTATTTTAAAAAATTACAATTGTATAAGCTGATGTACAATAACATTGTAAAGGTTTTAGTTTTAAATGGTAGTTTTTGCTTTTAATTTGAAAGTGGTTGAAGGGTAGAAAATAGCATCTTGTTAAAGAACTGGCTTTTCTATTGTACATCTGAGTTCATTGTTTTCTTAATCTTTAAAGTTTTCTCTGTGAATAATTTGGTGGACTGAGTTTGTGCATCTGACCAATAATTAAAATACCTAAAAAGCATTCCAAAGCTTTTCCAAATAAATTTATGGTAAAAATAGTTAAAAAAATAGCAAAACTGAAAAAGAGTCAGAGTCTGGTTCTGTTTACCAAGAACTCTATCATACATTTGCACCCAATTACACTGCAAAAAACAAGTTACTAATGCTCTGTTTTTGTTGAAGTAATCCCATGGGGTCATTGAAAAATTTTATGTAAAAATTTCATTTAAAATTATTCACATCTTGCGAATGGCTTAGATTTTGAAATCATTAATTCAGAAATAGAAAAAGAGTCCTCACTTTATAGAAATGACTTACTTATATCATTTAAAATTAAAACTTTCCCTACTTATATTTGGAGATAGGAGTTGAGACCCATAAAACATTGATGGGAAAATGGTTTTTATTAAAAAATCTTCCATGAATCCATTTTGTTTTCATTGTATTCATTTTTATCAAAATGTAAATACTTTAATCCCATTGAATTTTAAAGTCACATTCTAAACTAAAATATAAAAGTCTTACTGAATTTTGTCCTGTTATATCAAATTATTAAACACAATCACATACAGTTAAGTAGCTATTAAAAGTCTAACAAAAACAAGGGTGCTGGCTTGAATTGTTCAATGTTTGGCAATAACTAAAAATACATAGCTATAATACTTATTTAAAAACAAAGTTGTTTCCCGTATTTCCACCTTCGTTCCTAGAGATACAAAGTTTAAGAAAAGTAGATTGTGACTGTAACACGATCTCTTGTTATTTGTTTTAAATTTGCACAGAGGAAAACTTAATATTCTAAACAATTAAATTTAGTATTCCAAATCATTAAAGTCTTTTAATGCTCTTATTTAAAAATTTTCAAAATTACATATGTTGTTTAAATAGTATTTATATGTACAATCCTCCATTAATATGAGTGAATTTCCCACTGTAACTAATTATTTTCCCATTTTGTAACTATACTATAAGAAAATAGTTTTAAATCTCAAACTATTGGTTTACTGTGCAAAATTTGCTTTTGTATGATTTAATAGCATTGAATTACAAATCAAGGAATTTCAAAGTAGTTTTCATGTCTACTATTATGAGATATTATATAACATATAAACACATTGGCAGTAAAGCTTCCACTTACATGGTTTACTGTGAAAAAACAAATCACCTGGAATTAATATGAAATAGAATCCCCTAATAAATATTTTATATTCATTAAAAGAATCTCATCTTTCTCATGACTTTGCATAGCTAACCAAAATACAAAGCTTTTCCATATGCCATTTTAATACAATGGTCATCATTTGTATACCACACGCACACATATACACATACACACCTATGGCAGAGACACTTTCTTCTGAATTGACCATTTGCATTTGCATGCCCCCAGAGACTTAATCTTGCTGCTGATGAATATCCTCATGCCTAAGAATTTTATAGATAACCCAGTAGAAAATATTAAAAATCAAAAAAGCTAATGGGAAGCAGGCTCGGGAGATGGTATCAATCTTCTTGGCCCGGTCGATAAAGACCTTCCTCATTTCATCAGGACTTTTTGGCATTACCTGGACAGGGTGGTTGGGGCCCTTTGGAGTCATGCCATCCTTTGCTTGTAGACATGGTCCCATTCCATAGGCTGTGAAGCTGAATCGGCTTTCCCTTACCTCATCATCCTGTCAAAGAAAAATGTGACAAGGCCCTTTAATAATACAATAGAGCATGTATAACAGGCATCTCAGAATCATAACCAATTTTATCATGGTTAATATTTACATTAATATAAGGAAAAGATAACCGAAGCATATAAAGATGAATTGGTTTTTATTCCCTATTGAAGTTTTATTAATTTATCTTGCTGCATTGTATAGCTGTGCCCATTAATAAATGTGAAATCCCAAAGGGTATGTTTTAATGGGAAAACTAAATTCTGATATTTTCTACATATTGCTTGAATATCTAAATTAAAAAAAAAACAAGATAAAATCTATTGTGTTATATATGTTCATAAACTAGATTTTTTTTTTTGCATTTTTTTTTAAATGGATAAATGTGTGATGTCGAAGGGGAACATACCAGGATCATTGACTGAATTTTTCTTTCTCATGGAGACAAACCTTTTAAAGTTTTTCTTTCAATTCGAAGTCAATTCCTCAGAAAATACAGTCTAGTTCAATAATACTGTTTGGTTTATGTTATTCTCCCTTTATGCTACTTTTCTGTTTTACACTAACCTTTTTGGAATACTTAGAAGATGGCCATGTATTCTAGTTTATATATGACTATGTTCCAGGCACATTGGTTTGGTTGAAATTGTGAATTATATCTGGCAGAAGTTTATTTCATGTTAAGAACATAAACTTTTCATAAATTTATTACTATGTTCTTCTAAAAAGTATCATTTCTTTTAAATGTGGCAAACTGAAGAGAATTTTCCATGTTTGTAAATGAAGGGAATAAAGAAAAATTTAAATAAAAAATTATTTAATAATATATGATGAAATATACTTGAGAGAAATATAATATTTAATAACAATGCAAATTATTAATAATTTACTTTAACACATTTATTTAGAGTGTAATGGTAGCTGGCTACCAATGAGTAATGGTTTATTTGGCTACTAAATTGAAGGTCTAAAAGATGAGAAGACATTTAATAAAGTTGTTATATCTCTCCTATGATAATGCTTTTTCATAATAATATAAAAGATCAAATAATTGGCTTGAACTCTTGAAAATTATGGGCTGGGCATAGTGGCTCATGCCTGTAACCCCAGCACTTTGGGAGGCTGAGGCAGGTGGATCACAAGGTCAGGAGATCGAGACCATCTTGGACAGTATGCTGAAACACCATCTCTACTAAAAATACAAAAATTAGCTGGGTGTGGTGGCACACGCCTGTAGTCCCAGCTACTCGGGAGGCTGAGGCAGGAGAATCGCTTGATCCCTGGAGGTGGAGATTGTAGTGAGCTGAGATCGCACCACTGCACTCCAGCCCTCCAGCCTGAGCGACAGAGTGAGACTCCGTCTCCAAAAAAAAAAAAAAAAAAGAAAATGATGTTGGTTCTGTGAAAGTAGCTCCTCAATGAATAATATATTATAAAATATGAAAGTGAAAAAATAGAAATTATTATGGATTCTAAAAATGAGAAGATGACCAAAATTGATGCAGTAAGGTATAAAATAGTTATTTTGGGAATTATGAAAGTAACGTGATTCCACCTGCAAAACAAAAGTATATGATTATTGGAAAATATTTCAACTGTAAGATGTATAAGCCATTGAATTTTGAGGACACAAGTTTGAAAGAAAAACTGACAGTCCAAACTACCTGAGACTACTGTTGTAAGCTCGCAAAAATTGAAAATCGATTTTCCACTACTCTTTAACAAGCATGTTCATTTAGACTACCATTTCTTTGGCGTCCATGAAATTTTTAAGGCAAATTTATTATTTGCCTTAAAGTTTTCCATATCCTACAAATTAGAATTAAATTGTTCTTATGTAAATGCTAAAATAGCATCCTTATAACTTAGAAAATCATGCTGGTGTTTGCATTTCTAAAGGAAAATGTAGGTTACCCAGGTAATTTGCACTATTTTGTGTAAAAATCACCTGAATGTTGAAGTATAAAATAGGCTTTTAAACTATAGCAACCTATGTGTTAAAAGACATCTATCTCAAAGTAAGACAAAATATGACTTCTCAGTGAGCATTTCCAATGAGGTGTTGACATGTTAATTGAAGCAGTTGAGAAATTCATTATCAAAATGCTCAGATATCAGGATTCTAGCTGATGTGCTTAGTAAAGCAGAATTCATTGACTACCTTTCTAATGATCTGTTCTGAATAACTTATTTTAAAATCTTTAGAGACCTTAGCTGCTCATCTCAAAACAAACATAATCTATTTAAAATTAACATATTAGTGAGCAACCGAATTTTTCTCAATTGTATCTTTCCATATAGCTGAGGGTGAGTAAAGAGTTAATACCCAGCCTGGGCTGTTACAGTAGTGCTGAGAATGACCCCTGATTCCTAAAGCATCATTTCCTTGAAAACAATGGAGATAAGCTACAGGGGGAATTGGAGTCGGCCTTTTTTACTGTGAGGGGCTGCACCTGCACTGGGGGAGCTGTGTATTGGCCTGAAGACCTTTGGCCCATGTGACTAGATGGTATGCAAGTGTGGTTTGGAACAAAGGCTGTGATTCCCTGTGTGAAGGCAATCATAAACACCCTGACTTTTGTCCATGGCAGCTGTACCTATGTGTCCTGTGTGATGAGGGGCAAAGGAAGCTCTTGAGAACCTGCTGAGTCTCCTGTGTGAGGCAGATGCTGGAGGTCTGATGGGTTTCCTGCCTCACATCCTCCTAGGGGGCTGAGTGAACATAAGGTTAGATTAAAGCCTATGGGTGTTCTGAGAGTCTGTATGACAATTGGAACCTCAAATCTCAGCAGTGGTGGACAGAAGCTGACCAGGCTTTCAGATCCTTTGAGACTCAATATGGCCAAATGTTCCAGGAGGGAGTTCTGAGGAGAATCTGATGCTGATCCAATCCGGTTTTGAGGTAGCCAAAGTGCTACAGAAAATAACATGCTGAATCTTATTATTGGAACATGGATCGCACAGGTTTATCCCCTGTTGAATTGGCAGATGGATGATCTGTGAGATAAAATTGAGAGGAAAGTGGCTCAAGAGACAGTTAATTCCTTGTTTCCTATTAATAATTTCGGGGGCTGGGGGCGGAGGCTCACGCCCATAATCGCAGAACTTTGGGAGGCCAAGGCAGGTGGATTGCTTGAGCGCAGGAGTTGGGGACCAGCCTGGCCAACATGGTGAAACCCCATCTCTACCAAAATTATGAAAAATTAGCCAGGTGTGGTGGTGGGCGCCTGTGGGCCCAGCTACTCTGGAGGCTGAGGTGGGAGGATTGCTTGAACCGGGAAGCAGAGGCTGCAGTAAGCTAAGATCGCGCCACTGCACTCCAACCTGGGTGACAGAGTGAGAGATCCCATCTCAAGAAAAAAAAAAAAAACTCATGGAAAAAACTACTCAAGGGAAAGAGACACAGCCAGTAAAGCAAGCAGCTTCATGACCTGAGCTCAAGATGAAAACAAAAGCCCAGTTGGTACTTGGAAGGACACTGCCCTTAATTTTAATCTTCCCTTCTGCAACTCCAGGCAAGTGACACTGCAAACTAGTGACTATAGTGCAGCCCTGTTCCATAAAAACATAATGTGAGCCACAAATAAAAGCCATGTGTGTGATTTTAATTTTTACATTAACTACATTTAACAAGTTAAAGGCAACAGGTCAAAATAACTTCAGTTTGAAAAAAAAAATAACTCAGTATGTTCCCAATATCTTTTCAACACTTATTGAAGGAAAAATTGAGATAGTTTTCATTCTTTATTTCATACAAAGTCCTTGAAACCTGGCATGTGTTTTACATTCACAGCACATCTCAATTCAGACTCTAAATTTCTAGTGCTCAATAACCACATGAGGCTAGTAGCTACCAAATTGGACAAAGCATAAAGAAGCTGGGTCACTTTGCTAAGAAGTGGTAGCAGTTCTCTAGGGAATCCATGCTTTCCTACATCTTTAATTTAATTGACTAAGGAGCTGATAACATATTTTTGGATGCAGTAGTGTGAAAAGTAATGTTTGGTGTGAATGCTAACCCCCAATCTGCTGCAGTGTTACCATTCAGGAATTACTGGCAGGTGTAATGTCAATGACTCTTTTGGAGTAGGTGAAGCCTGGGGTGGTATAAATCTATGTTGAGGACTGAGTGTGGCAGCTTACGCCTCTAATCCTAGCACTTTGAGAGGCCAAGGCAGGCAGATCACCTGAGGTCAGGAATTCGAGACCAGCCTGGCCAAGATGGCGAAACCCTGTCTCTACTAAAAATACAAAAAAAATTAGCCAGGCGTGGTGGTACATGCCTATAATCCCAGCTACTCGAGAGGCTGAAGCAGGAGAATCACTTGAACCCAGGACGTAGAGGTTGCAGTGAGCCAAGATCATGCCATTGCACTCCAGCCTGGATGACAAGAGTGAAAACTCCATCTCAGAATCAATCAATCAATCAATCAATCTCTGCTGAGAAGGACTGACTGATGCTCTCACTGCTGTGAAATGTAACACCTCTACAGAAGAGTAGATATGTTAAGTATAGCAGCAAATCTGGGGTGGCCATATGACAATGAGAAAGAAGCCTACCCAAACCATATCCCCCAACCAAAACTTGGGTAAGCACTGGGTTAGGAGAGTCCTTAGGCATGTGGCCCTCATTCTGGGAAGGCAGGAGGGTGTTTTGATTCATGGGTATATTAACTCTTGGAGCTACTACACTGGGTTTTACTGATGAGAAGAAAATCTAGGCTGTTCAGAAGAAAGATCATGGCCAGAGGTACATCTATAAGCTCTCTTTAGGTGGCTGTTAAGACACAAAAAGAACACAGCAAAAATTGACAGGATTTCTGTGAACTATTTCCCAGCAGATTATTGCCTGCTGGGAGGACGGAAATCTGTTCCAATTTTGGCAGCGGACTCCACTAAGGAACCCTGTTCGATCTGTTCTTTTCAGCTCAGAAGTTAAATCCCACGGTGCCAATGGGGAATGGAAACAAAAGGCACTGACATAGGTTGCTAAATTTACTCCATCAGTTAAGGCAGCTGAAAGAAACAGACTGACTCGAAGGCCAGGATTTCCATGCCCAATTCTTAATGGGGCTCTATGGCTGTGCTATGGTTAAAGATGAATTGTCATGGGGGTAGTGAACACAGCTTCTTGCAATTACCTGATGCCAAAGCAAAATATGTGGTAATATGCTGGGGAACAGGAAAGCAATATAAAGAGTCAAACAGAAGCTGCTTGAGCAGGGAAGGAGGCAAAGGATCAGCTATAGTAGCAGGTATCATGGTCACACTAAAAACTGTAGGTAGGAAAAAAGAGAGTAAGATATACTCAGTAGGTGGCACTGCCTTTAACCAAATGTATGATTGGAAAGGATGTGATACATAAATGAAGGATCTTGGCATCTCTGGCTTGAGCCTAGTCCTGGGCAAGTCATTCCTTAGCCCAGTTTTAATTGGATGTAATAAAATGGGAGCCCTTAGAATTGCCTAACTCGTCCTTTTTAGGAAGATTACAGGAACTCTCAGCTCTGATTAAGGGAATGGCGCAGGGGTGGTAGTTTTCATTAATTCTCTCTAGAATAGCCTGTCTGGCCTACGATAAAGCTAGATGGATCCTACAGGCTGACTGCTGACTATTTGGGTTCAGTAAAGAAGTTTCCCAACAGCCTCCACCATGCTGGCTGGATGTGGTGAAAACTATTCAAGAGTTTTGGACGCAAAACTCTATCCAAGAGTTCAGGACAGAGATGGCTGGTTGGATTTGATAGACTTGACTGATGCTTTGTTTTTAGTCTCATTGGTAAAAAAAAAAGTCAAACACAGCATGTCTTCATGTGAGGTGGACACAATTATAATCTTACTGTCCATCCCTAAAGGAGCCTAAATTCTCCAGTATGTTGTCACAACCGGATAAGAAACAATTTGGTCCAGATCATTGTCAAAAGTAAGTTTTTTAATAAGTGATACTTTCCCTGACCAAGCAGAAAGTCAGGGAAGAGTTTGGAAACTAGTGGCACCTGTGACTAGGTACGGGTGGCTAATTAATCCAGATAAGGTGCAAGGTCCAGCCCCATGAGTCCACTTACAAGGCATAACCTTGTCTGAGGACATTAGCTACAAGTCACAAACATTAAGGGACAAACTGCTATTTCTTCTGCTTTCTATTATTAAAAAAAAGAGAAAAAACTTGTGGCACTGTTAAAATTTGGCAGGTACATTTTGGATTTCTGTTGGCCCCACTGTATAAAGTAACCAGACTGAATTTCAAAGGGAAACTAAAGCAGACTGTGAGAGATCTAAAGCACGCAGTAGCCAAGCTGGTCCCTCTGAGGTCTTAACATTCACTGATTGTGCAAGTATCTGCTGCTAAAACACACATAGACTGGAGTTTCTGGAAAAAGCTCAATAGTGGCACTCTAAGGTGGCTGCTAGGATTCTAGACTAGAAAATCCTCTGACACTGTCAGCAGGTATAAGCTACATGAATGACAGCTACTGACATTCTCTTGAGTTCTGATTAGAAACAGCCGCCCAGACCAAAGGAATCTGAAAGGCATCAGTCCATATCTAGGCCTGAAATACCTACCCCATCATGGGTGATGTCAAAAAGGCATTCCAGTCTAAGTGCCCTGGCAAAATTAAAATAGTGTATTCAAGACCAACTCAAGGGAAGTGACTCTGCTGAAGTGTATCATGTCCATGTAAAAAAATTCTGTGTGACAATGGGCCAATGATGGACCCTGCAGCTGAGTACCCAGAATGGTCTGAACCTCATGACTCTCTTTCAACAGAGGCAAAACAGACCATCTAGTTTACCAGTGGAAAGTCCCATATGTGGTGAGAGCTTGTCCTGAGTATCAACAAGAGAAAACTTGTATGAAAATTGCTTTTGGCTTGAATCTTCCATGGACAAGTGCTAACACATAGCTGTAGATGAAATACCTAGGGTTCTTGCCCTTGGCTTCTGGAGGATTCAGTGGCTTTTGCCTGAAATTGACAGATATTCCATCTTGGGTTTTGTTTACGTTGTAACAAAAGCCATAGCTGAATATACTATTAAGGGCTTGGAACAAGGCATCTTTATATTAGCTTGGGCTTCTCAGATAGATCTCACTGAACAAAGGAACACATTTTAGCCCAAAATGCACAACATGGCCCAAGGGCACAGCATAGGAAGAGTACCTCATATCCCATCTGCCCAGAGAGCAAAGGCTTAAACGGATATTGGAATGGCCAATTAAAACATTTAATTATTAAAGATGAGATGACAAGGACATGGAAAGTCTGCATAGCCTTAATTTAGCTACTTAACTTTATGATTATTGGTTTCTTATTCCAGGAAAATATTTATTATACTACCTATCAGTTCTTTTAGGGTGAGAGAAAATATATAAACCACCGGACAAAGCACTCAAATTGCTGCTATTATATTATTCATATTTTGAGTGTAATATTACATTATTCTAGAAATTGCACAAAGCACAATAGGAAAGAATACAAATAACAACTTGAATCATTTTACTATTAGATGTTTTAAACTCAGAGTAACCAAACTAGCACTAAAATACTATGTAAAATAGGCCTACCCAGTCACCTGTTCTCCAGGTGGCCTTGCATTTGAGCACTATTACACTAAAAGGTTAACCAACAGCATAAAAGTAAAAACATCATTCACCCCTCAAGTCCTCACTGTCTTATTATTACAATACATGGGTTTTGCCATGTGACTGCTAGAATTCCTTGCAAATCTAATTTATGGAACCAAAGAGTCTTTGTGTTTTAAATGTGTTCCATGAAAGAGTGCAGATCATTTTGAATGTGCCCATGAGATGAGGCATGTGGAGTCATATCAGACCCCTTTCAGAAACAGGATCTCAACTCTGTGGGAAGGAAAGGAACAGACTCCTGTACAGGGTCCTGTCTGCTCTCGCAGTAAGACAGGGGATGAGAGAGACCATGAGCCCCTGGACCTTAAAAACATCAAGTTTTTTTTTTAATGACCTAAACAATAATTTTAAGCATGGATGAAGCTTTTCTATCAGCTTATTATTATTATTAGATTACTAAATTAGAAGAAGCACTGAAATATTTTATTACTAATTTTTCTGCTTTGCATTACCCAGTCATAAATTATCCTGTGTTTATGTATGCTTACGTGTGCAGTGATATTCCTTATTATAATTAGCACTCAAATTTTTTTTGAGATAATTTAATTTTCTGGAAATAGCTTCAGCTTACATTCTCATGGATTACATGTCAAAAAAGCAAGGAATAAAAAATAAGTCTAGAACTTTTGACTCAGAGACATTATGTGTTAGCCAATATTTAGTGGTTATAAAATTAAGGCCCTTGACAACATAAAATATAGAAAGTGGGCAAAATCGCTGATTAAAAAGTTAAAGAAGTAGTTTAGTTTACCCACAAGTAAACCTTCTTACTATGTTTCAAGCAAGTTAGAATGGTAGGCAACGAAGAATGGAGATAACCATTTAGCTACTGCACAATTCTTTTTACAGGAGTATCTTTTTTCTGTAAATTTAAAACTGACAAAAAAAAATTTCAGTCATTATGCTTCTATATCATACTGTGAGACTTTGTATGTCTCTTTTCATTTTATTTCAATTATTATGCCAAGCACTGATTCATATAAAATGCAAGTTATAGCTAGAAATATTAGAGACAGACAGAAAATAGAAGGGTGCATACAGTCATTGAATAAAATTGCTTCATCTCTGTCACCAAACATGATACTGTATATTAACACATGTGTGAGGCAAGGACTAATTTTGTATCTTCTTCTTAGTCCTCAAAATTGACCAGAAAAAAGAAAACTTATGTGGATGTGAGAGTGATGAAGGCATGAATATTGCTATTGAGTGTGAACAAAACATTAAGCATCTAGAACAGCATGAAGTATTGATTATGTGAATTGCTGTAAGATATAACAGCATTAAACACATTATTTGCATCTTAAAGTTTCTCCCTTAGTAGGTACCTTTGGGGCAATGCTTATACAATTAAAGTATTAAATAGATTATTCCAAATGTCTTTTTGCCAAATACTTTTTTGTAACTTTATTACCAAATAGGAATGTAAAAAACAAAGGAAAATTAAATTGTTATTAATCTCTATTTATATGGTTTCAAAATGTGTAGATTATTTTAAATTGCTAATAAACAGCAATGACTTATTTTGTTGGGAAAAATCATTGTCCTTTGAGAATATGAAGAACAGATGAAAAATGTGAATGAATTAAAATTGTTTTTCTAAAATATCTGTCTAAAATAAAATATTCAGTTTCATATATCTACACACATTTTTATATCATTTATAAATGGAAGGTCTAAAATAATGCAATTATAGATGAGGTTTAAAAAATACTTTGCTGTTGTAAGTCAATCGTTAATATAAAATTATTTGAAAGTTCACTCCAAGAGAACCCTGCATTTATTATAGATGACATCTGAATTAGCTATTAATTAGCCAAGTATACACTTGGCATATTAAACTTAGATTCAGAAATAGTTTGGACATTGATAAATGGTAAAATTTAAATTTAAAAAGATGAATGTTTTAGATGAAATATTATAGAGGACGGATAAGAAATCAATGGAATGATTTATTTAAAAATCTATATATCTATATCTAGCATAATATGTTAGATTCACTTACTGCCAACTTATAATTACGGAGTGACATAGGGTATTACAATAGACATCATATGTTAAAAAGCAGCATTTCTATTTTAATTAACATTGAGATGGAAGTCACTAAAATGCATGTAAATTTGAACAGAGATTATATTATTTTATTAAGTATTATTTTCCTGAACAGATTTTCAGAGAATATAGCTATAAGAAATAGCTGCGTTTAACATAAACTAAATATCTAAATATTTGTTTACAGGGAATAACTGAAGTCTTGCAATTTTTGTCTTATTTGAGAGGATGCGATTTCAACTCCTGATAGTAGAGTCATTCAAACAGAATTTTGTTTGAATCTAAGTTATTGGGAAATAAGTTTTCTTCGGGTATGCATGAAAGACATTTGTAGGAAACACTTTATCTATTTAAAGAACATCTTAGCTCTAGAATAGCATAAGCTGACCTGGAATGGAAAGATTATTGAATAATTAGTGTATATGGATGCCATATGGCTTTCAACCGTGAATCCTTCTCACGTTCATCAGAATAGTATATACGTACGTTTGTGTTTATCCTTAGACTATAGACTTGACAAATGCACAGGGCAGAAAATCAATTATTTATTATCCTTAGAAGCTATCATGAATTATTTTTAAAGTAAGACAGCATATAAAAACATAAGCAAATAAAATAAAGTTTGTGTACAGATGGTCAAAATGCAGTCAATGATATCTTTATTTTTTCAAAAGATAACCATTGTGCCTAGCAAAACATAAACTTGGCTAGGATTTCTTAAATCTAGAACTAATGATCCATTCCTATTTCATTTGCATATATAAATAATAATTAATAAATAATCATCAGTAGGGAAACAGGCACTAGAATACTGTGTGCCTATGTTTTCTTGCAGCAAACCATTGCACTATTACATTGCATTGTGGAGGAAGCTACATGAAATGCATTAAAGCAATCTCATTTCATTCATATCTCTCAACAAATAACATGTTCGGAAATACCTTGGCATGTCTTTTTAAGCCTCCAGGACTAAAGTAATGATATCATACATGGGAATAGCGACTCTAACCAAAATGCTTCCATATCATGCATACAGACACACACAAGCACACACACACAGCACTGGAGATAGCATCCATGACATGGTGCAGTGCGTAATCAGCACACAGCAGGCTGGGACAGTGTGGGGTGGGGAAATTTGGATACAAGAGCAAACTTGTGTTCTTTCACAATAGATGCAGGATTCTCTGGTACCTTCACAGAGGGAAAAGTAAGTTTAAAAAAGCGGTATACAATAACTAAGCCAATGCTGAGCCTAGTTAAAACTTTCCTAGGAATAATAATTGCATTAATGTAAGGTCCCCTGTTGTGACAAACTTTCTACAGTGAGACTATTTTATTTACTTTGCCTGTTCTGCCAAATTAGAGTACTGAAGAAAATTCATGTAAACCAGTACTCATGACAATAAAGGGCATAGTACCAACATTGAGACTCATTTTGATTCTATTTATTTCAAAATTTAGATTACTCAGACTGTTTCTAAGCAAAATACATAGTTTTAAATGACAAATTTGATCAGCCCAGAGCATTGTTAGTTTAGGGAAATAGTTTTCAACAAGTCAAAGAAAACAACCACCCCCAAATTTGCCCAATGCTTGAAATATTTTAAAAACAAATGGGATGTATAAACTTTCTTATGAATATATCTGTGTTATATTATTGTTTCTTCTATAAAAATAAGAATGTATTGACTTCCCATAAGATAAGCCTGTTTTTTCATTAGAGTTTTCATAAAGTAATATTTAATTAAATAGGTACCTTTCACTCTATAGTTTCTATAAACATTAACTGTTTAGCTACTGGAGATATAATTATGTTGGTCTCCCAGAGAAAGATTAGAGAGTCTGCTGTATAGTCTAATACCTACTTGTATCTATAAATATATATTGCAAACACTATATCTAATTATGTAATTTCCATGCAATGAAAAATTTACAGTTAAGATAATCAAATAAAAGCAAGTGGATCATGTGAAATTATCTTTCAGGGATGAAAAACAAAGGGAGAAATGGATGCTGGGAAATAAGATGTAAACTTTAGTTGCAAAGGACAATCGCTGAGTGATTATATATTATAAGAGAACGTAGCAAGTACTTTAAAATAATACCAGGTCTAGACAATCTGTTATGAGGTTGAGATTACTGCAAGAATTATTTAACATTAAGTCTCTTGCAGAGATGCTTACCTGCAGTGTACAATAGAATCATCTGGAGAACTACTTATAAATATAGTTTACCCCAGAAATTAAGTTTAGTAGACAGAACTATTTGTGTGTGACTTCTCAGGCTAAATTCTTGGCTTCAGTAGATTTCTGTTTAATTATTGCATACTATATTATGAACCCCCAAGTTAAACCACGTACAGACCCAAACTATCTATTTTAGATTGCTTTCCTAATATTTAGTCATTATACTTGGACATGTGTCTTTGTGACCTCTTTTTATTTGATAATTTCAAAGGATGCTGCTATCAAAACTAAATTGTTCACTTGCTATAAGTAACCTCAACATATTTTAACATTTAGAATGGATTCTAAAGATACACAGAAGGCACGAAGCATTTTGTTGCCTTATTTTGAGGTCTCTTGTGCAGTTGCTTTTAGAATTTGTTTGTATAAATAAATTTTCCATTTATTTTCAACTAATTTTATGCAAGCATCTGAGTGTTTCTTCTCTGGTGATTATTACAAGATATATGTGATATTTCTCTTTAACATATATTTTTAAATCATTTTGACCAATCAAATAGCTCTGTTAATAAAATGAAGGGTAATATTTAAATATCCTTTTATTGATGAGAGAAGACAAGAATAAAGTTTTTAGAAAAAGAAAATACCCTTCTTAGCTGAAGGGGGATGATATTTGCTCAGCTTTCAATACAAAAGGGGCTGTGTTTCCCCACCAAACACTGCCTTGGTAGTGCAGAATATGCTGTCTGCTTTTTACTGATGACCACATTCCTCTATTTAGAGTTAAGAAAGTCAATTTACCATATCTGAGAAACGGTAAAACTTCTCCAGTGCAAAAGCTTCTGTCTGTGGGAAGGTAAAGTGGACCAAGAGGAATTGAGAAACCAGAGAATCAATTCATATATGATTAAATATAATTACACAATTGGTTGTAATTGTATATACCATTTGAACAGACATATGTAGCAATTAATAGATTTTCACATATGCAAAGTATCTACCCCAACATACAAAACTGAACTTAAAAAACCTTTTTTCTTCATTAAATCATAATTATGTTTAATTACATTTGCTCCCTGAATATATCAAGTAGTTATCAGAAAATAATAAGATATGATTGTTTTTGCATTTCTGCATTTTCCCAGGGTACCAATCACTGGAGAAAATGAATGTTTCCCTCTTTCTATGAGCTAAAGAGGAAGGAGCATCAAATATTTTAATTTCACTTTTACATGTGGTAAAACTGAATAAAGAGGCACTTTGGTAAAAATAATTTTTTAAAAGAAGGAACCAGAATTGAGCATCTAAACTTGTTGTCTAATACTTTTTCTACTGGATATTATGATTACTGGATGTGTGGTGGATGTAGGATATGTCTGAGCTTTCACAGTTTACCCATTTGGACACCGGATGCACAATACTTCTCTTTTCTAGAATTTACAGGACATGCTTGATACATTCTAAATTGTATAAGGAGAAGGAAAAAGGTAAAGAAATGGAAAACCAAAATGACAAAAAGCAAATCATAATGATAGGGAACATGCGTATTGCTTTACTTCTAATTAATGATACTAGAAGGGAAAGTGGTCTTTATCAGTTACTAGTAACGAAGAAAGACCAGAGTGTCATCCCTGTGATACAGCATTTGTACTGTCGTTGTTCAACCGGTGCCAGTTATCATGAAAGAAAAGATGAGAAAGTAGGCGGTGGAGAGGGAGAGAGAAGAGGAAGAAAAAGAGATAAAGGCAGAATGAGGAGAAATGAGAAATGTAACAGACCAGTAGACCAGGGTGAGGTGAGGGAAGAAGATAAAGTTAATCTCCCCATCACAATATGTTTCAGTGTACAAAAGATATGCGTCTGTTTTCATAAAAATTTAATTAAATGCAAGTCTTAGCCTGTTTTTTGTTCATGTATTACTAAATCTCCCGATGCTGAATGCTGATGTTCTTTCCACGTAGCTGTTAATTGTGTGTTTATTGGAGCAGTGATGCTTTTGGGAAGGCCAATTAGAAATGATAAGTAAAGTTACTGCTTTAGAATATGTTTAATACTAAGTAGATTCAAGCACTGAGAGGTCAAAGCTTAGTGCTTTTTAAAGAAGTTTAATCAATACATAAATTGCAGTATAATTTATAAAGAAACCTTAAAAAATTGAAACCTTTAAATACTTAAAAATGCACACTATGTGAACTAGACTGTTACCATTAAGGTTTATCTTTTGACAAATATGCCAGGATATTGGATCCTTGCCACAATTACACAAAATTTTGACATTATTGTCCATTGCTTTAAAAGACCATTTGCTTTTAAAATGTCTGTTGGCACATTCACATTAGAAGTAAATGCGTGGATCTGCGGTTGATAGAGGCTCTCTCTTATAGAAAAAGAAAGGGGATTGGTCAAAACCACATGCATGTCAAGGAAGATGCCATTACAGTTCTGCATAGAGGAAGAACTTCATTTAGGGCATCCAAATCCAATTAGGGGTTTACTTCTGCAACTTCCTACGGTGTCTTCATGATGTTCTAAGTTTCCTCCTGGTTTCATCACTTATCAGATAGTAGCCAGGCAACAAAAGCACTTTATTGTGTTTCCCACAGGGTTTCAAAAGAAATGTCTTTAGCTCATGACAATATGCATCAAGAAGAGACCACAGAGATTTGCATGTATTTATCATCATGGTATTAGTAAATAAGTAATATTTGATGGAAATAATGAAATGAATTAGCTCTGACAAAGGAACATGAATAATTACATTTGATGACTTATATCAAGTGAAACTATTAGAAATGCTCTAACATTGCAAGTAAGAAATGACATAATTCATTAATTAAAATTTAAAAAGTGTTGTTCCAGGAAGCGCATTAAAAAGAACTTGATATAGGTCCCATGTCATCGGATATGCTGTTTAAAGTAGAGCTAGGTGTCATCATTTTCTCCCTAAAGCTATTTTTGACACTTTTAGTTTGGATTGGAAAAAAATGAAAGGAATATTATATCATTTCATCCCCAGTCCCAATTGCTTCTCTTTTCATCTCTATTAAATACAACAAATTCACTTTCGAGTGAAAACTGGATTCTGCCAAACCCAATACGTTTAATCACTTACCTTATTCTTTCTCTTTCGTCGAAATCTCAGAAGTTCTTTGTGTTGTCTTGATACAAAATTTACAGCTGCATACTCCAGAAGTGCTGAAAACACAAAAAGGAGGCATACTGCCATCCAAATATCAATAGCTTTGACATATGAAACCTAGCCAAGAGAGAAAGAGAAAGCAAGCAAATTCACTTATATTGTTACTTCCTTTGAGAACAAAACTGAGTTTTTCTGATTCTGAATTATGTCATTTATACATAAGTTTTAAAAAATAAAGAAAATGACAATTTTTTCTTGAAGTTTCCTTAGTTATTTTTGTAAATTTTATGTATTATGAGCATTTTGTTAATTTTTTTCAAATTTAGGCAATAGCCCAAACACGATGAAAGAAAACATAAGATGAAATATAATTTTACCTTCAGAACAGTATACTGCTTGAAAAGTATGAACATTGAAATATAGATAATGCTGTTGGCTTTTTAGTTCCATATTTTCATCAATTTTTTTAAAAAAATTAAAATTGTATTTATTAATTCTGTTAAGATATTTTTCTTTCATTGCATTTATAAATAATATATGGTTATTTGCTATCTATTTTGAAATATTTTTTGACTTTTATAAAGACATGTTATAAGAATAGTGCAAAGAGGTCAGGCTCAGTGGCTCACGCCTGTAATCCTAGAACTTTGGTATGCCAAGGCGGGTGGATCACCTGAGGTCAAGAGTTCGAGACCAGCCTAGCCAACATTGTGAAACTCCATCTGTTTTAAAAATACAAAAATTAGCCGGGTGTGGTGGCGGGCGCCTATAATCCCAGCTACTTGGGAGGCTGAGGCAGGAGAATCGCTTGAACCCAGGGGGCAGAGGTTGCAGTGAGCCGAGATCACGCCACTTCACTCCAGCCAGGGCAAAAGAGTAGAATTCTGTCTCAAAAAAAAAAAAAATAGTAATAAGGACTATCAGCTTCTTCAGTCGTTAATATTTAACTACATTTATTGTTGTGTGTGTATGTGTGTGTATATATATATACACATATATATATTCCCTCAAACTATTTGAGTGTAATTTGTAGACACAACACCATACACTCAACAAAATCAAAAATTTGACATTTATAACATTGATAAAATCCTACCACCTAATCCTTAAATCCCTCCCATTTCACCAATTGTCTCAAGAATGCCCTTTTTAATTTAAAAAACAGACTTTTTTTGTTATTTGTTTTCCAGCCCAGGATTTAATCCATGATCATGTGCTGCATTTTGTTGCCATATCTCTTTAGTTTTCAGTGTGGGACATTATCTGTCTCTCCTTGCTTTTTTGTGGCATTGTTACTTTTGATGAGTACAGGCCAGTTATTTTCTAAAGTTTGCCTGATATTTCCTCATTTACATTCAGATGATGGATTTTTAGTAGGAATTCCCAACCAGTGATTCCCTGTTCTCCACAGTGCATCATATCAGGAGGCACACAATGTTGATCAATTGATGAAGGTAATGTCTGCTAGGTTGCTCTATTATAAAATTGCTAATCTTCCCATGCATGGAATATTTTGAAGCTATATAAGTATTCTGTTACTCTTTAAATCTTCACACACTAGTTTTAACATTCGTTGATGATTTTTGCCTGAAGCAATTATTACAATGATGGTTACTCAGTGGTGATTTTCTAATTTCTTTATTCATCTATATTTATCAATTAGCATTCTACTGTAAGAAAAATTCCTGTCTTCTACATTTATCTGTTTATTCATTTGTTTATTTATATGTGTATAAACTTATGGATAACTGTTTTCTTCCAAGTGATGTAATACATTAACATCATTATTTATTTTGATGCTCACATTATTCTGGATTGGGCCATTAGAAGCCCCTAGATGTTAGCACATATATCCGTTTGACAAGTCGCCCTCATTATTTGAGCATTTCCTCACTTTCTGGCACAAGATACTCCAGATTCATCTTGTACTTTTCCTGTTCTTGTTTTTGAGTCAGCCCTTTCTCTCAGGAACTCTTCTGTAGTGAAGAGTGGTTTTTAGAAACCAAGATCTGGGCACTGGGTGTATTCACATCTCCCTAAGTGGTATCGTTTCTAGGCTCTCATAGTGGACAGAGCTAGCAATCACACACACACACACATATTCACACACACACATAAAATGTAGCACCTGTGTAAATTTCTGTATCATCTCTATCTATCCATCTATCCATCAAACATGAGCTTACATTACATCTCTATATCTAACTCAACACCACAGGGTTCCCTTTAGCCTATACCCTTTCTATATATGCAAAATTTTTCTCTAAAAGTGGAAAACTTGACTCCCATTATCCTCAACATGTACTTGATCATTCACCGTGTATGTGACTAACATCTCAATTCTGCCAACCATATTTTCAGCCTCAGCACCTTAATATAATGGTAGAACCAGATACTGTGATCATTCACCTCATTTTTGGTTCTTATGAAGGTGCTTTTTGTGTGCAGATTGTTGTTGCATTTGGCCTTCCTGTTGGGAGGATTATGGCTGGAGGCTTCTATTTGGCCACCATTGGCCCCATTTGGCTCCTTGCTCCTGGTCCCATCCCCCAATGGCCCCACTGGCCTTGGTCCTAACTAACTATTTATCCTGCTCCATAGGATCTGGCAATCTGGCAGCATCCTTGACTCTGGTTCCACCAGACCCAGCCAGCCTCCTTGATTCTGACACCTGCTCAGCTATGGCCCTACAGGTCTCACTGTGTCTTGTCACCTCAAAGGTAGAAAAGGGAAGGGAAGAACAAGAAAAAGAATGGAAAAAACAGACAACTTTAAAAATGAACACAAAGGGAAGAGACAGGAAGAGAAGAGTAAAAAGAAAAGCTACGTCCGTATTTTCTAGAAATAGACTTATACAGACCTAAGTCCCTTAGAAAAAGTAATTCAGTAACCTTTAAGCAACTGTTTTCATACTCAGTTTAATTGGGCAGTGATTTGAGGTTGTAGCTGAACTCATATCTGTGTATATGTCCATTGCTCAAGGTTGAAAATTTGCTTGAGTATTAGTTTCCGCTCTTATTGTATACATGTGCATATATTCCAGAGTTAAGGAAGCATATCTTGCAAGCAATGCCAGCAAAAACATACCTTTTGTGGAGTGAGCATGAGATAATTCATTTTGTTTCATACTTTATATAGCCAATTAGATGTGTAAAATGCTGTCATTTGCCAAGTATTAGAAATAAAAATGAGAGATACTTATATTTATGAAAGGTAAGATGTTTTTCCATCTTTCATTGGAAATGGACAATTAGCTACAAGTCTGTTTCCTTGCTATAAAAATAAATATCCTTACTTCCAAGAAGATGTGGATCTGGGAGAACAGAATGTCAGGCTGGGTTCAAACTAATTTGCCCTACTTCTTTGGACCCAATGCATAATTATCTTAAGGATCAACACCCTACATTTTAAGAACTTGCCTGTCTTTGTGCTGTTTATATCTTCTGTATTCTTTCCTCTTTCATCTTCAATATTTAGTGCAGCTATTTTTATGAAACGTTAGCCTGTGGGAATTTTGAACAGATTTAGATAGTAGTTTTAAAGGATAAGTGGCTCAACATTTGGGGGAAAGTTAGGGTGGCAGGAGTGGTAAATAAAGTAAGGAAAAAGCTCTTTCCTATCTTTCCCAGCAGGTTCTTCAGGTCTCAGGCTAGACTTTGCCCAAATCTGGTTCAGAATCTCATGGTACCTGTGCTGACTTGCTGTGTTACCCTAACACATTGCATTGGAATTGTTATTCCTTGTTTTTTTTTTTTTCTTTTTTTTTTTTTCCTGTTTGTAATGTGAACTCTTTGAGGGCAGATGACATCTCTGTTTTGGTCACCATCACATCAGCGTTTGTCACATGTACATATCTGCTGAGTGAATGGACAGATAAATGAAGGCATTAAATGGTAAACTACAGGCGTCGGGGGAGAAACTGAATCATAGATGACATATGGAGATTCACTTTCTGGAGCAATGCTTTCTTAATACCTTCAATTGGGTTGATTTTCTTTTTGAAAGAGTTTATTTCTTGACACTCGGAAGGGTGTCAACTTACATATGAAGTATTTCAACAGGGAAGCACACTGCATCTCCTCCTGCATTTTAAGTGTGACTTCTACTGATCAGAATCATCTCCACTGGGCAAAGAGCAGTGCATCTCACTTTATTCCAGTGCTGTATCAAATGTCCATCTGTTTGCAAGTATAGATTTAAATCTCATAAATTCTGTAATTCGGCCAGAAATTTCTGGCTGCTTCCAAATATATACAGTCCTGGAACAAGTAATATGGCTTTCAAAGATGCTGTCTCAAGCCACATTATTCCTGAACGAATATGACTCATAAAGTATTTGTGCATTCTTGAGCATCCTGAATCCATAATGACATGAACCACAGAAATTACATCAGAAATATAATTTCCAAATTAATTCAATGAGTGTTTTCAGTGACAACAAATATGTGGAAACATCATTTGTGCCTGTCAGGGTTCTGCTAATTGTTAACAGCTTAAAAGCATTGAGCCTAAAGGCCTACTTTCCTCATCATCTCTTCGAACCCCTTCACCAATTTCAAGTCTGTTTCTCCTCCTCCATTCTAGCTTCTCCGCCAAGTACAGCAAACACAGGACGTGGGAAGTTTGGAACTTTGGGGCTAGTAACTTTAAAATAAAGACAGCAGTTCTTACTTCAATGCATTCACAACACACTCATGACACACAGCGCACTCCCCATGGATTCAGAGTCATTACCTTCTTTGCTCCCCCTCCTGTATGTCTCCCTTTTGGGCAGTATCATTCCAATCTTGACCACCTTCCCAAAAGACCCATTGTCCACTGGAATCCTAGTTCTATATTCTGGAAGAATGCCTCCTCGGTATAACTCTGTGAATACCAGTGTCTATGGAAATAAAATCTAAAGGTTTACTAATGAGGTGCACTGGTCAGGGGACCTTTGTCCCAGAAACCACTCCCAAGCCATCCTGCAGAAGAAAGCTTCCTTCTCAGGGGGTGCTCTTTCCATGGCTTCTGTGACCTGTGTTTTCTGGGTTTCCCTCCCTCCACTCCACCCCATCGGCTTTGTGGATTCTCTTTCTTTTCCTGAGCTGCTTAGGGAGATGGCCTGGGCCCTTTTCTATTCTCACTGGGACACGACTCACTAATCCATCGTATCTATCCCTATGGATTCAGTTCCTCTTCTGTGCTCATGATCCCCAAATCTCTATTTCCTGACTAAAGCCCCCTTTATCCAGGTTCTTCCTTCACGGCACTCTGACTGTCTCCCACGCCTCAAACTGAATTTGACTAAAAAGGAGTCAAGAATCTCTACCAGACTACCACCTCCCCCACCAAAACAAACAAACAAAAAAACAACAACAGCAAATATGCACAGCTCCCCTCTCTTCTCATTAAGAGACTCCACTCTGCAGTTGTTCACCCCCAAATCTAGGAGGCTTCTCACTCTCTCTTTTCAAAGATTCAGCCCTGTTAATTATGTTTTCTTTCCATTTCTCAAGTTTATCAATTTCTGTTCTTCCTTATACTGTCATCACACTGATTGAAGCCACAGTGTGTCCTAGTCCCTCAGCGATATCCTTGACACAACAGTTAGTGAATCTTAAATGCAAATCTGATTGCATTGCTTTAGGCTTACAGTTCTTCATTTGCTTTCTGTTAATTTAATGTTCAAAATCTGTTTTATGGGGTATAAAGCCCTTCAAAATTAGCCCTTCATAATAATTCATATTAACCCTTCACATAAAGACTAGCTTTCATTTTTGTTTTTTATTCAACATTTACTGAATGCCGATGATGAACCCAAGTTCTGTTGTTAGGTGTTACAGGTATAGAGATGAGAAAGACAGACAAGCTCTATTATTAATGGAGCTTATACTCAAGTTAGAAAAACATACAATAAAAGCAAACACATACATAAGATAATTTAAAAGAAGTGTTGTAAAGAAAATTTGGGAGGGTAACGATATGAAAGACTGGGAGAAGGAGGCTATGTTAGATGGCAGTGGCCAGGGAAGACCTCCCTGTGGAAGGGATAATTACCACCTTATGCCAGTTTCTTAATTGCTTATTATGTAGTAGCTATATTTCCCTTCTTTTAGTTTTTGAAACCTGAAAGCAATTGACAAGCTCCACTCTGCCTCAGCTGCTTTGTATTTACTTTTTTTTTTTTTTTTTTTGCTATTACTTTGGACTGGAACCCTCCTTCTTTGGGTAACTACTGTTCATCCTGTAGGTCTCAGCTTGTAAGCTACTTCTTCAGGGAAACTATCTTCAAATGCCCAGGCCAGAATAACGCATCTCAGCATCCCACTTCCACTTTTTTCAAAGGTCACTCATTACAACAATAATTATATTTATTTTTGTGGTAGATCCTGTAAGATGTCTGCTGGCTAGCACCACTTGAATGCCCCACCATCAGTTAATTACTCTATCCTGCAAGTTTTAAGTGCTTTCCACTTTCCAAAAACTTTGATTAGAAGGATGCAAAAATTAGTATGTCCATGAAGATTTGAAGATGAGATGTCTATCCTAATATGTTAACAAAATATGTATTGATAGCAAATACCAAATAACTCCATTGTATCATTGATTTCGTCTCACTGTACTGACATTATCCACTTATGTATCTTCTGCTTTTAGGCTGTTACATTCCATGAGCTAAGACAAAGGCCAGACCTTATGCATTTTTGTATCTCTAGGATGCAGCACAAGGTTCTTTATGGTAAAGGCTCTCAGTTGGGTTGACTCCTGTGTATTGACTTGTAATCACTGGCCATTTATTATTAGAGAAATAATTATATTAACTAATATGCCAGGAAATGCTCTTCATACAGTAGTGTTCATATGGTAACACTTAATCCCCACAACAATAGAGGGAATCATCCTTATTTTAAAGATGAGGAAACAGTTGCAGTGAAATAACTTGCTTAAGGCCACATGGCTACCAAGTTGCAAAACTAGGATTTGAATATAACTCATATGGTTCCAGAGCTTATGAACTTAACTACTATTCTATATCACCTAGTTATTAGGCTGCTTCCATTTAAGATACTACTGCAAATCAACAACTGTAAACAATGTAAATTGGAATTCCTCTCTGTATCTTAAAATTCCAGGCTCTATAAATTTCATCTGATATTTAAGAGTAATGTCAGTGCACAAAATACATACTGTAAGATCCTCCATATTTGCTAGCTTTGATCCTAAAATCTGACAGTCAACTTCCTAGTAGACAACGTATGAAAAGAAATGGTCATTATATTTACTAGATGAAAACAAACTAGTTGCCCAGGTGAAGCAAAACTATTAAGATAAGAGAAATATTTTATCCTACAAAATACCATGTATGTCCCCCAGCAGTAGTAAATATACTAAAGTTGTTTATGAGCCAGGAGACAGGAGGCTATTGTTTACTTGCCATGTAACAATCCAGGAAGAGATCAGCTTGATAAATGATCAATAGAGTACACAAGCTAGGTTATTGCAAGGACTAGTCTTTTTCATTCTAAAAAAAGTTTTATAATTTAGGAAAAGGAATATAAGCACCATATGGTCTGTAGATTTCTTACACTTTTTTCCCCAAGAAATTATGCAGTTTTTCTTTTTTGCAAAATTATCATTAGAAATAGAGAAAGCCTGCCTCTTGCATCTCAAATAAGAATATATATATATATATATATTATATATATATATATATATATAATTGGATTTTATTGCTGTCAGTCATCTTGGTTATTAAACACAGAATCAAGTCACTTTGGCTCTGAGAAGCAGTCATGTTCAGGGAGCTTGCCTAACCATGAGATTTCTCCGTATCTACCCCTCCAGTGACATGAGGGGTTTGTCATAGGGAGGATTCAAGCTAGGATACAATGCAAGTAGCAAACAACCACAAAATTTCACTGGCTTGAAGAAACAAAGGTATATTTTGCTCTCATACTGCATGTCTACTTTGAGTCGAATGCTGACCCTGAAATGGTGTTGTCATTGCTATCCTCACTTGTAACACAGCAGCAGAGGAAAACCAAGTCGCTGGTGGTTCTCACATTTGGTCATAAATGTTCCAGACTGGTAGTGGCACAGGTTGTTTCTGCTCAAAGTTCATTAGCCAGAACTACTCACAGTCAACCCTGATCACAAGAGCACTAGGAGATGTAATCCTACCACATGCCTAGAGGGGAAAGTGGCCTTCGTGGCACAGAGCATTATGATAACTCCAGAGAAAGTCAGGAGGGCGATTTCTATTTGTCCTTCTGAAACAAGAATCCTCATAAGCACAGAATTGAGGAACCTGTGGATTATGATCTGATCACTGTGATATCTTGAATAGCACATAAAGGCAGCTTTGTTAAAGAGAAAAACTCACTGCTTTATGGAAAGAAGCTGTCAATTAATTAGGGTATGACAAAGAATAAGAAATGTCCCCTGATTTTCTGCCAAAAATTTCATAAAACGATAGTGTCAGGTCCAAATTCAGTAATATGAATTGTAAGGAGGTACAAAAAAGTAGAGTCCAGGTAGTGCTTTGAAGCACTAACTTAACCTAAGACAGATAATCAATTCTCTAGTTGCAGAGAGTAAAGACAGGCAGTCTGCAAGCCAAATTTATGTATGAGAATAAGTTTGTTTGGACTGCACAATATCTTAAAAAAGAAAAAGAATATGCTTCTAAGCACGGAATGCTCATCATCAGTTAACCATACTGCTCATCCCTCTTCCCTTCATTAATTATACCAGACCACTTTGTTCATTTATTTGTGCAACTGACCCCTGAAGTCATTTGACTTTGTGCTCTTTGATCCTGATATGGTTTGGATCTGTGCCCCCACCCAAAACTCCTGTTGAATTGTAATACCTGGTGTTGGAGGTGGGGCTTGGTGGGAGGTAGTTCCATCGTGGGGTTGGTTTCTAATGGTTTGGCACCATCCCTCTAGTGCTGTCTTGTGACAGAGTTCTCGTGAGATCTGGTTGTTTAAAAGTGTGTGGCACCTTCCCTTTCAATCTTCTTCCTCCTGCTCCAGCCATGTAAGAAGTGCTTACTTCCCCTTCACCTTCCACTATGATTGTAAGTTTCCTGAGGCCCCCCAGAAACAGAAGCCTGGATAGCCCATAGAATCATGAGCCAATTAATCCTCTTTTCTTTATAAATTACCCAGTCTCAGGTAGTTCTTTATAGCAATGTGAAAAATGGACTAAAACAAGTCCAGAGAAATAGATGGTTTGCATATATCTCAGGTAATCCTTCATAACTACGTTTACTTTTGCACGAACTTTTGATAGGATTATTGAATAGCAGTAATTTTGGATCATATTCCTTAACAAGTACATTGAGTGAGCTGTATTATAACTACGGCAGTATATGCTATGGTTGAGAGACCTGCCGAGATGTATGCCTTTACTTCAGTCCACATGGAGGTGGTCAAAAGGATTTTCCTGTGACCAATAAATTCCTGTTACAGCTTATAGACAACAATATATTAATGGGCAAAGATATATTTGATGTGGCTAGCTAAATTATAACCCAGATGACCATTAATCAATGGATTCTAGAAATAGAAATTTAAATGTATTTATAAACAGCATAGTTTAAACTTAAGAAAAAGAAATTGATTAAACCAGAACCTGGAGTTTGAATCACAAAATCTCATCTACACCTACGTGTAGGAACTCTATAAGGTAAATTTCCAGGGATCCCTTAAGAGAGATAGTTTGTCAATTCTTTTCTCAATCCAAACTTGCTTTTTATTTGAGAAAAAAGTGTAATAAAACATCACAGTGTATGCTTTTGATGAGCTAAAATAGCCCTTTGAATAGGGTAATTGGTTCTTCCTTTAATAACATTCAATCCTGGTGGATTGCCCTAGTTCCTCAGAAATGTCAAGTAAACTGTGATGAGTACTTTTGGCTGTGCGATGGGCAAGTGATTGAAGCCTACAGATAACTGCTTTTTCTCTGAGATATGCCGAAAATGTCTCTGCTTGTGTTATGCCTTGTTTTGTGAGGTTTTAATTTCAGATCTCATTGACTATTCATTTAATCATTCATTTTTAAAATACAAATTTGTAGTACCCTTAATCCTACATTTCTCCTTAGTGCAAGAACCTGTATAAGAATTTTACATTTTGTAACAGGAAAAAATAATATTAATCTCAAAAGCATTTCAAACTTCATTAAGACCTAAAGCCAGCGAGCAAGGAATCTGGACAAAAGAAAATAATAAATAATGTTTTAAAGACAGGTGTTGAAGTGGAATGAAGCTGATACTGAAAAGGCAAAAGGAGGTAACTCAAGGACTACTTTCTCGGAGCATGAATAACTAGGCAATGAAACTTACGGCCCAGGATATTGTGAGTTTCGACATTCTGACATTTATTATCCTGGAGGGTGACTCACAACAGTCTTGCTGGTGGAATGTTCATGCTGATTATCATAGTCATAACCCTCAGTAAATGAATGATGCTTCTAACACAATATTTATTTTTCACATAAGGGATTTTTGTTTTGTTTTGTTTTTGTGAAAGGGTTTTTCTCTGTCACCCAGGCTGAAGTGCAGTGGTGTAATCATAACTCACTGCAGCCTCAAGTTCCTGGGCTCAAGCAATTCTCCTGCCTCAGCCTCCCAAGCAGCTAGGACTATGGGTGTGTGTTACCACACTTTGCTAATTAAAAAAGAAATGTGGAGACAAGAGTCTCACTATGTTGCTCAGGCTAGCCTTGAACTCCTGGCCTCAAGCGATCCTCCCACCTCAGCCTCCCAAAGTGCTGGGATTACAGGTGTGAGCCACTCACGTAATGGTTTTTACTTCATGAGATAAAATACAACAGAGAATCACATAATAACAAAACTTCATTGTTTCCAAAGAGGTGAATTTAACCAATACTTTCGTCACCAGACAAGGAAAGTACAACCAAAAAGACTAAAGAATTTTGAAAAGACACAGTTATCTCTGACTCCCACTTCAGTAACTGGAGTTTTACCATCATTTTTTCTGTAGGATGTAGCTCTTTTTCTTATATTTAACACTGATATGAAATTGTCAAATCTAGATGTCACTGAAAATGCTTCTTAGGTGCATGCCGTTAGACTTCCTGGCATTTCTTAATATATTACCTTTTTTTGATCTACTCAGGCTAAATTATAATTGTGACCTCTCTTTTCTTCATTTTTGTAGTGAAGGTTTTGTGCTTCTATAGCATCATTTTTATTGTAATCATATAAGTTCCTATTCCCTTTTCCTCTGGAGTTCAAGAGCTTCATTTAAAACTTCAAATAGGAATCATGGAGACAGATAAAGCCTGTAAAGGTGTTTGTTTTACTCTGATTTTGGGGCAAAGTGCTTTCTTTCACTGGCGAAGTGGTAGTTTTACATTCACTTTTATCTTTTGGGGACTCAGGGTACGATTCTAGGATATATATGAACGTGGTGGATGACATTGTTTACGTAGTCTCCAAATTGCAAACATATCTTTGTTTTTAAACTTAGTTTGATGTCAAAGCTGTGGTATCATGCCATTTTAAAACAGTTTTAAAGTTTATGATTCGGCCATATACTTTCCCTAGTTCTATCAGATTTAAGAATTTATGTAGCAGCCCTGTCTCTATCTCAAGTACAGAGAAAATGCTTGATAATCATTAATTTTTCAGCTTGATGGAATCTAATATTTCTAGTAAAGTAGGTCCTAAGTAGGTCCTTGATGAAATCTAGTAAGTCTAGTAAAGGAGGTCCTAAGATGAAATGTAGAACTAGAGATATCCATCAATTTCTATCCTTCTTATCATAGAATCCACCCATTTTTAGGACTTTTTTATTTACAAAACAGATAATTTTTTTTATCAGTAATAAAATTGGATGGTATTCATATACATTATATCTTGTGATAAGGGTATGAATAAATAATTATTTCATTTTCTGGGCCTTTTTTCTTTTTCCCCTTTTTTCTAAATTAATGTATATGGAATCATATTAGCTAGTATGATCCATGAACATTTAAAAAATTTAGTTGAATATGTTGCTTATATCAAACACTGTATCATAAAGTTAAATTTATTACACATTCTGTCACAGTAATAAACTTAAAATGAACTCACTTGGATCATGTTTGTACTGAACTTGATTGAAGTAACATTAGTTAACTACATTTTCAGTAAATATTAAAATGTTATGTTTAAATGGTTTGGACCAAAATATTACTGACAATAATAACTATTAATTGCTATATTAATAGGAAAACCTGATTACTATGTAGCTCTCCTGACCCCATTACATTATCACTAACACAATGTACTCTCCTTTAAAATTTAAGGGTTTTTTTTTAGAAGAATAAGACTGCGTATTTGCTAATTAGCTATGAACACAACAGTGAATATAAATCCTTCATTTTTCTTCCCATTTCCTATCCTTTTATTGTAATCAACCACACATAGATATCTGTGTGCCAACACAATTGTGGTGTTCAAAAAATGTATCAGTTCAATTTATATTTTCTAATAGTTATAATCATTTTTAAAATTGGTGTTATGAAGAATGAAAACTTAATATAATATAAAAGCTATCCTCATTATTTTTCTTATTTTTTATTATTTTTTTGAGACAGAGTCTCATTCTGTCACCCAGGCTGGAGTGCAGTGGTGCAATCTCAGCTCACTGCAACCTCTGCCTCCCGGGTTTAAGTGATTCTGGTGCCTCAGCCTCTAGAGTAGCTGGGATTACAGATGCCCGCCACCACGCCCAGCTAATTTTTGTATTTTTTAGTAGAGACGGGGTTTTGCCATGTTGGCTAGGCTGTTCTGAAACTCCTAGCCTCAAGTGATCCACCCGCTTCTGCCTCCCAAAGTGCTGGGATTACAGATGTGAGCCACCGTGCCCAGACGCTATCTCTGAAAATGAGGACAGTTTCACAGAGAAATTGAAAGGGAAAAAATGAGTGGAATTGAGAAAGGTAAAAGGTTCTAAGTAATCATTGACCATAAACAGTTTTTGGTGCAGAATTTGCAATCTCCACAGGCTACCAGCTTCTGAGCTTCTGTAAAATATTTTATCAAAAAGCCATATTTGAAATTTCAAGGACTCATTATTTTTTAATGTTTAGTAGCTGTTTTCAATGAGATGGCCATAGTGATGGGAGCAGAGAAGTCCACATAGAATCTCCCTAGGATACTTCCCTATTTCTTTCCTATCCCTTCCACCCCTCTTGTTTTTCTGAACATTTACTGACAAGCCAGAGCGTGGTCTAAGAAAGGAGACCGAAAACTTAAACAAATAATTTTCCCAAGGTAGATAAGATTATTTACAATTCCCTTTTTCTTTCTTCCTCTCCAAGTCTTCCCTGTGGGTGGAGTGCACTCTTCCACCCTATTGACTTTCGGTTTGGCCATGAGACTTGTATAATTTGTGGAATGAGAACAGAAGTGACTGTGTGCCAATTCTGAGCACAAGCCTTGCATGTTTCTGCTTGCCTTCTTGATCTCCAGCACTCCTCCATGGAAAGACCATGTTACAGGTCCCTGCAGCCCCAGAATGAGGACACAGAGGGAGCAGATCTGAAACCCACTCCACAGCCTAGATCCAAGCCCACTCGAACAGCCAATCTCAGGGCAAGCGCAGAAGAGATACAGGCACCTCACAGTCCTGTGAGCAAGAAGAAATGTTGTAAACCATTGAGATTCAGAAGTTGTTATGCAGGATAATTGCGATGTAACTGGATTATCAGCCCCAAGTGCCAAGAATCTCATAATATTAATATATTGTGTTAAGAGCTAGGGTTTGGATAAACTTGAATCTAGAGATTCCCCCACCCTGCCAAGTTTCTATCTGTGTATGTGAATGTGTGCGTTGTGTATAGTGTGTGTGCATGTGTGTGTGTGCATCTGTTTGATATGCTATGTTCAAAAGTCTCTGATATGATAATAAGTTTAAAAGACTAAAATAAGGTATGCATAGTGACACTTGTGTACTTCTGCAGATGATATGAAACATAAAACACACAACAGACCTGGTCCTTAGCCAGTCTCTATGAAACAGGATGAAAAAAAATGATGAGGGTAGGTCTCTAATAGGAATTAATTGATTGTTGAAATCATAAAATAAAGGGTAAGGTGTATATAATATTGCTGTATATTTCAAGATTTCTCCAGAGTTCCCTAATGTGGATTCCTTCTAGTACTCAGAGTTTACAAATTAAAATTATATTTTGTCTCTTCTACTGATTTTCTCTATTCTTACCCATCCCCATACTTAATTCCTTCAGTGCCAAGGTCTTAACTGAATATTGAAATCAAATTTATACTAAAAATAATTGAATTATTATTACTATCTCCTCTTTCAACCCTGATGAAATGAATCCTCCTAAGAAGGAGGATTTTCCATATCTAAAAAAAAGATTACAGAATGCTGAGATCTCAAAGAGTTTGGGAGTAAAGTTTTGGGGTGAGTGGGTCTTGCCTTTAACCAAACTGTCTAATATATTCTGTTTATGGGTAGGGATAGCCCCGGGAGGGGAACAGAGAGAGAAGATTTTCAGCTGGAGGAAGAGAGCCAAGCACAAATATATCTTCTTTCCCTGTCTTTCCAGGCTTTCTTCCACTAGAAAAATCACCTCTATTCCACTTCCCAATTCATTTGTAGTTTACACCCTAAAGTCTGAGGGCTGGATGTCTTTGGTCAGAACTTTGGAAGTTCTTAGTTTTTGACAATTCCATGTGATTGTCTTGTAAATGTCTCCAAGTTAACATGTTTTAGAAAAGAACCCACAATTAACCTTTCCCCTAACCTTCCCTATTAGTAACTATCATCTCTACTTGCCTAGTTACTTACTTGAATGCTACCCTTGACTCCTGCATTTCCCTGAATTTTCCATGTTCAATTCATAAGCAAATCCTGTCTGTTTTACTTCCAAATATATTTTTTCAGAAACATTTACTTCTTTCTAAAGCCATCTGCTACTCTCTAGCTCTGTTGCTACCAATCTTGCCAGATCATCATCTGCTGTGGACTACAATAGCTTGCTTGGTAGACTCCTTGCTCCCACTCTGCCTCTTCTATCTGGTCTTCAAACAGAAGTCAGTGTAATTGCTCCCCTTATTAAAATTCATCAGTGGCCCATTGCTGCACCCAAATTAAACCCAATCATTACCAAGGCCTATGAAGTCTTCCTTGATAGGCCCCATGATCATTACCATCTTTTCTCACTCTGCCCCAAGCACATGGTGTAAGAAAGTGCTCCTAAAGTTACACAACCTTGAAAATTTGCTGGGAATAGAATGCATATATCACCTTCTTATGGCCACCTGATACAGACACTGCAAAAATGTAAAAGAGTTCAAGTTTCAAGGAATCAATCACAGGAGTGTTCTTGCTTTGAGAGACTACATGCTTGAGTTATCATGACATTGTAGAGGCTGATGCAATAGAAAATATCAGAGAGGAATATCAGCTCTGTAGTTCTCTAGAAGCTGGCTAAAGTACATTCTTTGAGATTTCATTCTCTGAGTCTTACTTAAGCAATTTCTGAGCTCTTTCTTATCTTACAGGAGATGTATTGACACAGAGCCTAGACCAAACACTAGGCAAAGATCACAAAATTATGATTTATTGTTTCACTGTCCTATGTTTTATAGTCAATTTTCCTGAATGTAACTTTGTTTTCCTACTTCCTAGAAATTGTCAGTAGGTAAATTCTGGGTGTTTTAGTGGCAAGACTCTCAGACTTCTGAGGGTTCTTTTGTGAGATTGAGAACAGAAGATCTTAAGGTGCACGGTCTCACACATCTGTTTCTAAATGCAAGTTATAAAGCCCTCACCTCCTGTCTCTCTGGCCCAAAATAGTTGCAGAATCAGAATTGTACTTTTAAAGAGATTTTCTACTCTTTTGAATGGTCTCATCCAATAGATTAATTCTTTTGTTTATCCTGGGTCCTTGGGGTCTGCCCTACTAAAATTGAATGTAAGTAATTAATTATGCCAAACCTCCTATTCCTGACTTATCTTGAATTCTAAGATGATACAGTCAACTTCTTTTAAGGTATCACTTTCTCAATCAATTCCTTTTGTGGGTCAGAGTCACACCTGTCATCACATTTTTAGATGTCATTGTCTCTATGATCAGAGAGATAGACTTTGTACACATGTATGTGTATAGCTGAACTCATGGCTGAAAATTTATTTCTTCTGTAAGTTCTTGTGGAAATTAAAGCCTTTTAAAAATGTCTCCTATTTCTTGAGAAAAAAATACAAAGCAGTCCTAGACATTCTTCTTTTTTTTAAGTTGTGCCTCCATTCTGTGTTTTTAATTTATTGCTTGCTTTATTTCTGCATCCTCTACTCACATTTCCATGCTCCCCCAATTCTACCTTACTCTCTGTATCTAAACGTCTTTCTGTTGTGCCTTGTAGAAGCCATAGATTCTCCTTTTTCTGACTGACAGCATACAGACAAATGAGCTTTCATTTCTGTTTAGCTCATGAAGATCAGTGAGTAAACTGACGATTTCCTTTACAAATTAACTATGAAATTTCCACTATTACCCAGAGCTCTTGCAACGTTTATCCTTACGTAAATAAGCATTGAGTATTATTAGTTTACATTTATAAACAGATTTATAATTTTCACATGAAAAATATTTTAGAAAACACTAGTTGATGCGAACAATTTTGAAAATACAATTAATTGTTAATAAAAGTAGACATTATTAGGAAAGACAACCATTAACTTTTAGTGAGGCAGAGCATGTTAATATCATATTTTAATGATAAAATTCCTATTTTCAATTTTTATTTATATGGGCATTTCAATCTAATAAATTGAATCATAGAATGAACTAATAGAAAGGACTAAGGGAGCCATGACAATAGATTTATAATTTACTTGGTGTAGCAAGAAGATAGCATCAAATGCACACAAAAAAAGTTAATATGATTTTATTGCATTGAAGTACTTCATTTCAATGAAAGTAATAGTAAAGCTTCTTGGAAGCTATGCAGAATTACTTAATTTAGATGACAGAAACTTCTTCTTAGACGTCATTTTAGGGGAAGAAAATAATTTTCTATTTCTATGCAGCTAAATAAATGAAAAGAGTTTTATTTCACTATATCTTATGCAAAGCAATATTGGGTCTTTTACAAACCTCACAGAGGGAACAATTTTATTTTAATTCTGGCAGCTCAGCATGGATGAAAATCGTGGAATTAGATAAGGTCTCCTTCCTATTGACTTATGGTTACTTAAAAGCAAAAGGGAGAAAAAAACACAAAAATAATATATACCATATTGGGCTCAGGGTGCAGCACTATGGGCACTCTGATAAAATACTTGTAGTATAATTGGTATATTTCTTCTGGAAATAAATTTGGCAATACATATCAATGCATATGGCTATCACTGCAGCAATTCTGTTTATAAGAATATATGCTAAGAACATAATACAAAATATGTGTAAAGCTATGTGTGTGTATGTGTTTGTGTCTATATATGGATATATATGTGTGTTTCCATAAAATATGTGTGTTTATAAATATAGATGATATGTGTGATATGTATAGACACAGGCACACACACATATACATATATATTCATATATATAACATTTATTATAGTATCAGTCCTAAGAGTGACTAAGTAAATTATGGCATATCCATACAATGGAGTACTATGCCACCATTTAAAATTACCATGTAGATTCAACTTAAATGTTTAATATATTTCTAAATATTTTAAAACCTATTGATACAAATAATTCCATAGTGTATAAGAGTATTATTGATATTTAAATAATTGGGAATAATAACACAAAATGTGAATAGCGGATATCACTGGTTTGCAGAATTTTTTTCATTTATTTCTGTTTTACATGTTTTCTGCTTTGGTTATATATTACTTTAAAAACCAGTAATGCCATTGAAATGCCATTGAAAAATATCTGACCAAAGCTGACAATGATATCTTTGCAAGATTTATAAGTGTGTGTGCAAAGATGTGCATGCTCATTCAGTGCACTTACTTTTGGCAAGGAAGCTCGTGATCCTGAACTCTGTGTAGTCATCGTTAGCACAGTGGTTATCCCCAGAGCTACCCTGGCCGGTGCTGCATCCATGTTGATCCAGAATGAAACCCAGGATAGAATAACAATCAGGAGACTGGGAATGTACATCTGGATCAGATAGTATCCCATTTGTCGCTCCAGATGGAATCGCACTTCTATACACGTAAACTTTCCTAATTGGTGGTAAGGTAAATACAGCAATTAGTACAAATAGGTCTTTGTTACGGCATCAAATATCACAATTTCTCTTTTTTTTTTGAGACAGGGTCTCACTCTGTCCCCCAGGCTGGAGTGAAGTGGCATGATCTCAGCTCACTGTAGCCTGCGCCTCCTGGATTCAAGAGTTTCTCCTGCCTCAGCCTCCCAAGTAGCTGGGATTACAGGCATGCACCACCAAGCCCGGCTAATTTTTTTTTTTTTTGTAGAGATGTGGTTTCACCATGTTGGCCAGGCTGGTGTCGAATTCCTGACCTCAGGTAATCTGCCCACCTCAGCCTCCCAAAGTGTTGGGATTACAGGTGGGAGCCACTGCTCCCGGCCTCACAATTTCATTTTGATAAGGATTCTGTTATAAAACTTTCCATGACAATGAAAAGAGTCTCGTATTGATTCTTGAAAAAATATTTTTCACTGTTAGCATCAAGAAGCAATGTAGTAAAGAGAGCGTACTCTTTTAGGAAATAGTAGGAAACTTTATTACTTCCGACTTGAAAAGTGCTTTACACTTGTCAAGATATCCAAAGATTTATTATTTCACTTGATTACGACAATTGCTTCTGAGGCAGACAGGAGAAATATATACTTATTATATAAAGATCTTCTTTACTCATAGACTGTTTCTGGTGTTTTGAGTGCTTCTTTAGAGCCAGGTGCTATTTGTTGCAGAAGCCTTTCCATTTTCTTTAAAGTAAGTGCTAGAGGATAAACACAATTGAACACGAATTATTCCTTGAATAATAAAGCAAACAAATAGGAAAATATGTGTTATTTCCCATTAATAAATTTGAAAATAACTTAAAAACACACTAAAAACAAAGGGATCCATTTGTACTATACACTTATGCTTTTATGTCTCTATTATTTACCTCTATTTTGGTAAGCAATACATAGAGGAGTAAATGATGGTTTAATAAACATTAAGTCGATATTTTTTGCTTGTGTCCTGGTTCTACTCCCTACTCTATTGATATTGATTTATACTACTCTATGTTATCTCTCCTTTATAAAAATTGTTCTTCTAAATCACCCAGTTCTTGGTTTAATTGTTTTTATTTGAGTTATTTCAAGAAGGATGAGGTCAGAAAGTTAACATTCTGCTCTTTAAGTAACATTCTGTTACTTATGATGAAAGAAAGATGTTAAAGAGCAATTGCTGTCCTATTGCTAGGTAGGGCTCAGTGCAAAGCTTCTATTCATGTGACTTGGGCCGTGCGTGATTGCACAGGTGATGCACAGGCACTATATCTGGATGAACCCATGCATGTGTTTCCAGAGCTTAAGTCTCAACAAAAGTTCATAAAGTCCAGAAAACGTGGATTCCACTCTTAAGTGAATAGCAATCAGAAACATATGTGCAAACCATACATGATCCTTTTATTGATTTATCAAATATATACAAAATGCCTAAAGATTCCTGAAATATATGAAAATACTTTAGATTTTAAAGTGCTATTAAATATAAAGATTTAAATTTTGCTATGAGAAATAATGAAATGGAATAAAACAAGAATAACTGAAACATATTTATAATATCAGTTAAATAACTCACTAAGTAATCCCATAGCATAATTAGTAACAAATACTAACCATTCAGATACTTTGTATAAATTCTCTAAATTTCAGGTGATTCTCAAGGAAAAAAATAAGCTCCACTGTGTTTTTATTTAAAAAGAGTGTTTTTCAAAGTTCAAAATCACTAATCATCAGAAAAATGCAAATCAAAACCACAATAAGTGCAATCCCAGCACTTTGGGAGGCCGAGGCGGGAGAATCATGAGGTCAGGAGATGGAGACCAACCTGGCTAACCCGGTGCAACCCCGTCTCTACTAAAAATACAAAAAATTAGCCAGTCGTGGTGGTGGGCGCCTGTAGTCCCAGCTACTCAGGGGGCTGAGGCAGGAGAATGGTGTGAACCTGCTTGCAGTAAGCGGAGATCTTGCCACTACATTCCAGCCTGGGTGACAGAGCGAGACTCCAACTCAAAAAAACAAAACAAAACAAAGCAAAATAAGATATTATCTCACCCCAATGAAATAACTATTATCAAAAAGGCAGAAAATAACAAATGCTGATGAGGAAGCAGAGAAAGGGGAACACTTGTACACCATTGGTGGGAATATAGATTAGTCCAGCTACCGGAGAAAAGAGTATAGGAGTTCCTTTAAAAAGTAAAAATAAAGGTACCATATGGACTACGGGGTATATATCCAAAAGAAAGAAAATCAGTGTATTGAAGAGATACATGTTTGTTGAAGCCCTATTCACAATAGCTAAGATAAGGAACCAACCCAAGTGTCCCTCAGTGGAAGAATGGATAAAGAAAATGTAGTGTATATACACAATGGAATATTATTCAAACAAAAAAGAATGCAATTCTATCATTTGTAGCAACATGGATAGAACTAGATGAAATAAGCCAGGCATAGAAAGACAATATCACATATTATTATTCACATGTGGGAGCTAAAATAATTGACTTCATGGTTGTAGTAAAGCAAATAGTGGTTTCGAGAGGCTGAGAAGAAGGCAGGTGAAGAGGTTGGTGAGTGGGTTTAAAAATACACTTAGAATGAATAAATTCTAGTGTTCAATAGCATAATGGGGACAATTACAGTTAACAATACTTTATCGTACATTTCAAAGTAGAAAGAAGAAAAGATTTGGAATGTTCCCAACACAAAGAATTGATAAATCTATGAGGTGATAGATGTCCCAATTACCCAGATTTGATCATTACAGATTTTATGTTTGTATCAAAATATCACATGTACCTCCAAAAACATGTACAGCTATTATGTATCTATAAAAATTAAAAAATGTTTTTATAATATTGCTGGGAAAGAAAATAAAGGGATACACACATGAACACAAATATACACCATTGCTTGTACATAAATAAATATACTCAGTATATGTGGATCTGATGAGATAAAAGAACAAGTTGGACAAAAAAATCCATCACTTATGCATGGCAGCAGACCCCAGAAATACAGTGATCAACAGAATAAATATAATACAAACTTAGGGCAATGAAAGAAACATGCAAAAAATAAGTAAACATAAAATTGAATGATATAATTTCAGATGGTGAAAGCAGAATTTGGGCGTTTAACACATATTGTTACATATGGATGTTTCAAGAGTTGGCATTTGAATAACCCTGAAGAAAGTGGGAGTATTAGGCTTGGAACAATTTCAGGAAGAACTTTACATGCAGAAGGAAGAGCAAGAGCAAAGGCCCTGAGACAGACAGAGATGAGTTTGGTGTATATAAGCAAGCAAGTCATTGTGGCAGGGTATTACGGAGCAAGGGGAAGAGAGGTAAAAGATTTTGGAGAAATTATTAGAAGGAGACAGATCATAGGATGCTGTAGCACATAACTAATAAATACTTCAGGATAGTGAAAATAAAACTGAATAAATCCTCTAATTTTGTGCAATTAATTTGTGTATGAAAACATTTTTAACTTAAGTATATTTCATTTTCTGGGGGGAAAGGGTATTTTATAAATGTGGTTCTTAGGTAACCTACTATTGTTGTTTGTTGTATTTTCACAAGCAACATAAAAGGTATATGTGGTATCTAGGCCTATTATTGGAAAACAAAAGATTCTTGTGTAATGTAAAAGCAAATATGAAATGGAGTCTGGGATCTGAAGCAAATTAACCACATACTTGAATGAGGACTCTATGAGATGCTTTTATTCTCTACATAATTTGGGCACGTTATTTTGCTTCTGGACAGTACAGTGCTTCTAGAATGTAAAGTTGTAAGATCTCTACGATACCACCCAAGATGTCCCATTCCTTGCTTATAGTAGGCATTCATAAATGTAAGTTCTTTTCCTTTAAGCTGTAATAGCTCATTTGATAACTCAAGGAAGTATGCAAACTTACTTTACACTAAGGAAGTGTCTTGAGACCCTCTATCATAAAAATTCATCCCTAATTGATGTTTATAACTTCACCTCTTGTTCTGGATTAAATGATATCTCCCTAAGATTCATGTCCACCCAGAATGTGTGAATGTGAACTGACTTGAAAATAAAGTATTTGCAGATACAATCAAGTTAAAATGAAATTGTCCTGGATAAGAGGGGGTCCCAAATCCAACATTACTTATGTCCTTATAGAAAGAGGGAAATTTGGACATGGAAACACAGACACACAGGGGAATCCCATGTGACTCTGGAGGCAGAGACTGAAATGATGCATCTGCAAGCTGAGAAACAAGGTTTTCCAGAAATAGGTAGTCAGGAAGAGACAGGGAACAACTCTTCCCTAAAGCTTTGAGGGAAAGCACGGCCCTGCTGACACCTTGAATTTTGGACTCCTACCCTCCAGAACTGCGAGAGAACACATTTCTGTTGTTTTAAGACACCGTTTGTGATAGGTTATTATGGCAGCCCTAGAAAACTAATATACCTCCCTAAGCCAACTCTAGGGGATTTTTAGCATCTGTCTAAGGGAACTGAGCAAGGACAGTGCTATTGACTTGCCTGCTCTTTATCTTTGTGTTGAGATGTTAAACTTGAACTCCCTAATAAGTTAGATATCAGCTTCATCTCTGAGTTAAAAGGAAAATGGTAGTGACTTTTTGATCCGATATTGTGAATTTGCTAAGGAGATAAGAGAGACTAGGGACTTTGAATAGTGAAAGGTCACAGCACAGTTCTGGAAAATGCTGAGTCCACGATGAATCATAGTTACTGTAATGAAATGATAAGAACAGAAGCTGATGCTAGTGGGAGGTCATGTACTCACCACAATGGAGTGATGCCTCAATCATGGGCTGTTTAATGGCATTCAGAGAATTCCATTACTTTCTAACTGTATGTATACATTCTAACTGTATAGTTAGAATACGTCTTATGGAAATAGCCCATGTTAGTTAAAGCAACTGAACAGAATTTGCCGATGTACAAATATCACATTGAGTCTCTCAATTCTTAGTGTTGAGAACTATATCTGATATTTATCTCAAGTGTCTTAGTGTGAATAGTAGATGCTTAGGTAAAAATACACTGAAATGCACGAAAATATGACAAAGGGAAAAATTAGGCAACAAAGCTTTTTTCTTTTTTAAAAAATGCAATTTAAAAAAAAATGTTCTTAACAGATACAGTGTTTACTGCCCAAGAATGGTTAAAAACACATTTTATTGTTCACAGAAATTAAAGGAATAGTTTTGGAAACATTATTACTATGTAATTATGAGCTTTTCATTAAAAATTATTTAAAGATAATTGAACACCAAGCATTACTTTCGTCTCATACAGACCAATTATTTAACAATATGCAATGAATCAAAGTATTCATAGGTTTCAAATGCATCCATTTTCTGCTATATAAGAAAAACATTGATCTATGAACAGTTAAATAACTTAGCATTATAATGAAGAAACATCTGGATATCATAAAACCACAAGTAGTAAGTGTAAAGAACACTACTCAACCCCTACCTGTATTGTAATGTTTAGTGCAGTATCGTAAATCTTTTTCTTCTTTCAACAGAAACTGGGGCAAAGTGAGTCCTTCTGCCACTTGTACGGGTGCCTCATCTTGCCATTCAAAAATGAGATCATTCATTGTGTACCCAACTAGGCAAAACATAATAAAAATATGAATAGTCTAAAAAGGGCATTCAAAGAAAAGAAATGCAAATTACTTTATAGTCACATAGGATGAGAAGACCAAACAGTGTCATCTTATAGTAACTCTGTGGATGGAGCTATTCATTGCCCAATTCCGTTTCATAAATGTCTGTTGAAGTCTATTCACGTGGAACTCCCACCAAATAATATGAGAAAACAAAATGGACTCATTAAAAGTATACCATGGCATGTCAAAACTTGAAGGGGCATGCATATACATTCTTTCCTTGGGATGGGTAGCTACTAGATTAATTTTGTAATTTTCATTTTGATTTCATTCCATCTGGTTTCTCCTTACTTTCTTTCAAATTATTCAGGACTTTCTCAATAAAAACTGAAATTGTCACTCGTTAGAAAATGACTTTTTTTTTTTTTGAGACGGAGTCTCACTCTGTCACCCAGGCTGGAGTGCAGTGGTGTGATCTCAGCTCACCGCAACCTCAGCCTCCTGGGTTCAAGTGATTCTTGTGCCTCAGCCTCCCGAGTAGCTGGGACTACAGGCACATGCCACCATGCCCTGCTAATTTTTGTATTTTTAGTAGAGACGGGGTTTTACCATATTGGCCAGGCTGGTCTCAAACTCCTGACCTCATGATCTGCCTGCCTTGGCCTCCCAAAGTGCTGGGATTACAGGCGTCAGCCACCGCGCCCAGACAGAAAAATGACTTAAACTTAGTGTAAGAATAAATGTCAGAAATCTCTTAATTATATACAGATTGCTCAAGGATTTAGGCATGTTAATTTTACTTCTGCTGTGTTTTGAATCTCTCCAGAGTTGCATGTAGATAGCATTTATTTCTGTGCACTTAAACCCATTTAGAAAATATCTACAAAGCAAAAATGGAGAGGAAATAGAAATTGATTTTTTCGTGAAGATTTTGATACACATTTCATCATTTAATGATTCACCAATTTCTTAGATTAATTTGAATTAAGTACTTAATTCAAAGAGAGGGTAGCATTCATTATTGATATATATGGGCTTTTAAAATTTCCATCCTTTATAAATAGTCAAGGTTTGGGCCAGACACATTATATTTTTATCATGGAAAAATTTCAACTCCTTAAGCCATAATGTTGAATAGAATTGGAGTATTTTCTTTAGAATTTCTTGAACAGGCAAATGAAAGCTTATTATAGAACTCATGTATTTTCTTTTCTCTTTGGAACATCTACACCAGTATATTGCTGGCAGCTATTGTATTTTAAAAAAAAGTATATTTTCACTACCATAAAGGATTCTCTTTTTCCCCCTCATGAAAATAAATAACAACTTGGGGTTAAAAAAAAAAGAAAAAGAAAATGACTTAAACTATAACATTTGTGGGGGAAAAGTACTACCACATAATGCCTCCTTGATTTAATCATTAAACATGGGACAGTTTGTGGAAGTGGAAACCTTTGCACATAATATCAGGGAATTCAGGATAGAATTGATTAATGGATTTTGTAATAGGTCAGCAGCCTTTAGTAAACTAAAATTTCATATTTCTATATGGGAGGTATCTAAGAACTGCAGATTTTTATCTTCTCCTTCCCTCTGAGTGAGAAGCTATTGAAATGTATGTTTAAAGACTACTGCACAAAATGAGTCAAAAGTGAATGAGACCTGTGAGGCAGAATTGTTGTTACTTTGATCAATGAGTTTCTTGATGCACAATTACCATGGAGGTAGAGAGAGGAGGCACGGTGTGGCCTCTGAACCAAGTCAAATGGTCGGTATGTTAAAAGCGCTTGGGCGCAGTGTCTCACATCTGTAATACCAGCACTTTGGAAGGCCGAGGCGGGCCGATCAGCTGAAGTCAGGAGTTTGAGACCAGCCTGGCCAACATGGTGAAAGCCCGTTTCTACTAAAAAACACAAAAATTAGCCGGGCGTGGTGGTGGGCACCTCTAATCCCAGCTACTTGGGAGGCTGAGGCAGGAGAATCATTTGAACCTGGGAGGCGGAGGTTGTAGTGAGCTGAGATCGACCATTGCACTCCAGCCTGGGCAACAGAGTAAGACCCTGTCTCAAAAAACAAAACAAAACAAAGCAAAAAAAACAAAAACAGAAGCTCCAGGTCTGTGAGGCAGCACAGAAGGGAAATGGTCCCAAACAAATTCTCCTGGAAACAAGCTTGTATTGTAGAGAAGAGGCTATGTGAGTGACTGGAAACAACTGGCATGGAGCTGGTTAAGCTGAATAGAACATTGAGTAGGGAAAGGAACTGATCACCTTCCACCCTCCCCAATACCTGGGAAAAACTCTCCCAGACACAGTGAAATCTGCTCCAGCTGTGGTGGTAGTGACTGGAGCCAGATGCCCTACCACACTTGACCCCTAGGTATATCTCACACCGTCCACTCTACAGGCAGTGGAGATGGTAGTAGCAAGAGCATCAGTAACCAGATCTCTTTAGACTGTATGGGATTCTGCTTCTGAAGTTTTCAGCAGAAGTATCATCAGTGTGACGGCTCATTATGGAGCAAGTGCTATTCGGTAGAGTTTGTGAAAGTCATTGAGATTGAAGGAAGCACGCATCTACATCTGAATTTTGACTCCAGAACAGATGTGGGAACCTGAAGGACTGTCCCCTAGGCTGATGGATTTAACACAGCAGGGACTTAATACCTGCTTATACTAGAATACATTTCATTGACCCCTGCAATTAATAATGATTTGATTGGTAATAATAGAAAGCTTTCACTTTCATTCATAAATCCTTTAATATGTCCATTATAAATACCATTTTACCGAGAAAGTAGATGCACATTTCTCAATGATTTAAGGATAGCAAAATAGGCACCAATTCTACCTTCTGCCAGATAAGACATGTTTCTCATTCTTCCACACCTATAATCACTGAAGACAAAATATATGAGATTGTGTCCCAATTTAGACAGATGAATGGAAAAATGACCTGAAACTTCAATTCATTTTTATATTCTAAATTTTTCTCAAGATATTCTGTGAAATGAAACTAGCTTTATGAAATTCCTTCAAAGACAAGCTTTATTTAGTGGCTAATACAATTTATAGACAGTATATGTATCTTGCTTTTGTTTAAAACAGTCATCCACATTAGTTTAGGTATGTGTATTTCATAGTCATACTATTCTACTTCACTATGGTTCAAAAAATACTTAAGTTTGAAACCAGAAGGAAAATAGTAAGAGGCCATGGTTGGGGGCAATTCCTTTATTTGAGTAACTTACTGGTTGTTAATGATAACAACTAAGTGGTAATATTGTCTTAATAAACTCTCAAACATAATTTTAAAAAATCAATACTTTTTTACACAATTCAAAATGTTTTAAGATCCTTATGCTTTTGGTTGGCAGATCTTTATACAAGTCTGAGAATGCTAAAGAGAACAGACTGGTTAATGAGATCAAGCTTGTGAGCTGAATTACCTGATACCACAATAAGCTTCCCAATGAAAACTAATTTATTCAGGGAACAGACATTAACCCTAACTTCAGTCAACAATCTCATATGGTAGCTACAATAAAACATGTAAACCAATGGCTCAGGGCAACCAAACGCTTGTTTTACCAAATAGTTACTTATTGAGTACCAACTGTAAGGAAGATGTCCTGCTAGGCTTCAGGCAATGTGAGATATTATTGCCGAGTAAAGAGTAAGTGGCACGAGACAGGCAGAAACTGCTGTGTGCATTTAGCGCGGGGTTCTGTGATATCTACCTAGGCCTCATTTGAGCTGGATCTTGAAAACAAGGCAGGGGCTTCATATAAAGTATGCAAAAGAAGGTGAGGCACTTCAGGCTCAAGAAGCAGCAAAATCATTTGAAAGAAACTGCGAACTCCCAAGGTTTATAATAGCAATGGGAACAGCTTCATTTGTCTAGAGCCAGTTTGCATGAAGAAGCATATAAAGTGTCAAATAATGTAAGATGATGTAAAGTTCAAATTTCCAGTTTAAAATTTTGATCATTGGAATCTTTTGAGCAAGGGGTGAACCACAAAATTTGTGCTTGAGTAGCATTACTCTACCAGGATCCTTTCATGGAATTCACAAGGTCAAAACTGCTTTCATAACCATAATAAGACATTTGCCTTTTTCATTGAGTCAACATTTGCCCTGATGTTGAAAAAACAATGGTGGGTAAAACTTCTAGTGCTTTAACACAAATAAAGGGGCTGGCACCAAACTGTGCTAGGAGTTACTGTATTTTTACTGCCATATCTTGCAGCAAAAACAATCCCATTTTTATTTATGAATGTCTTTGATCCTTCATGAAACAGTAAATATCTTACAGTAAAAACAATGCCACTTTTATTTCGGAATGTTCTTGATCTTTGATGAAGCATTAACAATTATTAATTTTAGTAAATTTGGACCCTATGTAAGTACCTTTTAATATTCTGTGTGTCAAAATGGGAAGTCTGCACAAAATACTCAGCTGCAGGCTGTAATATGATTCTTTCAAGGAAAATCACTGGTGTGTTTGAGTTGCAAGCTGAACTAGCTTGGGGTTTTCGTGAAATACTATTTTTTATGTGAAAAAAATGGGTGGAAACTGGTTACTGTGCCTAGGTATTTGGCAGACCATTTTCTCAAAGATGAAGGAAGTGAACTTATCTGAACTTGTCATGTTAAGGGAACAACAGACAGTATTTGCTGTCAATGATAAATTTTGAACTTTGAAGTCAAAATTGGAATTTTGGAGAAATTGTTGTTACACCATGAGCTTCATAGCTTCCCAATACTTAAGAGATTTTTTGATGGGCTTGATGGTGACATCCACAAATGTGATACTTTGATATGTACGATGAAGTGTGTCAGCTGTTTGGAAGATCTAAATAACTCATCAATCTGATATTTTCAAAATGACCAAAACATGTTTAAAAAGCATACATGAAAGACCCATTCAAAGTGCAAGGTAGACAAGTTAGTTTTAATTTAAAAGAGTAGGAAGAGTTCATTGATATGGTTTCCAATTCCACATTGCAATTAATCTTTAAGAGACTAAAAGTTTTTTGCCTTCAGAAGAAGGCAAAACAAAACAAAACAAAACGAAAACCCTCTCATTCTTCTGCAGTGGTCCACAAGGATTATAAGTCAGAGGTAACACTTCAGTAGATAATTTAACCAAAATTGGCACATAATTAACTATGTGTTTACAGAAAAAAAAGGAAAATTTCAAAGTTTTCAGTCTAAGTCACTGACAAGTAGCTATGCAACAATATTTGCTTGTATTTCATACCTCATGACATTACAGTAGCTTTCTTTGACCATCTAATAAAACACCTTTCCTCCAGTTGCTCTACCTTACCTATTTTCTGTTTATTTTTTCCATAGTACTTATCCTTACCTGACATCATATATATATATATATATATATATATATATATATATATATATATATATATTCATCAGGTTTTGACATTATATATATTCATCAGATTTTTTATTTTGTTTTCCTACTTTGTCCCCTAGAATTTATTCTTTATAGAAGCAGAGACTTATTCTGTTTTAGTCAGTGGCATATTTTCTATTACCTAAAATAGTATGTGGCCAGCATATAGCAGGTGCTTGAATATTTGAATTAGAAATAGAGAAGGGATAAAGGGGAAGGAGGAAGTGTGTGTGTGTGTGTGTGTGTGTGTGTGTGTGTGTGTGACGTTATTTTGGGTTGCCTTGAATTTGAGATGGTAGCAGAAGATGCAGGTGTTGAGCCTAAGAAGTCTCAACATTGACTTATATGTTGAAGGTAGTTGAAATCATGGAACTAGATATTGGAAATGAGTTTAGGATTGGAGATTTAAGTTAAGAATCACTATCTACATATACTAATTAAAATTATTGATTATTTGAAAACATCAGAGAGGGAATATGTAAATGAAGAGGAAGAGCTATAAAGAATCTTAGAGAACGCTTAGGAAGAGAAAAGTGATGACAGGAAAGTAATAATCAAAACAGAAAATCCAAAGAGGTACATTTCAGCTAAATAGAAATGAGAGTATCTAATGGAATTGTCTGATCATAGGATTTTAAGGTGATAAGTTTCCCACAAGCAGAGGCTGGGAAATCATTTTTCAGGTATAAGAGACATTCAATGTTTTAGTTAAAACTAACTGGTTTATTTAAAGTAGATGAACTCTAAGGCTTTCCAACTCTTTGGTTTTATAAAACAATTAAATATAGCTTTACAAACCTGTCTAATTAAAATGCACTATAAAATAAAACAATAAGAAGCATTTGGTTCTGTTATTGAAATAGGAAGACTCATCAAAGGAATCAAAGATAAAATTTAGAAAGAAATCTAAGTATGTATACACATCTAATAATTGTACTATTTGCAAGTATTGCAGTAAGAATAGTGGAATATCAAATGGACCATAGCAATATGAATATCTGTGTAGCAGCAAAGTAAGATGTAGATATAATCTTGAGAGATGCGGAAAAAGCCTCTGAAGCCTGACTTCTTTATATTTTGCATAAATTTATGGAGTACAAGTATAATTTTGTTACATGCATAGATTGCATAGCATTGAAGTCACGGCTTTTAGAGTATCCATTACCCAAATAATGTACATTATATCCATTAAGTAACTTCTCAACCTCCCCCTCTTCCCACCCTGTCAGCCTTCTGAGTTTCCTCTGTCTATCATTCTACACTCCGTCCATATGTTCTGCAGCACTATCCACCGTAGCAAAGATATGGATTATTTATGAATCTACAAAATGCTCTAGGCTAACCTTGAATGTAAACAGGCTAAATGCCCCACTTAAAAGGCACAGAGTGGTAAGTCGCATTAAAAAAAAAAAAAAAAAAAAAAAAAAAAAGCAAGACCTAATGGTATGCTGTCTTCAAGAGACCTATCTCACAAGTAATAATATTCATAGGCTCAAAGTAAAGGGATGGAGAAAAATTTGCCAAGCAAATGAAAAACAGAAAAATTCAGGAGTTGCAATCCTAGTTTCAGACAAAACAGATTTCAAACCATTGATGTCCATCAGTGGATGACTAGATAAAGAAAATGTGGAATATATGCACAACGGAATACTATTCAGCCATAAAAAGAATGAAACTATGTCTTTTGCATCAACATAGATGTAACTGGCGGCCATTATCCTAAATAAAACAAGTCAGATGCAGAAGACAAATACCGCATGTTCTCACTTGTAAGTGGGAAAAAAATAATGTGTACACATGGACTTAGAAGTTATTTAAACACTATAACTTTATTTGTATATTTGTTTTCTGTTAGAAGGGCCTACTTCTTTATTATTTTCAAAACTACCTTTACCATGCATAGACTTTTATATTTCAGATTAATATCCAATTGAAAATCATGTTAGTATTTTCATTTACATTGCATTGAAATTATGGCTCAATTCTGAGAGAATAACATTTTCACAATAATGTATTTAAATAACCTCAGGAATGGACAATTTAGATGAATGGTTCAAAACAGAGTCCAAAATCAGACCTATGTGTGGAAATTTAAGGTAAAAATGACACTTTTTGTTGTGTAGTTTTTGTTTGTTATTATTGTATTTATTTATTCAGTTTTAAATTTTAGGTTTGAGGGTACATTTGAAAGTTTGTTACATACGTAAACACATGTCACAGGGCTTTGCTGTACATATTATTTCATCACCTAGGTATTAAGTCCAGTATCCAATAGTTGTCTTTTCTGGGCCTCTCCCTTCTCTTCCTCTCCCACCTCAAGTAGATGCCAGTGTCTGTTGTTCCCTTCTTTGTGTTCATAGGTTCTTATCATTTGGTTCCCACTTATAAGTGAGAACATGAGGTATTTGTTTTTTGCTTCCTGCAATTAGTTTGCCAAGGATAATAGCCTCCAGCTCCATCAATGTTCCCACAAAATACATGACCTTGTTCTTTTTTATGGCTGCATAGTATTCCCTTTTCTATATGTACCACATTTTCTTTATCCCTTTATCCAGCTTGTCATGGATGGGTATTTAGGTTGATTTCAAGTCTTTGCAATTGTGAATAGTGCTGCTGTAAACATTCGTGTGCATGTGTCTTTATGGTACAGTGATTTATATTCTTCTGGGTATATATCCAGTAATAGAATTGCTGGGTTGAATGGTAGTTCTGCTTTTAGCTCCTTCAGGAATGGCCATACTGCTTTCCACAATGGTTGAACTTATTTACACTCTCACTAACAGTGAATAAGTGTTCTTTTATCTCTGCAACCTCAGCAGCATCTGTCATTTTTTTGACTTTTTAGTAATAGCCATTTTGACTTTTTAGTAATAGCCATTTTGACTAGTGTAAGATGGTATCTCATTGTGGTTTTGACTTGGATTTCTCTAATGGTCAGTGATGTTGAACTTTTTTTCATAAGAAAAAATGTGCTGGCCACTTGTCTTCTTTTGAAAAGTGTCTGTTTGTCCCCTCTCCCCTCTCCCCTCTCTCTCCCCACGGTCTCCCTCTCCCTCTCTTTCCACGGTCTCCCTCTGATGCCCAGCCAAAGCTGGACTGTACTGCTGCCATCTCGGCTCACTGCAACCTCCCTGCCTGATTCTCCTGCCTCAGCCTGCCGAGTGCCTGCGATTGCAGGCGCGCGCGCCGCCACGCCTGACTGGTTTTCGTATTTTTTTGGTGGAGACGGGGTTTCGCTGTGTTGGCTGGGCTGGTCTCCAGCTCGTAACCGCGAGTGATCCGCCAGCCTCGGCCTCCCGAGGTGCCGGGATTGCAGACGGAGTCTGGTTCACTCAGTGCTCAATGGTGCCCAGGCTGGAGTGCAGTGGCGTGATCTCGGCTCGCTACAACCTCCACCTCCCAGCTGCCTGCCTTGGCCTCCCAAAGTGCCAAGATTGCAGCCTCTGCCCGGCCGCCACCCCATCTGGGAAGTGAGGAGCGTCTCTGCCTGGCCGCCCATCGTCTGGGATGTGAGGAGCCCCTCTGCCTGGCTGCCCAGTCTGGAAAGTGAGGAGCTTCTCTGCCCGGCCGCCATCCCATCTAGGAAGTGAGGAGTGTCTCTGCCCGGCCGCCCATCGTCTGAGATAAGGGGAGCGCCTCTGCCCCGCCGCCCCGTCTGGGATGTGAGGAGCGCCTCTACCCGGCCACCACCCCGTCTGGGAGGTGAGGAGCGTCTCTGCTGGGCCGCCCTGTCTGAGAAGTGAGGAGACCCTCCGCCTGGCAACTGCCCCGTCTGAGAAGTGAGGAGCCCCTCCGCCCAGCAGCCACCCTGTCTGGGAAGTGAGGAGCGTCTCCACCCAGCAGCCACCCCGTCCGGGAGGGAGGTGGGGGTCAGCCCCCGCCAGGCCAGCCGCCCCATCCGCGAGGGAGGTGGGGGGGTCAGCACCCCACCCGGCCAGCCGCCCCGTCTGGGAGGGAGGTGGGGGGGTCAGCCCCCCGCTCGGCCAGCCGCCACGTCCGGGAGATGAGGGGCGCCTCTGCCTGGCCGCCCCTACTGGGAAGTGAGGAGCCCCTCTTCCCGGCCACCACCCCATCTGGGAGGTGTACCCAACAGCTCACTGAGAACGGGCCATGATGACAATGGCGGTTTTGTGGAATAGAAAGGGGGGAAAGGTGGGGAAAAGATTGAGAAATCGGATGGTTGCCGTGTCTGTGTAGAAAGAGGTAGACATGGGAGACCTTTCATTTTGTTCTGTACTAAGAAAAATTCTTCTGCCTTGTGATCCTGTTGATCTGTGACCTTACCCCCAACCCTGTGCTCTCTGAAACATGTGCTGTGTCCACTCAGGGTTAAATGGATTAAGGGCGGTGCAAGATGTGCTTTGTTAAACAGATGCTTGAAGGCAGCATGCTCGTTAAGAGTCATCACCACTCCCTAATCTCAAGTACCCAGGGACACAAACACTGCAGAAGGCCGCGGGGTCCTCTGCCTAGGAAAACCAGAGACCTTTGTTCACTTGTTTATCTGCTGACCTTCCCTCCACTATTGTCCTGTGACCCTGCCAAATTCCCCTCTGCGAGAAACACCCAAAAATGATCAATAAAAAAAAAATAAAAAAAAAAAAAGAAAAGTGTCTGTTTATGTCATTTGCCCACTTCTTAATGGGGTTGTGTGTTCTCTTATTGTAAATTTGTTCAAATTCTTTATAGATGTTGGGTTTTAGCCTTTGTCAGATGCATAGTTTTCAAATATTTTCTCCCATTCTGTGGGTTGTCTGTTTACACTGTTGATAGTCTCTTTTACTGTGCAGAAACTCTTAAATATAATTAGATCCCACTTGTTGATTTTTGTTTTTGTTGCAATTGCTTTTGGTGTCTTTATCATGAAATCTTTGTCCATTTTTATGTCCAGGATTGTATTTCTTAAGTTATCTTCTAGAGTTTTTACAGTATTGGGATTTACCTTTAAATATTTAATCCATCTTGAGTTGATTTTTGTATATGGTGTAAGGAAGGGGTCCAGCTTCAATCTTTTGCATATCACTAGCCAGTTATCCCAGCACCATTTATTGAATAGGGAATCTCTTCCCCATTGATTTTTTTTGTCAGCTTTTTCAAAGATCAGATGGTTGTAGATGTTTCATCTTCTTTCTGGGCTCTCTATTCTGTTCAGTTGGTCTATATGTCTGTTTTTGTACCAGTACCCTGCTCTTTTGGTTACTCTAGCCTTGTAGTATAGTTTAAAGTTGGGTAGCATGATGCCTCTATATTTTGCTTAGGATTGCCTTGGCTATTCAGGCTCCTCCTTGGTTCCATATGAATTTTAAAATAGTTTTTTTCTAGTTCTGTGAAGAATGTCATTGTTAATTTTATAGAAATAGCATTTAATCTGTAAATCGCTTTGGGCTAACCTTAAATGTAAATGGGATAAATGCCCCACTTAAAAGGCACAGAGTGGCAAGCTGGATTTAAAAAAAAGACCTAATAGTATACTGTCCTCAAGAGACCAATCTCACAGGTAATGACACCCACTGCTCAAAGTACAGATATGGAGGAAAATCTACCAAGCAAACGGAAAACAGAAAAAGCAAGGGTTGCAATCCTGGTTTTAGACCAAACAGATTTAAAACCAAAAAAGATAAAACATGACAAAGAAGGGCATTACATAATGGTAACGGGTTCAATTCAACAAGAAGACCTAACTGTCCTAAATATATATGCACCTACCACAGGGGGCATTGAGATTCATAAAGCAAGTTCTTAGAGACCTACAAAGAGAAACAGACTCCCACACAATAATAGCGCGAGACTTAAACACTCCACTGACAGTATTAGTCAGATCATCAAGTCAGAAAAGTAAAAAACATATTCAGAATGTAAACTCGACATTGGACCAAAAGGATCTGATAGACCTTTACAGCACTTTCCACCCAAAACCAACAGAATATACTTTCTTCTCTTCACTACAAGGCACATACCCTAAAATTGACCATGTAAGTGGACAAAAAACAATCATCAACAAATTTAAAACTAATGAAATCATACCAAACACACTCTTGAACCACAGTGCAATCAAAACAGAAGTCCGCACTATGAAAATTACTCAAAAGCATGCAAACACATGACAGTTAAACAACATGCTCCTGAACAACTTTGGGGTAAATAATAAAATTAAGGCAGAAATAAAGTTATTTGAAAACAATGAGAACAAAGATACAACATACCAGAATCTCTGGGACACAGCTAAGGCAGTGTTAAGAAGGACATTGATAGCAGTAAATGTCCACATCAAAAAGTTGGAAAGATCTCAAATTAACAGCTTAACTTCACAACTGAAAGAATTAGAGAAGCAAAAACAAATCAACCCCAAAGCTAGCAGAAGACAAGAAATAACAAAAATCAGAGTGGCACAGAAGGAAATCAAGCCACAAAAAAGCCATTCGAAAGCCAGGAGTTGTTTTTTTGAAAACATTAATAAAACATAGGCCACTAGCTAGACTAATAAAGCAGAAAAGAGAGAACGTCCAGATAAATATAATTAGAAATGATGAAGAGAATGTTACTACTGACTCCACAGAAATGAAAACAACCATCAGAGACTACCATGAACACCTCTATGCACACAAACTAGAAAACCTAGAAGGGGTGCTTAAATTCCTGGACACATACAGTTTCCCAAGAATAAGCCAAGAAGAAATTGATTTCCTAAACAGATCAATAACAACCTCCAAAATTGAATCAGTAATAAATAGCCTACCAACCAAAAAAAATGCCTGGGAGCTGAAAGATTCACAGAATGGTAGTTCTGAATTTTACCAGATTTGTACAAAGAAGAGCTGGTACCATTTTTACAGAAGCTATTCCGAAAAATTGAGGAGGAGGGACTCCTCCTCAACTTATTATATGAGGCCAGAATCATCTTGATACTAAAACCTGGCAAAGACGCAACAAAAAAAGAAAACTTCAGGCCAATATCCTTGAAGAACATCGGTGCAAAAATTCTCTACAAAATAATTTCAAACTGAAACCAGCAGCACATCAAAAGCTAATCCACCATGATCAAGTAGGCTTCATTCCCAGGATGCAAGATTGGTTCAACATATGCAAATCGATAAATGTGATTCATCATGTAAACAGAACAAAAGACAAAAATCACATGATTATCTCAATAGACTCAGAGAAAGCTTTTGATAAAATTCAACACCCTTTCATGTTAAAAACTCTCAATAAACTAGGTATTGAAGGAAAATACCTCAAAGTAATAGGACCCATCTCTGACAAACCTGCAGCCAACATTATACTGAATGGTCAAAAGCTGGAAGCATTCCCCTTGAAAACTGGCACAAGACGAGAATGTCCTCTCTCACCACTTTTATTCAACATAGTATTGAAAGTACTAGGCAGAGCTATCAGGCAAGACAAAGAAATAAAGGATATCCAAATAGGAAGAGGGGATGTCAAACTACCTCTGTTTGTAGATGACATTATTTTATGTCTAGAAAACCCCATAGTCTTGGCTCAAAAGTTCCTCCAGCTGATAAACAACTTCAGCAAAGTTTCAGGATACAAAATCAATGTACAAAAATCACTATCATTCCTATACACCAACAACAGCCACACTGAGAGCCAAATCAGAAAGGCAATTCAATTTACAATTGGCACAAAATAATAAAATAATAAAATACCTAGGAATAACCAGGGAGATGAAAGAAAGATCTCTACAATGACAATTACAAAACACTCCTTAAAAAAATTAGAGAAGACACAAACAAATGGAAAAATATCCCATGCTAATGGATAGGAAGAATCAATATCATTAAAAAAATGATGCTTTAAATTAATGTGGCAAAATTTTAATAAATGATGATGAGAAAAAATTCTATCCACTTAGAAAAAGGAGTGACGCAAAAAGAAAATCTAATTGTATTTAAAATATAAACATAATTTGTGCTATACAAGTTCTGGATTAAAGTAAATGATAATATTTTGTAATATTGGCATGTATAAAGCATAATTTTTAAAGAAAAACAAATTTTATTATATGTATATTTAAAACTTTACTATGAAAGATATTGTAAAGTTGAAACGTGAATAACATATGGAAAACAACATATGTAACAAATATAATACAATACAATATAATTTAATATAATATAATAATATTATAAAAATGAAAAGATAATTCTATATTAAAGGTTTAAACAGGCAACTTACAGAAGAAACAGCAATGGTTACTAAGTATGCAGGAAGAAAAGCTCAAACTAAAGGAAATGAAAATACAACAAAATACAAATTTATATCCATGAGATTAGATAAAAAACCTTAAATCTGACATTAAGTGGCAATGTTAATATGAGCTTGGTACAAAAATGTTTTTAAATTTACTGTATTTTTGTTTGAAATATCTTTTGGATTTATAATCATTCATATAGTATAGGTACATACACATATGTATTCATAGAAACAAACACAAATGCATATGTATGACAGAGAGAGAGAGGGAGAGAAAGTAAGGAAGAGAAAGTAAAAGGGAACTGGTAATGAGGCAAACAAAGTAGCTAAGGCTAGAAAGGAGGATTATGAGTAGAGGCTACTAATGCATTCATTTTTGTTTGTTTCTCAGTTTCTATTCAAATTTCCTAGCACAAACATACCAGTTTTGAAGAATACATTCAAATTTATTACATTATCACTTTTTAAAAATCATAAAATCTTTGGTGGTTTAAAAATAGCTTAAAAGACTACACATGAGAAAAGAGGTTATATAAAACTTTACACAACGGGTAAATATATAAAAGAAGCACTTATTCAAAGGGAGAATGTGGGCTGTGAATACACTTAAGTTGAAAACGAGTTTAAAGATTTACTAATAAATTATAGATTCACATTTTGTTTTAAAAGTAAACCAGAATCATATTTGGTCCAGCTATCTCAAAAGTTAGGCAGGGTTAGGGTGGAGACAGAGAGAGATTTCTAGTTTGACCCAGTTTGCAAATGCTTATGTTCTTAATTAGCAGCTGGAATTCAAAAAGCAGAAGGAAGAAAATGCTCACTCTTGGCACATGCTGACTATTGCTAGGAGAAATATTGCTCAAGTAAATTTCATTGACCTGACAAGGAACAACTGCTATGTCAAAACGCATTTAACTAAAACATTTTTATTTATAATTTGTGCATTTCATTTGAATACTCTTACCATAAATCAGGCCATTACATGTGGTTTCATTTAAATTATTGGTCTGGTAAATTAAGCATCTTCTTAGCAATTACATTTTCTCTAAAACTTCTGGTATAGCTGACCTATCACCATTATCTTATGAGACATTTTAACGTATATCACAGACTTAAAGTTTCCCCCTTTCTCTTGGGAAAAGTGTGGATATATAATTTGTGACCCCTAACTGCTCTTCTTAAATGACAAACACAACAATAACTTTGTTCATATTTCTCAAAACTTCACAAAATTGCCACACTTTGAACACACAAAGTTTAAAGTTTTTGTGAGAAATTTCAGTGAAAATCAGAAAATGACCTGACCCTGAGCCCATTTTAATGAGGAAAGGCATCGTGGTTGGTTGGATTTCACTGTAGGAGAGGTTATAAGAGGGTCTTGCCCGACTACCTTTTTGGAATAAACTTCAGGTTGTGAGAAAACATTCTGTGTCTGCCTCCCAGGATGTTGGAGGTTCAGATCTGCTCAAATTTGTGAAATAATCAATTCACTAAATAGGCCCCAAATCATAACCGACACTGTGAGCCAAACCACTTTAGCAATATCTGAAAGTTGTGTAATGTTTTGAATAGAGAATAGTAAGGCAATAATGCTTTGACTGGTCTTGGGTTTTTTTATTTTTGATATATTTATATATTTTTTAGAGATAGGGTCTCACTCTGTTGCCCAGGCTGGAGTGCAGTGAAGCAATCACAGCTCACTGTAGCATCAAACTCCGGGACAAAAGTGATCCTCCCAAGTAGCTGGGACTACAGGCAGGTGTCACCATGCCCAGCTACTTTTTTGGGTTTTTAATTTTTTTGTAGAGATGGGGGTCTTCTTATGTTCCCCAGGGTGATCTCAAACTCCTGGGCTCAAGAAATCCTCCCACTTCAGCCTCCCAAATTGTTGGGATTACAAGTGTGAGCCACCATGCTGTGCCTGATCTTGGGATTTTTGAAGCCTGATTTTTCAGTACCACTATTTATTTGTAAGAACCAAAACCTATACAAAACCAAAACCAAAACAAGGGAAGAAAGTTCTGCATAATATTAGCAAGATGATCCACTTCAAATTCATATTGCTGGAAGCATTTGAAGAGTATTATTATGAAAAAGTCTTTGTAATACTATAAAATTAAAATTTTAACATGATTGGATAGCTTAAACATCAGAGAATAAAATTATATATTTTGTGTGCAACTTCTCCTTAAGGTGAGATAAAAAATGTCTATTATTGCAATATATTTATTGAAGTACTTGAGAGAGGTAATTAGCATGGTATGGACAGATTTCAAACACTAAAATTCGCATTTAATACACAGTATAATAAAAACTGATGCAAGCTATTCTGGACAGAGACCCAGACATTACTGTAAATCATTTATTATTATATAATTTGCCATATATATAAAGCCACATTGTTCCTCTCAGGTCTCAGAAGCTTATAATTACTTTTTTTTTTTTTTTGGAGACGGGGTCTTGCTTTGTTGCCCGGGCTGGAGTGCAGTGGTGTGATCTCAGCTTACTGCAACCTCCACTTCCCAGGTTCAAGTGATTCTCCTGTCTCGGCCACCTGAGCAACTGGGACTACAGGCGTATGTCACCACGCCTGGCTAATTTTTTTTGTATTTTTTAGTAGAGACAGGGTTTCACCATATTGGTCAGGCTGGTCTCGAACTCCTGACCTTAGGTCATCAACCCGTCTCAGCCTCCCAAAGTGCTGGGATTACAAGCATGAGCCACCATGTCTGGCCATAATTACTTTTTAAACTTACTTTTTAAAATTTAAACAGAAAATAATACTGCCAGACAAGGCAAAAGATAGCTGATGTTTTACATGCAATCAAAGCCTACAATATCAAGTATACCTACAATGAAAATGACATTGGCACAGAAAGATGTTCAAGTAATTGGAAGTGAGCAACTCCACAGTATTCTGTTGCACCTTAAAAATATAATTATATAGCAAAATCATAGCTGTGTAATAGAATTATGCAGGAAAGCACTAATTCCTAATATATTGTTATGAGGACTACTGTAATAATAAAATTCTATCTAAGTTAGTATGTTTTCAAATGTGGTATATCTTTTGGATGGAAGGATCACTTAAGAAGTATTTAAGGCATATTAGTTGAAGTTCTGCAGGTCTTAAGTTGCTCATCACAAAGGAACCAGAACTTCAAATTTGTACTGTTTAAATTATCCTTATTTTAGAGAATTAATATTTGTTAAATATTTAACATTATTTGTTAATTATTTAATTAATAATTAATAATTTATTTGTTAATTATTAATTAATAATTAATGCATTAATTATTTAATTAATACTTAATTTGTTAATTATTTAATTAATAATTTGTTAAACTTAACAAAATTATTTGTTAAATGATTCAATTGTGTTGTAATCCACACTCCCAGGATATGTTTTCTGTGTCCTAATTTATAAATTGTTAAGTATATGCTGATTTCTATCATAAAAATGAAAAACTAACTCAAGGTACAGAGTTTGTATAGCCCAAGGATATATTAAGGCTATTTTCTAATGGAGATGACAGAAACAGTGATTGTAATTAGGTAGAAGATGAAGTTTTAATCACAAATGAGCAAGTTAACTATAGCCAGAGAAATTTTCACCATTTTCTGTGTCTTTACTGCAGGCATAGCTTGTTTTATTGAGCTTTTCTTTATTGTGCTTTGTAGATATTGAATATTTTACAAATTGAAGATTTGTGGCAACCCTATATTAAGCAAGTCTATCAGCTCCATTTTTCCAGCAACCTGTCATCACCTCATGTCTCTGTGTCATATTTCAGTACTTGTCATAATATTTCAAACTTTGTCATTATTACGATATCTGTAATAATAATCTGTGGTCAGTGATATTTGATGTTACCATTATAATTGTTTTTGGGTGCTACAAACTACCTCCCTATATGATGGCAAATTATTAGCCAATTAATAACTACGAAGACCTTTAAGTAGTCGCTGAAAGGAAAAGCAACACATCTCTCACTTTAAATCAAAAGCTAGAAATGGTTAAGCTTAGTGAGGAAGGTATGTTGGAAGCTTAGATAGGATGAAAGCTAGGCGTCTGGCACCTAAGAGTTAACCAAGTTATGATGGTAAAGGAAAAGTTATTGAAGGAAATTAACAGTGCTACTGCACTGAACACATGGACAATAAGAAAGCAAAACAACCTTATTGAAGATATGGAGAAAGTTTGAGTGGTCTGCATAGATCAAACCAGCAACAACATTTCCTTAAGCCTAAACCAAATCTACAGCAAGATCCTAACTCATCCATATTATGAAATCTGAGAGAGGTGAAGAAGCTGCAGAATTAAAATTGGAAGCTAGCAGAGGTTAGTTTATGAGGATTAAGCAAAGAAGCCCTCTCCACATAAAAGTGCAAGGTGAAGCAGAAAGTGCTGATGTAGAAGCTGCAGCAAGATATCCAGAAGACCTAGCTAAGATAATTGATGAAGGTGGACACATTAAACAACAGATTTTCAATGTAGATGAAACAATCTTCTATTGGAAAAAGATGCCATCTGGGACTTTCATAGCTAGAGAGGAGAAGTCAATGCCTGGCTTCAAAGCTTCAAAGAACAGGCTGACTCTCTTCCTAGGGGCTAATGAAGCTGATGACTCTAAGTTGAAGCCAGTACTCATTCACCGCTCAAAGATCCTAGGGCCCTTAACAATTATTATGCTAAATCTACTCTGCCTGTTGTCTATAAATGGAACAAGCCTGGATGACAGCCCACCTGTTTACCGCATAGTTAACTGAATACTTTAAGCCCACAGTTGAGACCTATTGCTCAGAATAAAAGATTCCTTTCAAAATATCACTGCTGATGCCAATTAACCCAGTCAACCAAGAGCTCTGATGGAGATGTACAGGGAGATTGTTGTTTTCAAGCCTTCTAACATAGCATCCATTCTGTGGCCCCTAGATCAAGGAGTAATTTTGACTTTTAGTCTTATAACTTAAGAAAAACATTTTGTCCATTCTGTAAGGCTATAGCTGCCATAGATAGTGATTCCTCTTATGGATCTGGGCAAAGTAAACTGAAAACCTACATGTAACAATTCACTATTCTATAATGACGCCACTAAAAACATTCATGATTCGGGGAGGAAGTTGTAATATCAACATTAACAGGAATTTGGAAGAAGTTGATTTCAACCCTCATGGATGACTCTGAGGGGTTTAAGACTTCAGTGGAGGAAGTAATTGCAGATGTGGCAGAAACAGCAAGAGAACTAAAATTAGAAGAGGAGCCTCAAGATGTCACCAAATTGCTACAATCTCATGATCAAACTTGAACAGATAAGGAGTTGCTTCTTAAGCATGAGCAAAGAAAGTGGTTTCTTGAGATGAAATCTACTGGTGAAGACACCGTGAACATTGTTGAAATGACAACAAAGGATTTAGAATATTACATGCACTTAGTTGATAAAGCGGTGGCAGAGTTTCAGAGGATTGATTCCAATTAGGAAAGTTCTACTGTTGGTAAAATGCTATCAAACAGAATCACATACTACAGACAAATGTTTAATGAAAGGAAGAGTCACTCAATGAAGCAAACTACATTCTTGTCTAATTTTAAGTAATTTCCACAGCCATGCCAACCTTCAGCAACCAGCATCCCATCAATCAGCAACCATCAACACTGAGGCAAGACCCTCCACCAGGAAAATGATTATGACTCACTGAAGGCTCAGATTATCAGCATTTTTAGCAATAAAGTATTTAAAAATTAAGATATGTACATTATTTTTAGACATAAAATGCTATTGCACACTTATAGGCTACAGTACAGTATAAATATAACTTTTATATACACTGGGAAACCAAAAAATTAATGTAACTGCTTTACTGTCATAGTCTGGAACTGAACCAGCAATAGCTCTAAGGTATCCCTATATTCAAATATATTCCCTCAGTTTTAAAACAGCTGTGTTGGGAAAATTTGTGATACTATTGGTGAGTTAGAAAAAAAAAATCACCATTCCTAGAAATATTTTTATTTTTTGAGACAGAGTCTTGCTCTGTTGCCCAGGCTGGGGTGCAGTGCCGTGATCATAGCTCACTGCAACCTTGAAGTCCTGGGCTCAAGTGGTCCTTTCACCTCAGCCTCCTGAATAGCTAGGACTGCAGGCATGCATCATCACACCTGGATAATTTTTTAATTTTTTGTAGATACATGGTCTCACTATGTTTCCCAGACTAGTCTCAAACTCCTGGCCTCAAGTGAGCCTCATGCTTCTTTAGAAAATATTTTAAATTCTATTGATGGTATATTTGAATCATATTCATATATAAAGGACATACTATAGTGAACCCTCACATTTAATGAGTTACACATTATAATTACAATTTCTAATCAACAGTTCTTTAGCAGGCCTGGTGACTGGAAGTGGTATGAATCTCCCTTACTCACGCCCAGTGCTAACACTTGGGCAAGGTTTTGCTTTTTGCAAATCTGCATGTAGATTTTCCTGATAGCAGAACTCAGAGAAATCAACAAATTGCCAGGAACTGGGGACTATAAGTGGGCTATGTTGTGAAGAAACAGGCTACTTGGAACTTCTGAGAGCTCAGAAATTTGATTTGGCATTCTTCAAATGCCTTAGAAACTTCAAATCCTCTGGATTGAGAGTGGAACATTTGTCATACAAACAATGAAGAATCCACTGGTGAGGATCTATGAACTTGGCTGCCCTAGAGGTAAAAGTATAAAGGAAGCAGTGGAGCCATTGCCTTCATGATTCACAGCTCCTGGGCTTTGATCTCAGTATGGTATCAAAACACTCCTAAAGTCCACCTCACTCATTTATTAATGTAAATGCTTGAATCACACTCTGTGTACCTTTTCAAAAAATAGATTATTTTCTCTAAATTTTTATTGACAAACTATTATTTATTATTTCCATTTTCCTGTTTTCTAGTTTGGCTGGCTTCCCTCTTGATCCTCACTACATATAATTCACACTGTTTTTGTTTACTTATTAGGTTTTGTTTTCCTCTTGATCCTTTTTACAGATATTCCATGGTTTTCCAATGCTATGTTCCTAATTCACAGATTTGTGGTCTTCTATGTTTAAAGAATTTATGGAATCCTAGAGTTGAGATGACTTTTGCTGTCATCTAATGCCGCTCACTTATCTTATAAAATAGAAAACTGAGCCTCTGAAAATGAGCGGATTTATATAACTTATATAGTTTCTCAGTGAAAGACTGAAGGGTATGTTTTCTGAATTCCTCCTTTTATGCAGGTAGCAGCCAATGCACTGCATAATTTAAGGGATTGTTGAGATTGAACACCAGGGTCCTGTTTGGGGATATGCTACCAAAGTTTTGAAAAAGCATTATCTGGAAAGGCCATTTGATTTAGGGGAATTGAAGGGATATGAGGGTTGAAGGAACAGATTATTTTGAGAATTAATTAAGGATGAAAGAGGCTGGGCACGGTGGCACAGGCATGTAATCCCATTTTTTGGGGGTGCTGAGGTGGTTGGATCACTTGAGATCAAGTGTTCGAGACCAACCTGGGCAACATGGCAAAACCCCATCTCTATCAAAAATACAAAAATTAGCCAGATGTAGTGGTGTATGTCTGTAGTCCCAGCTACTTGGGAAGCTGAGGTGGGAGGATCGCTTGAGCCTGGAGGTGGAGGTTGCAGTGAGCTGAGGTCACACCACTGCACTCCAGCGCGGGCAACAGAGTCAGACCCTATATACAAAAAATGGTGACAGCTCTGAGTAGTAAAGAATAGCAGCAAATGGCAGGATCACAGAAATAAAATGCTTTAAATTACAGGTGATCTAGGGTGTTCTAAAAAGTCTACTGATTCTCACACAAAGAAGATGGCTACTATCTGAATCACACATCCTAACAAGTGTTGGCAAGGGTGTAAAGAAATTGGAACTCTAGTGTACTGCTGGTGGAGTATAAGATGGTGCAGCTGCTATAAAAAATATGGCTGCTTTTTAAATAATTAAAAATGAATGACCATATTATCTAGCAATTTTACCTCTGGATATATGTCCAAAAGAATTCAAAGCAGGGTCTCAAAAAGGTATTTGACATTCGTGTTCATAGCAGCATTACTCACTATAGCCAAAATATGAAAGTAACCCATTTCCATCAATGGATGAATGGAGAAATAAAATATTATATACATACAATGGAACATTATTCAAACTTAAAAAGGAAGAAAATCCTGACATATACTATAACATAGATAAACTTTGAGAACTTTGTTAAGTGAAATAAGCCAGTCACACAAAGACAAATACTGTATGAATCTACTTATATATGAATTTAGAGTAGCTAAACTCATATAAGCAAAATGTGGAATGGTGGTTCTCAGTGGCAAGAGGAAGGGGGAAATGGAGAGTTGTTTAATGAATGTAGAGTTCAGTTTTGCAAGATGAAATAGTTTGGGAGATTGCTTGTACAACATTGTGAAGATACCAAATACTACTGAACCGAATGCTTGAAAATGGTTAAGATGGTACATTTTGTTTGTATATTGTTATACTTTGAATGTTTGTCCCTTCATAACTCATGTTTAAATTCGGTTGCAATTGTAGCAGAGTTAAGAGGCGAGACCTTTAACAGGAGATTGGGTCATGAGGTCTCTACCCTCATAGGTGGAATTACTGCCATTATAAAAGGGTGGTTTCAGCCCCTTTTTGTGCCGGGCCCTTCTGTCTTCTGTGGGGTGATGCAATGAAAACGCCCTAGCAGATGCTGGCAGCTTCATTTTGGATTTTCCAGCCTCCAGAACTGTGAGCCAATACATTTCTATCCATTAAAAATGACCTAATCTGTGGTATTGTGTCATAGCAGCACAATACAGACTAAGACATGGATTTTACCACAATTAAAAAATAAAAGAAGAAAAGACTGATGAATTTCTGGGGGAGGAAATAAAAGAGGGATGCACAGTGTGCAGAAGACCTTGTGGTATCATGACATGAGTTGAAAGTAGAACCTGGGTAAATACAATGAATTAGCCTCCAATAGTCTTTTCAGTTATGTAAGAGAAGAGGGGAGTCATTCCGGACAACCAACTTGATGTTTTCTTTAATGGATCTTTGGGTGAAATATGGCTACAAGTGGGCTATATTAACTGCACTGTAAAAAATATGACCAAATTATTGACTGTCGTTAAGAGAAACAAAGAGATCACTGTCTTAATTTTTGCTAGAATTTCTAGTGATAACAAGTGAGAAATGAGAGACATTTTCCCCGTCTACATGGAACTTGCATGTAGTGGGGTGGGGGTGGGGAGGGCAATACAAACGTTATCAGAAATAAAATAATCATTTCAGATGGTGATATGTATTTTGAAATAAATTTATAATTTAATGGGATAGGAAGCAACTGGGGAGAAGAGAGCTAACTTAAGAAAAGATTATCACACTTTGGGAGGCCAAGGTGGGTGGATCACAAGGTCAGGAATCCAGACCATCCTGTGTAACATGGTGAAACCCCGTCTCTACTAAAAAATACAAAAAATTAGCCGGGCGTGGTGGCGGGCACCTGTAGTCCCAGCTACTCGGGAGGCTGAGACAGGAGAATGGCGTGAACCCGGGAGGCAGAGCTTGCAGTGAGCCGAGTTCACGCCACTGCACTCCAGCCTGGGCGAAAGGGCGAGACTCCGTCTCAGAAAAAAAAAAGAAAAAAAAAATGTTCAGAAATGGCCTGGCGGAATGATCCGATGGGTCAAGCTATCGATAAATCTTCAGGAAACACATTTTAGGCAGAGAGAAGAGCACAGTTTTATCTGACATAAGGATTATGGTAACCCCATCATTAATAACCACAAAAGCACAATGTTGAAATAAATAGATAAGCATTTCATTTGACATCAAACATCTTTGTAACAACTGAAAAAGTATACAAAAGTGAAGTAAAGGAGGTAAATGATAAGCCAAACACAACATTGAAACCAAAAGTAACAATAAATATTTTCTTGATGTATTCAGGCTATACATTTAATTTCATCCATATTGAAGTTGAAAATGCAAACAAAAAAGGGATCCTCGGGTTCTATAAGAATAGAAAGAAATAGGAACCCTGCTTGAGCAGGACAAGAGAAAGATAAACTTTTTATCTGTATCTTTTCTCCGAAGGAAAATAAAATTCCAGAGCATGAAGATGTTTGCAGATGAGATTGCTGATGCTATATGGAATCTCAAAGGGGTGATAAAGAATTTTACAAAGCTGCTAAGAGACTAATGTTGAGAATATTTTCAAGTTTATTAACAGGTAGATTCTGTGAATTTTAAAGGAGCGTAACACCAAATCCATACAATTCCAGAATAGTTAAGATTATATCTGTGAACAGGTAGAGCAGGAAGCTGTGGTCAGTAGGAGCCAGAATTAGGGTCATAAAGGAAAAGCCATGCTACATTGATATCATATTATAATCTTATTACCAACTATGCTAGAATATTAAGGGATACTATAGTGTTCTCAGCAAGATATCTGATGAATTCTAATGTTATTCTTATAAGCAAGGATTTCAAAATTTTGAAATGGATATCCATTTAAGTAATTTATAGCTGATTGAAAAAGCAATTGTTGATTTTTTTCAGTAGTAATAAATCAAGACAAATACCTGTAGTGCACTGTTGCAAGGTTTTCAGTCCTGTCCTTCTGGGAGTGTATAATGATATATTGTTCAATTCTCTGGATGATTAACCAGCAGAGACATGGATCATCAAAGTAGAATTATGGACTAAAACTAGTAAGATGATCTTTAACTAGAAAAAAGGTAAAGTACTTTGTATTTATTCCAGTGAACCAATTTAGTAAACATGGATGGGGGACATAGAACTTAGTTGTAGTACTCAGATGACTGTAGATGTGTTCTGAGTCAAGACTGTTTTGCAGCTATCTCTAATGTATGTGTCATCTGAAACTGCAATAGTAACAGAATGATTGGCACTGTCACGGGGGGGAAGCCCTACTCTGCAGTCTCGGTTTAGGCCAATTTTAATACATGGAAAGACGTCTAGGGGAAGGGAAATAGGCAAAGGAGGGAACTCTAAGTCTTTTCATATGAGAAAACGAATGAAATTACTGGGTGTGTTTAACTTGCAGAGATAATTTAAGGATACCACAATTACAATTTATAAATATTTGGAAATCATCACATAGATTTTAAAATGACCAATGGTTGTATGAAAAGTTTGTGAGCTATTAAATCATATCGTTTTCTCTGTCCACTTCACAGTTGTGTGACCTTGGGAAAGTCACTTCACTTCTCGAAGCATAATTTGACCATATGACTGACTGTAGTCAATATGCTTAGAATACCTGATGATCAGTAAAAATTCAACCTAGAAAGATGTGGACAGACTAGAAGAGAATGGCCATTGGTGTTGCATAGGATGGAATACTTAATGTTTAAGTGGAGATTTATTTTATAAGTAGCGAGTTCATTACTGTATAGTTTTGTCTTGGGAGGACTTCTGTTTTCTAGCTAACACTGTAACTGCAGAGGTTTAAGCAACAAATACTCAGCAAACAAGAACCATCTGTATTTCTCACTAGGCAAACAAAAAACATAATATTATTTTGAACAGTATCCAAACTTTTAAATTATGAAAGAGCTTGGATAAGAGTAGAGACTATTATAAAATAATTGCAAAAAATCATCACCAAATCTTATCTTTTGCCTTAGCTAATTTAGCATAAATTCCAGAGTAAGCGGTCTGAGTAATGTCAAACCTGGTTTTTAAATGAATCTGAGAAATTAAATCATAAAATCCTCTCATCTCTCTTTAGAAATTTCTATCCCAAAACCCCATTAAAGTGTATTCTATCTTTATATATTTCTATCCAACAATACTACTAAAGTATATATCAAGTTTCTTAAAGCTTTTGTTAATTTTTTTTTTCAAGTTGGCCCTTAACAATTACCCTGTAATTTTCGAGATTTAGGCTGTTCTTTTTGGCAGACAATACTTCTTCACTGAGTCATTTTCTTATATTGTCTTTTCAAATCTAAATAATATTTTAACTTTTACTCTTTTTTTTTTTTTTTGAGATGGAGTTTCGCTCTTGTTGCCCGGGCTGCAGTGCAATACATTCCTCTTTAGATATGAACTACAGAATTAGACCCTTTATGGAAGTAGTAATAGTTTATGCACCATGTGTCATCAATGCCTGTTAACTATTATTCTGATTCTAAGAAATTATTATCCAATGTTTTTCCATGATTAAAAAAATCCTTCCTGGCTTTTTTTTTTCAACTAGCAAATTAAAAAAAAAAACAGTTAGGAATTTTCCTTTTAATGTAAATAAAAAACTGAAAATTCAGTTTTGAGTTTTTTTCCTGCCTCTAGCCCTGTACATCAACTTCCATCAAGCATTCCTTAGGGGCATAGTCTAGATCTTAATATAGGTAGTTGTACCTCTTTCTCTTCTATATCATTCTATATTAGTTATTTCTTTTGCGTCAAATAAAATAATTATAATTGCATTTATGTAAAAATGTATTTATAAATTGTGATATAAATGAAAACGTATCCGTTGAAAATTACCTCATGTTGCTAGCGCTTCAAACAGCTTTAAAAAATTCAGGTAATGGCATCTGATAAGTAATCAGTAAACTAATGCAATCTAATCCTGAGAAGGAAGGCCAGTGATCACTTTAGTAGTTTGTCTTCACTAGGAACTTTCCTCAGTTTCATTTATTACAATCAAGAACTGCACATAAAAATTGGGGCTCAAATTTAAAACAGTTAGTGAAAAACAAGTCTTCATTGCAGAATTCTCTGTGTGGTATGTATGGTTTGATATTTTTATTGTTACTTTCTTAGGTTTCTCCTAATAAAATATGAATTTTGAGAATAAAGTGTGAATTTTGGATATGCATATTGTCATGGGAACTGGCCTGTGTCTTCTTACCGACTTTGAGAGTGAAAAATGAGTATTAAAAAGAGAGAAAATAAATGAAAGCAACACGTTTTCTTCATACCTAAAAGCAAACATTTATAGTATTTATCCCAGAATGAAGTTGAATTAAGTATGTTCTAGATCAGAGGAATAAACAGTATGTTGAACTTCTGGCTTTTATACAAGCAGTTACATGAAACTCTGTTGAGATTTGAGGAATAAGCACATTCCCAGAGAGGCCTTTATAATTTGATAAGGGAAACATCCGAACTTGGAACATATAAACGGGGCCACATTTTTTCCTTTGACTTCAGTGGAATTCTCAGTGATGAGTTAGCATTCTAAATTACTGTAACAGTAAAGATTCAACTTTAGTGCAGTTATTTTATTTTGATTTTTAAATGGCAGCAGAGTGAAACACTATGATAAATACCACTTGTGTTGCAGCTAATACATTTTTATACCTAAATATTGAAGAAAACATAATGTTGATTTTCTTTTTTTTTTTTTTACCTTTAATGAGTCTACCCTCCATGAATAAACTAGATTAATCATATTTTCCAAATAGCCTCTAGGAAACATATTGTTAAAATATCACAAAGAGTTCCTTATTGTCTTTCTCTGTTTCACTTCTTCCAGTTTTTCTAAAACTTGATGATGCTGTCTTTCTCTGGCTCTCTTTTGGTGGTCGTTTTCTATGCTATCTCCAGAAATTTCATTGATTTTCATGTCTGCATGCTTATCCATGTCTCAATAAGCAGTACTTCTAAGGTTGTGTCTCTATATTTGTACAAACATTCCTAATTCAAGCTCTATCCTAAAATTTCCCATAACTCAAAGTAAATTTTTAGTTGAACAAAAATTTTCACAAAAAACACAGCACAGTTAAGCAGACATCAGCTCTGATCTACTTTTTCCATGAATCACCTTCTTTTTTCAGATTAATGTAAACAAAGCTAAATATCCAGTTCTCCCGATTGAGAGGAAACTTGAGGAAATCATCTTTATGCATAATTCTTCTTTTTATATAGCAAATATTTGAACAGGTTTTCAAAATGTTTGTTGTTGTTCCTATCATTATTGTCTCCGCTCTTGGAAATTCTCATTAATTTATAACAAAGTTAGCTCTTTACGCGGACGTTTTTCCCCCAGTCTTCCTTCTTGTTTTCAAATAAAGGTTTTGGCTGAGTTTCCTTTCCATAACTATGACTGAAAAAGATAGAATTGCTCAGGATTTTCTTTCATTGCTTTTAAGCTGGCATACTACGATTATTTCTATTTCTTCATTCTGTATTTTTGATATTCAATCAACCTAATTTTTTTTTCTTTAAATAATTTCTCCAGGGATGTGTCTAGGTTCTGAGATTTTTCAAAGCACCAGGTTTAGGGGTTTTTGTGATTCTTTGGACACTCTATTGTGTCTTTTTGGTCTTTTTGAATAGAATGCTTAGTGAAATCATTTTTATTAAAAAAACCTGGCTTATTTGTATCTAGAAATTTTGATATATTGTGCTTTCATTGTAACTTAACATCAAGTTTTTCTTAATTTTCACTTTAATCAAATAGTCATTTAGTATTTGTTTTTCATTCCAGTTATACAAGTGTATATTAATATATAATAATGTATGGGAATTTGTAGCAACTTACAGTAATTCTATATTGTTATTGGTTTCTAATTTTATTGCATTTTAGTTAGAAATCACATTTTATAACATGTTGATTCATAAGAGGTTACTGAAACTTCCTTGGTGGTGTATAACATAAATAAATGTTTCCATATGCTGAAAACAAAATTTAACAAAGAATAAAAATTCTCTCTCTCTATGATTTGTTTTGTTCAAATATACTGTGCTTGTACAATCCAGTAAATTGTTGATTTATCTGTTTTTTATGCAGTTCATCCTGCTTTTGCTTATTATATTTAGAAGTTATATGGTTACATACTTAGATTTTCCTAATTATATATATATATATATTTTTTTTTTTTTTAGAGAGAGTCTCACTCTGTCGCCCATGCTGAGTGCAGTGGCACCATCTTGGCTCACTGCAACCCCCACCTCCCGGGTTCAAGCGATTCTCCAGCCTCAGCCACCCGAGCAGCTGGGACTACAGGCAAGTGCCACCACGCCTGGCTAATTTTTGTATTTTTAGTAGAGATGGGGTTTCACTATATTGGCTAGGCTGGTCTCAAACACCTGACCTCAAGTGATCCACCTGCCTCAGCCTCCTAAAATGCTGGGATTAAAGGCGTGAGCCACGGCATATTGATTTTTTACCAGCATGCCACTCAAGTGTTTGTGCCTCATAATTTTTTTCTGCCATTAATTTTTTTCTGGTTAAAATTATTCTGGACTTTTTCAAGGTACATTTCTCAGATATACATTTTTTCATTTTTCTTTACCAAATTTTTTTGTGTGGTATTCTTAGAAAGTGTCTAGTTGTCAACATATTGTTGGGTCTTAATATTTGTTAACATCTAGTTTGAGAATCTCTTTTTTTCTACATGAATTTAACCCTTTTATTCTATTTTTATTCTTTGATATTATCCTTAACTCATACTTTTTTTTTCTCATCAATTTCTAATGCAAGTCTTCTCTTACCCTGGATTTTCCTTGCATAAGCCTCTTCCCCAATAATTTCTTTTCCTCTAACTAGGAATTTTGTATCATCCATGGTTTCAATTATAAGTCATAAATGTACACTTTTGAGGGCATAGGATCATTGATAGTTTAGACAAAGTAGTCTTTTCTAAGTTAGTTATTCATTGTTAATTTTGTTCTTCTCTTATTCACTTTCTCCTTTGTTTTAACAGTATACCATTAAGATTTGCTTATCATCTTTAATTGAATTATTATATTGGCATAAATATAATTTTTATCATTATATTTCAGGTAGCCTCTGAAATTCTTGAAACAGAGACTTTTTTGCTTTATTTATTGTTATACCACCCAACATAATATGTGGAATATATTAGGTATTTGATAAATATTTTTCAATTGATGCCTAAATGAAAGAATATTTCTCAGGCCACTTGGAACAGTTTTGACCATTGACATATATTTATTGAACTTTTACTGAATTTAAGGAAGTTGTACCATTGCAAGCCATTAAAGTGTTTGCTTTTAAATTATGTTTCCTTTTTGCCTACTTCCCACGTCTTAATATTATTGAACATTTTCTTTTCTTCCTTTCTGCAGTCAGATTTCATTCAAAAGTGGACCCTGGGATTCTGACAGCTCTTGCTTTCCAGTAGGTTAAACTCTTTTTGCCTACTTTCCAGTGGGTTCCACCGATTTACAATCTTTTATCTTGTCATTTTAAACCACTATTTAAGGAGAAAAGAAAAAAATAGATACAAATTGTTCTTAAAACATGCATATATACACACATATATATGTAGATTTGTATGTATGAGTATATATATACACACACATATATGCATATATATACACACATATGTATATATACACAGAAATGTAGGCATTTCTTAATATATGTATATATTATATAGTATATTACATGTGAGTGTGTGTATGTATATGTAATTGTCCTAAAAAAGTTTTAAGAAAAAAACGCCTTGAAGAACTTGACTTCAGAAGCTTCTACTTTGACTGACATTAGCATCTGCCACAGAGGTTTAATAAACAAAGTCTCTATGGTTAGCTAAATTAAAATTAATTCCTAATAAGAGAGCAGGAAGTGCTTAATGACTGAAATATTAAAGAACCCCTTGAACAATCCACTCATATTTCTTATAGAGGAATTAAGAAACAAAGGGGAAAGAAAAGAGGCTCTCTTTTCTCATGTTGAGAAATGTTCTGAGAAAGGCAGACACATGGGAGGTCTTACTATGTCAGCTTTTGTGTCCTGCAAAATAGCCCCAGTAAGCTTTCCTTATTCAAAACATAAGCCCAGTGATCTAACCAACCCTCAGGCACTGTACTTTTTCTCATCTTTCTTTAATAACTAACATTCTTGGAATAAACGATTTCACTTGCTGCTCCCACTTCCTCATCACTCACCTAAAAACAAAAAACCTTTTTAGATTCCAGCTTTGACCATCATTATTCTAATCACATTTGTCTTCGTTAACAATAACAATTGCTTTTTTCAAGTACCTTACAAAACTTTCTTTGCAGCATTTGATTTTGTTACACAGAACTCCTTCACAGTCCTTTCTCTTTCGAGGTTGAATCGTGTTGATTTTAATTTGCCATCTTTGCCTTTGTCTGGAATTTTTTCCAACAACTTCTAAATGTAGGCATTTCTTAAGCGTCTGTTCTTGTTTGTGTTTTATTTCCTCTCTACATTCGCCTCTTCAGCTATTTCATCTGATTCTTGAACCACTCTGTATATGGCTTTTAATAGTTGATCTTCACTTTTCACTCCCTCTTTGGCTTTAGACCTAAATTTCCCAGACCTCAAACATATTAAGATGGATTTTATCAATTGTCCCATCAACATTTGCTTCTCATCCCCTGTTCCCTTTCTTCATCAATGCTTCTAATCTGATCCGTTTATCTAAGCTATTTCTCTCTGACACACAGGCATTCAGTGACTTCACAACCACTGCGAATCAGCCTCTCCTGTTTCTACCTTCCACATAATTGCTCTTTGTCCTACTTTCTGTTCTTTTTCTGGAAAATTATGAAAACTTCTTAAACAATCTTGGTTCATTTAACTAAAATAATCTTTAAGAGGTACAGCAAGGACCAAACAATTTTCTTGCCCCTTATATGTTGAACCATTTTAGGGTGCCACTTAGAGGGTCCCGCACATTTTAAACTCTTTGCCCTAAATGTACTTAATTTTTCAACCAAGATATACAATCAGCCTGTCCTCAAATTGCCCTTCTTCAATTTCAAAATCAGGTCTGCTGCTTCTCCCCATGTAGATTGATTGCTAAGTAGCCCCCCAAATTTTAATTTATTTTATTTCCTCTCATTTACGTTAGTACTTTATCCATATGTATGCTAATTATTTAAGAACTACTTATAAAAGTAATCAATTTAAATTTTCCAAGGAGGAGTTATCAGAGAAATTGATATTTCCACTTCTTAAGAAAAACCAAACAGGAGAGGGAGGGGTATAGTCACGTTGCCCCACAAAGTTGGTCTGCCATCTAGTGACAGCTCCATCACACTACAAGCCTTGTCTTTGACACCTGGAGTCTGAGGCTCGGCCTTCAAATTTTCCTCAAGGAATGTGTCAAACAGTCCTTTTATTCCCCCTCGGATAACATACTGTCATAAGGTAAAATATTGCATATTGCTTAATTTTTATATGAGATTAAACACTGTAAACAATTAATTTAGGACTAATTATATAGATCAGAGAAAGGGTAGGATGTGAAATGTTCATCTGTGTTAACGTTGATCAGTGAGGCATATGGGTCTACTTTGAAAGAAGAAATGTAGAGGAATACCTGAAAGCTTGAATAAATCTGTGAGAAAGTGTGAGACATTTTTTCTTCTGAGCTAACATACATAACATACCCAGCAGAGTGATATTAAAATAATAAACATTGCTTATCTGAAGCAGCATAGGTTTGGAGGCAGTTTGTCACTGTCACCTTTGTGAGTTGGAGCCGAATACTCAACCATTCAACATGACCACTTTCACATTTGAAAACGTAGGGATAACAATATCTTTGTTGTCAGTATAAGAAAAAATATATATAGACACTTCGTTGAGAAGAGGCTCCCAATAAATAAGTGATAGTTTGTTTTTAATGATTACCATCCTTTTCACTTCTGATGATGTGTATGGAAACACATATCTAAATATCAAGCTTTGAAAATCTGTTATTTTTAGATCCTCAATTTGTTTCTTTCTCATAGTGTGGAGTGCATGTGTTGATAGGTATCATTATTTTCAGTACCTGGTGAAAGGTTACATGCCTATTCAGTAAATATGTGACCAAAATGATTACAAAATAAATTATCCATATTAGGCATTAAAAGCTTGTATCTACTATAATGTAAAAGTATTTTAAAAAGTAAGTGGTTCATACTTACAGCTTTCCAGTTGCATTATACATGTTTGTACATCCATGGGAAAATTCTTGAGATCCATTGGACAGGAAAGTGTTAATGTTAATCTGAAAGTCAAAGTAATTATTTTTAAAGGAAATTTATGACATTATATTAATATTCTATTGTACAGGAGAAACAATGTTGCTTTGCTGGTGACTAACTCAGATTTAAGTAAAAATTTCTCCAGCTTATGTATCCTACTTACTATAAAATAGCTATGCCCTTATATACAAATCTGGCTTTGGTGGGCTGGGGGTTGGATAATTGCATATCTTAGGCTGGTGCTAAAGTAATCGTGGGTTTTGCCATTAAAAGTGCTGGCAAAACAGCAATTACTTTTGCACTAACCTAAATATAAGCATCCCGTCATATTTATATATCTATATGTTTATTTATTCAATTAGAAAGGGCTGTGGATGTCTAGAAAATGTCTGTATTCCAAGACGACATCCTCAAAAGAGAAATTCAAGAGTGGATCCTATAAAATTAATGCCAAACGTCAAAAGGTATCTTTCCTTGCAAATCACATGCTATATTCCAGAGGCATTAGAGTTCTAAACGTGGAAAAGCAGGGTGGAGAGGAGCAATCATATGTAACGTTCAGTCATCATTCTAACGACCCTGATGTTGTCAGTGAACATTCAGCAGTGTATTTAGTAAAGTGAATCTGGAGGACTTGAAAAGTTCGGCCTCATGTTCCCCGGTGTGGGATAAGGGAATCATCAGGGTCAGGAAATAGCCCTCTAGAATATTCATGATCTGATTCTATGCTCATCAAACAAACTTCTGATTTGGCTTCACACAAAGGATAACCTAGATGCTGTATACCAGTATTCCGCTCATTGGAAAGGCTCTCCTCCAACTTCCAGAGAGAATTAGTATGTTGACATTCCAGAAAATTCATCACCTTTGAATACTTTTTGCTGGAAAAGCATTCTACCCAGATCTCTTCAGGGTAGTTTTTCTGGTTCCTACACCTGAGGAAGAGATGGTGAGATCCACTCAAGTTTATTCAAATGAAGTTCTTTTCTGAGAACTCTTTAGCAAGCCTCTTGCACTGAGAATATTCCCATTGAAATTCAGTGTCTTCATGAGCACCCTAGGTGGATTAGTTTACTTAAACTTCGTGACCCTAGGCAGATTACTTCAAATCCCCTATATTGCAGTTTTCTCATCTTTAAAATGAAGATAACAATAGTACCTACTCCAGAGAGTTGCTATGAGCAGTACATGCGTTAACACACATAAGTGCTTAGACAAGTGCTTAAGCCATAGCAAACACTCAACAAACAGTGGTTGTTAGTGATTATTAGTATATTCAGCCACTCCTAGACTCCTTCATTTACTCATCTGCCAAATTCTATAGTGTGGGCACAAAGATGACTAAATTAAATTACATATTAAGAACTATTTAGCCAGGCGTGGTGTCTTACGCCTGTAATTCCAGCGCTTTGGGAGGCTAAGAAGAGAGGATCGCTTGAGCCCAGTAGTTTGTGATCATCCTGGGCAACATAAAAATACTCTATCTCTACAAATATATATATATATATATTTTAAATTAGCCAGGTATGGCTTGTGCACCTGTAATCCTGGCTACTCAGGAAGCTGAGGTGAGAGTATGGCTTGAGCCCAGGAGGTCGAGACTGCAGTGAGCTAGGCTCACACTGCTGAACTATAGCCTGGGTGACAGAGCAAGATCTTGTCTCTTAAAAAAAAAAAAAAGAAAGGAAGGCATGCAGGAAGGAAGGGAGGGAGGGAGGGAGAGAGAGAGAGAGAAAGAGAGAGAAAGAAAGAAAAAGAAAGAAGGAAAGAAAGAAGAAACAAAGAAACAAAGAAAGGAGGGAGGAAAGAAAGAAGGAAAGGAAGGAAGGAAAAAGAAAGAAGAAAGGAATAAAAAAGAACTATTTAAGCTTTAACAAAAAATAGTCTGCAGCTCTACTAAATATAACCACATTCGTCAAGCTGACATTTTTATGTAGACCATAGACATAAAGTTAGAATGATGTATAGTCTACAGAGAGTATGCTTGGTGAGTTAGGTCCAATTAACATAATTTGGGACACATAAATGGAGAGACAGTGAAGCTGCTGAATTTTAAGAGTCTTAGGAGGATAATCTGGTAATTCATTCGAGTCAGAGTCCATAACACACTAGAATAATTCATGGAGTTCAACATTCAAAAGGAATTTTTCTCCTGGCTCAGCTAGGTTAAGTATGATTGTGTAATTTTACAAAGTTCTCTCTTAAAAAGGCAATTTTAAAATTAGGTAGACACAATGTTTTTTGCCTTGTGAAAGGGCTTATTAGAAGTGTATGCACACATATATTTTGAATGTACACACATTAATTTTCCAAATATCCAAGGCTCTCAGACAGCCAGTTTCAAATGTTGACTTGCAGAATTAATTCTGTGACCTTTTGTTTGGAAGTAAATAGCATTCTCAGAATCTTTTCCATGCTCTCACCATGCATGTGATGTCAAATTCATATCCTGGCTATTTTTCTGGCATAAAAAAAGAGACATTACATAATTCTAAAAAAATAGCACTTGAAAGGAATTATTTGGCAAAGAAAAACACAGTTTGTAGGACTTCGGTCATAAATCATATCCTGAAAAAATCTATTCATCGACTTTTCTTTCTTTTTGTTTAAGGTACAATACAATTGCTCCTTTCACAGCATACTGAAAAATACGTGTCAACTTGGTGGGTTTGATACTGAATTTCTTTGTCAAAACACTACATATAAATTAAAGACATGTCTTGACCACATCAAAAGAAAATTAAATCAAGAGGCAATTAATCACATTCTACTGTTTTGGAAATAAATGTTTACTTGTGTAAGAGAGACACTAAGTTCTCTTTCTGAGACAAGATACATAAACAGGATATGGCGTTTCTTCTTTTCCTTTAAGAAGTCTTGGGAAAGACTTTTAACATTAGTACTTAGTGAAACAGTAATGTTTAAAAAGCTGATAATAATTTGTGACAAACAATTGACCTCATTAAAATTCAATTATTGACCACTTTTGTACAAGCATTGTTTCATGTGTCTATCTCAACCACTAGTTGAATTAAAAAATGTTTGCTGACTCTATTATAGACTTTGTATATAAATGAGTATTTTTATTAGATCCTAATATTTCTCTATTTGGTGTCTTAAAAACAATGGCTTCAATTAGCAATTTAATCAGTTTTAATCTATATTATCTGTAATATCATATTAGCTAACACATCTATTAGACAATGTTTACTGTGCAGTAGGCAGTATTTTAAACACTTTGTGTATGTTAACTCATTTACTCCGTACTACAAATTTACAAGAATAGGTAAATGATATCACCCTGTTTTAGAGATGAGGAAACTTAGAGGTTAAGTAACTCACCTGACATTACACAGCAAAAATTGCTACAGCTGAATTTGCAGCCCTGGGGTTCTAGTTCTAGATTTCGTGCTTTTTTTTTTTTTTTTTTTTTTTGAGACGGAGTCTCGCTGTCGCCCAGGCTGGAGTGCAGTGGCGCAATCTCGGCTCACTGCAGGCTCCGCCCCCTGGGGTTCACCCCATTCTCCTGCCTCAGCCTCCCGAGTAGCTGGGACTACAGGCGCCCGCCACCTCGCCCGGCTAATTTTTTGTATTTTTAGTAGAGACGGGGTTTCACCGTGTTAGCCAGGATGGTCTCGATCTCCTGACCTCGTGATCCGCCCGCCTCGGCCTCCCAAAGTGCTGGGATTACAGGCGTGAGCCACCGCGCCCGGCCTCGTGCTTTTAACCTTTAAGTATACTGCCTCTCAAAAGCATTGAAGCATTTTTCATGAAAATGGGTTCTGTAATTAATATGACATTTTAAATTATGTATTTCTTATAATACAAGAAATGATATATTGCATGCACATATCAGTTATTTATAGTGAAATTATAGTTATATTATAGTGAAATTTAAAGTAAAACATGCATAAATAATTTTTATAAAAACCTACATAAATAATTCTTCCAAAAGAAATCAGAGAAATGTAGTTAAACTGTAGAAAATATAAGGAATTTCCCCAGAGATTTGATATATTTGAATGATTTGGTATATGATTATGAATGATTTTCTAAGGGGTAAATCACTCTTAGGAGAGATTAGATTGCTGGAGCACTAGAAGGGAGATTAGAATGAGCTTCTGTAACCTACTTCTGGAGCTTAATTGTCATCTGATCATAGAGACAATCATTAACTCAGCAACCCATTACCAAAGCAATCTCATTATTGTTGATGGTTTCTTTATGAAGCTATGGACCGCTTAAGAAAAACATACACAATTAAATGTATGCCAAATTCTTCTTACGACATGCATTTTATAGCATTGTAAATTGATTACCCTTGAATAAACAGCACTTAAAAAAGCAACTGTCAAAATAAGTTTGCTTTCTTATTTAAAAATTAATGGCTATCAATGTTAAAAATACATATTCTCATACAAGTAAACTTTAGTTATTTTCACAAATTTCACAGAGTGATTATATTTAGCTTAAATAAAAATTAAAATTATATCATGATCTTTGTCAAGTTGCTATGCATAGCATCTTTAACATAAAATTTCTTCCCGTGATCTGATTTTTAATGCAAGAATGCCTCTGTACTACGAGTAGAAAAGTTGGGTTTCTTAGTAATATTAGTAAAGTAAGAAAGTATATCATATTTAACTGCCTATGATGGGATTCCATTATTCTGTGGTAAAGATATTACTATCCTCTTTTTACAAGTGACAAAACTGAGGCTGAGACATCTTAATAACTCAAGAGTCCATGCAGTACAGGTTTATGGATTCTGTAAAAAAACAGAACGTATACTTTTCTTTAAAGGTAAAAATAACAACTTTAGTGCCTATTGTATGTCTGGCACTATGCTGGGTGCTTTATTTAATGTATTTTAATACATTATTTCAGGCTCAAGGTAATTAGTATTGTCACTGCCATGTATCTAAGAAAAAATGAGCCTTTTAGAAGTAAAGAGACTTAACCCAAATCACAGCTAGTCAATAGCAGAGCCTCGATCTGGGCTGGGAGATATATTTCTCCTTGATCCTCTTGTGCTCCTATACCTCCTCTAGCTTGTATGCCAAGACTGCAAAGCTCTAATCATTCTTTCATCTGAGCCATTTTCCAGGGTTGTTTATGCAGCTGATAATTTTGAGAGATGAGAACATCTTTCAAAGAGAAGGCTTGCTTACAGCTTGCTATAAAAGTAGTGGATTCCCAAAGTCAGTGGTAGAGAGTTAAATGTACATGGAGTATCATATCAGGGAAACAAACTCTAGTTTTCCTTTATAAGAATTAATAGACAATTTCAAATATTTTAAAAATCAAGCATGATATTACAGCAACTTAAGTATATGAATGTGAGTGGTAGACAAATAGCTAAACAAAGGCTACCTCTCTGACAAGCCAGAACTGGGTGTAAGGATGGGCAGGGCAAAAGTACAACTGTTTTTTATATGTTTTATAGAACTGTGTGAACTTTGTGTGTGTGTGTGTGTGTGTGTGTGTGTGTGTGTTTTTGAGATGGAGTCTTGCTCTGTCATCAGGGCTGGAGTGCGGTGGTGTGATCTTGGCACACTGGAACCTCCACCTCCCTGGTTCAAGAGATTCTCCTGCCTCAGCCTCCCGAGTAGCTGAGATTACAGGCATGCGCCACCACGCCTAGCTAATTTTTGTATTTTTAGTAGAGACGGGGTTTCACCGTGTTGGCTAGGATGGTCTCCATCTCCTGACCTCATGATCTTCCCACCTCAGCTTCCCAAAGTGAAAACTGTGTGAACTTTTAAGTGACATTCATGAATTATATAAAGATTTGTGGTTAAATTAATATTCAGTGTTTACATGTTATAAATATGTAATTCTTGCTCCTGATTAAGCTTGGTAGTTTGTTATAGCACTTGTATAACTTTTTGTTATATATAACATATATATACACACATATATATAACATATATAACATATATAAACAAGTAATAATTATGTTACAAATTTCATAAAATTTTAAATATATTTAAGAATGAGGCACTAAAAACTATCTGGAGCTCAGTTAGTAGCAGATGGCTCATTGAGTAATGGTCTTGACTGTAGGATAGTAATATGGCTGCTCAGAGGTTCTCCAAATGCCAGAATGTGTAGATCTTTTCTCTTAGGCAAATTAGTTTTCCAGATACATATATATCTATATATCTAAGACAGATATAAATGCCATATAACTAAGAGGAAAAAAATATGTGTGTATATATATGTGTGTGTGTGTGTATATATACATATAGATGTATATGAAAAAATATGTGTGTGTATATATATGTGTGTGTATATGTGTGTATACATATGTGTGTGTATATGTGTGTGTATATATATATGTGTGTGTATGTGTGTATGTGTATATATGTGTATATATATAACAAATAGGGAAACTAACTTGCCTAAGAGAAAAGATCTACAGATTCTGGCATTTGGAGAAACTCTGGACAGCCATATTGCCTATACCTGTATCTATAAGGTATAATCTATCTGTATATCTATCTATATCTATATCTATATCTGTATCTATATGTATCATCTGTATTCTTGTCTACTGCTCAGTGGAAGAAGTTTAAGTCTGCCTTTCAGCATTTTAGGGCCAGCAAGGGGTCCTGTCATTCTTATTTTGTTGGTATGATGCCTCATGACAGGTAGCAGTTGTGCCTGAAACCCCTATGCCTAAAGCTTTTGAAAGAGCCTCTCCAGCATTTTCTGTCCTCTTGCTTCCTGCTTAGTTCAAAAGGTAAAAAGGGCAGTCCCTAACCTGAGTGCATGGGAAGGAAATCAGGAATAGAGGGTCCACTTGTCCTACAAAGCTTAAATAAATTATACTCCTCTTAGATCTCTTCTGGCCTCTACTTTCTGAAGTCCCAGGTGCTTTACATTTCTAAAAATTTGAAAATATTAATTATTCTCTTCCTTTTGAATTCCCCTATGTTGACGTAGGTTTCCACTATCTCTGTCTAAGTCAGTTTTCAGAAGTGCATTCATTTTTAAGTTTCCTAAACATGTTATCACTCATCTGTTGCTGTTTTTTCCCCATTACTTTCATCCTCCTGTGTGTTAACGACATTTTTATTCTTTATTCCGTTTATTTCCTTTTTTTAATGGGGTTTCAGAGGAAATACAGATAAATATGTAAGTTCAATTAGTCGTCTTTGCAAGGACCTTCTTCTTCTTTCTTTAAAAAAGCAGGAAAGCCAGATCTCTCATGAAACATAACAGATGCTCCATTTGTAAATTCAACAAGATTTTTTCTTTTTCTAGCACAATTTTTGTTAACAAAGAAACTGAAGATATGAAGCATTTGAAGATTTCAAAGTCCTGTGAGATTTTCAAAAACAACTCAGAAAAAATTAAGTTTTGGATTGTGCAAGCCAGGATATAGCAAACAAAATCTAGGAGCCGAGAGACCATCTGTTTCATTTGAATTCATACTGAAAGACAAAAGATGCATTTCTAAATTATTTCATACCTTTCTTCAAAATATTAGAAGAAATGTGAGCAATTCATAATGGATGATGTCATTTATAAGAGACAAAATTCCAGTTTTATTCCAATACTTTATGACAGAAAATACTTGAGCATTTCCAGGGGACATAGTAGCAAGATCTCATTAATTGTATTTAAATTATTTAAGTGTTCAATATAATAAATTTAGTATTCTTTAATATAATGCATTTGAATGGGCACAGTTAAGGGTTTTAGTACAACTGTCATCTTGAAATCTTCTTAATAACAAGATCTATCCTATTTGACAAATTTTTAGGATGGACGGAATTAAGCGCTTTTGTCTTTGATGACATATTGTTAGTAAGAAGCCTCTCAAACAAAAAGTAGTCTAGGTTTTATATTCTATTTTGTTCAATGATCAGGGAAATACTAAAAGCTCAGTAGTGTGTTCTTTGTGTTGACTTTCTCCAACTCCAATAAGACTTAAAATAAACAAATACATGTTGATAATCATGTAAGATATGTTACATACAAACACACACAACTACAATAAATAATCTAGATATTCTATCTTTGCAAAATGACTATTCCATGCTACCTGGTGATATATTTTTGCAACCTATGCAACCCCAAATCTGTCTGAAGTGAAACAGTACTTCAAAATATAATTAAAAATAAAATGACACCTTTTACAAAAATAATTTTTAACTTAGCAGGAAAGAATGAAATTTATTTTATTTATACCCTGTCATGGGTCCCCTGATAATATTCTTGAGCCCACAGCACAGAGGAGTGAAGAATCATGACCTCATGTTAAGAGACTTTATAACTTAAAATATATGTGTTTAATTCATAAGTGATACATAACTTGTTATGAAAAATTCAAACAATATAAAATTACATATAGCAAAATGTACAGTTCCCCTTTATTCCTGCCCAAATTCCACTATTCCTATTCATTTCTAAATTGTTTGGGGTTCGTCTAAACTTCTTCTATAGACATATATATGTATATTTTTACATACATAGCTATGCATATATATATTTGTGTGTGTGTGTGTATATATATATGTATATATATATATATGCCTTAAAAATATACAAAACATTTTTCTTGAACTGAAATATATCATGTAGGCTTACACTCAGGTCTATCTCATGCAAGTTATTTCATAATATGGGGTTATTACTGTGTTCAGTCATGTTCTTATTAGTGAACATATATAGGCCCTTTTTTGTTGCTATTTCAGTGTTTCAGTGGGTCTCTTTGTAAAAGATATCTTATGTACACATACATATGTAATTTAGATTCCTAGAAATAGAAATGCTGAATTGAAGGATAAATGAGTTTCATATTTTTATATATCTTGACAAATCCTCTTCCCAGTTAACATCAAGTCATGTGACCACAGAAGGGCTATTAGACAGCTCGAAATCTTACCGGTCTCATTAACTTCTGTCAATGCATTTATAAAAAAAGTTATCTCATTTGTTTCTTTCATTTTCCCCTTACATCTGTCTTATAATTTTTGCTTGAACTGTCAAATATAATTTAGGAAACTCAAAATGAGAAGGAAAGTCTATTGTATTCACTCATATTTTTGCTTCCTGTGTCCTTTTTTCCTTCTTGATATTCGTATGCTTCTTCTTTTATCATTTTCTTTTTTTTAGAAAGCTTCTTTGACCATACTTTCCAGGCAGATTTACTTGTGATTAATTCTCTATTTTCCTTTATCCAAGAATGTTTTGATTTCCCCTTTATTCCCGAAGGATATATTCCCTGGGTACAAGATTCTCAGATGAGAGTTCCTTCCTTTCAGCACCTAAAAAAATATTTGTAGCTTCTTTCTGGCTTCAGTGACGTCTAGAAAAATCTACTCTCATTCTCATTGTTTTTCCTGCATAAGATATCACTATTTTCTGGATGCTTTCAGGATTTGTATTTAGTTTTCAGAAGTTTATGCATTATGTGTCTTCATATGGACATCTTTGGATTTATCTTGTTTGGGAACTCAACTTCTTGAATCTGCAGGCTCACGCCATTTGCAAAATGTATTAACATTTCAGCCATTGTTTTCTCTAGTTTTTTTTAGCTTCATACCCTTTCCCCCTCTATCTGACACTCTGATGACATGAATGTTAGATCATTTGTTGTAATCTCACAGATCCCTGAGGCTGTTTCCCAGGCCCCACGGCCAATCTATTCATCTCTGTTGCTCAGATTGGGTAATTTTTGTTATTCTGTTTTATGGTTCACTGATTCTCTTTTCCATCTTCTCCATTTTTTTTGGTCCACCCATACACTGAGCTTTCATTTTGATTATTGTATTTTTAGGTCTAAAATTTTGATTTGGTTTCACTTTGTAGCTTCTATTTCTTTGCTGAGGCTATTTTTCTCATTTGTTTCAAGCATATTTGTAATTGCTCACTGAAGCAAATTTATCATGGCTACTTTAAAGTCTTTGCCAGATATCTAACATTTTTGTCTTTTCTTTTGAGACAGGGACTTGCTTTTTTACCCAGGCTGGAGTGCAGTGGTGCGATCTGGGCTCACTGCAACCGCTGCCTCTTAGGCTCAAGAGATCCTCCCACCTTAGTCTTCCTAGTCACTGGGAACACAGGTGAACGCCACCTTGCCCAGCTAATTTTTGTGTTTTTTTGTAGAGACAGGGTTTTATCACGTTGCCTGGGCTGGTCTCAAACTCCTGGGCTCAAGCAATTTGCCTGCCTCAGCCTCCCAAAGTGCTGAGATTACAGGGTGTGAGCCACCACTCCTGGCCTCATCTTTGTCATTTGGATGTTGCTATCAGTTGATTGTCTTTTTCCAGAATTATTGAACATTTATGGTTCTTTGTATGATTTCTGGTTCTTTGTATGATGAATGTTTCTTGGTTGAAGCCTAGACATATAAATACTATTTTATTAGACTCTGGCTCTTATTTAAACTTTTTTGGTTTTCTCTGACATTGCTCTGCTTAGGCAAGGGAAGGTGTTATCTTGTGTCTGTTTCCTAACCACTCTCTATACAGGCCTGTGAGGGGAGAGGCTCCGCCTTATTGCTGGATGTCCCAGGTGTAAGCATGATGTCCACTGACACTATGGTGAGAGTGGCCTCAGAACTGCTAGGTGATGTTGAAAATATTGACTGTCCACTAAGTCTTCTCTAAAACCACCTCAGCAGAGAGGGAAGGTATGCCTTGTTTCTGCAGGGAAAGGGAGGAATTCCTGGCTTTCTATGTGGTCTTCCTGGCTCTGTGAGGTATGAAGCTCACTATAGGATGGTGGGGCATGAAAATCCAGTTCATTATTTGTCCTTTCCTGACACTATCTTGAGTTAGGTGTGATGGTACCTCAATACCACCTGGTAAGACTGGAAGTCTGGGCTCCCCATTTGGGCTTTGCTGTCTTAAGGGGGATTGCATTTCTTCCTGTGGTGTTGGGCTGGAGTAGAGCAGTTGTCTAAAGCTTTTCTGTCTTGCTAGGCTTCCCCTTTCCTAACCTCTAGGGAATATTAGATTTGCTAGAGAAATTAGGCTTTTGTTGGGACTTTGATTTTTGTCTGTACCTGCTGATGTTGCCATGTTGCCAGTTTCTTCATCTTCAAGTCTAGGATGTACGAAGCAAAAGGAAAATTCTGGGAATTCACCTCCACGTTGTTCCTCAGGTTCCAAGGTACACAGCCAGCCTGTGCTTATATCCACCACTGGGCATCTCCCTAAGTTTGTTATACATACTGTGTCCAGGTTTTTTAGTTGTACTTAGCAGGTAGAATAGAAAAAAGTATGTCTGTTCCATCTTCCCCGAAGTGAGATTCTTGCTATCTTTTGATATTTAGTGGTGGGGCGGGGTTGGGGGAGGGGTGGACTTTTGGTAATTTTTTTAAAAGGTGCAAAATTATCTTGCATAGACCTGGAATTCACCATTAATTTACTCATCCATATGGGAGTATAGGGCTTATTAGTGGTGGAACCTGAAATCTTCCTTTGTGCCATATGTAGCAGTTAATCACTTAAGATTATATTAGTACATATTAGTTGTTTCTCAGAATTCTGATGAAAGGGTCAATTCACAATAGAGTGATGTCACCCTGTCACTTTTAGAAATCAATAAATCTATGGAAAAGAAATCTGTTCTCATGAACTAGGTAAATGTGAAAAGCAGACATAATGTATTGGGATGCAGAGATGAAGAGCAGACATGGGATAAAGCATTATTTATAAAACCACTTTGCAGAAAAAAACATTTTCAAAATCACTAAGCTATTAAGATTACATTTTAGAATCCTACTATTTTATCCCTGATATTGGGCATATGAACTCCAAATCAAATACCCCCATTCCTGATGAGAAGGAAAGTTTACAAAAGAGAAGATAAGAGAGAGATAAAACAGAATGAATTAATTTTAAGCCTAAGACCTCAATATTAAGCCTACCTTGATACCTTTTAAAACATGATACTGGTGAAAAAAGTATTTAAATATTTGGCTCTTGCTAGAAGTATAACATATTCTCCCTCTTCTAAGAGACATGACATGAATTCTGTTCTTACGTCCTGTTCTTCACAACTAAACTAAATTAGAAAAACAATTATGGAAAATTTTTAAATAATCACTATTTTAGAAGATTTTTTCAGATGTGACAAAGATCATCAAATATATCATGTAAGTAGCTATTTACTGACTCTACATTTGTTTCATATTTAATGAACTGCCAAAGTTAAGTGAATCCTAGAGTTCAACTGTCAAAAATTTTTATTAGTGTTTATTGTTTGGTATTAATTATTATTCAATATTGGGTTTTTTTTAATGCTATACACTTTTCTGATAAGTCAATAATTAGGAACATAAATGTAAATAAGGTCTTTTCCAGGGATTGTGATTAAGGTTTTGTCATCCATTTTCACATAATACAGTGATTTTTTTTCTTCCCTGCCTTGTTCAAAGTTTATTAACAAATCATCACTTTGCAGCATGTTAGAAAGGATGAAACTTGAACAGTTAGGGCAAAAATGCAAAAGAATGACCAGAGAAGCTCAAGGATATTTTTAAAAAACAACACATATACCTGAAAAATAATCTATGTAGAATGTATCTCAGATGAGAAACCTAAACATTTCTTAACCTGTAAATATTTAAAGAAGACATATATACATAAAAGTATTATCACAATGCATGATTCAGCTGCCTTTCACTTTGCCTTTAAGATTCCTGACAACCTGGCTGATATTAAGAATCACCAGGGACATTTGTTTAAAAAGTGGATTTCCAAGAATTACTTATATAGTTCCTGAATCTGGAACTTGGGTCTGTTATTATTGATCAGACATATTTGGGAAACAGTCTATTAGAGGAACTGAAGTGCAACAATGATAGCACTTGTTCAAAAATGTCAAAACTTTCACCAAACAAACCAACCAACAATACACCATGATATTCTATTTCACTGAAATCGGCAATTTAAGTCCACGACTCACCTTATTGAATAAAGAACATTTCCATTTTTGAAAATTCTTAGCAATTTGTTGTCTGTAGTGACTTCATGAAAGTTGGCACCCTTTTCATTGGCAAAGAACAAATCAGGTTTCCAAATGGAGTCCAACATGGAGGGGTCGAGGTCTAAAGAGTCGTCAGGATATTCACTGTACGCGAGGCGGGGATCATTCCATTTCTGACGAAGAAAGATATTCACTCTGTAATCCTATGATAAAATAATGAAAGAAAGAAAAAAAAAAACCCTGCTTTAAAAAGTTTAAAATCCATAGTGTCAGTGTGGTGCCAAGGCAGGCTCATCAACTGTAGAAAATATACCCCTCTTGGGGACGGGGTGTATAGTTAATGGAGGAGGCTATACAAGTGTTGGGACAGAGGGAGGATGGAAATCTCTGTACCTTCTTCTCAATTTTGCTGTAAACCTAAAACTCCTCTAAAAAATAAAGTCTTATAAAAAAGAGTTTTGGATCTTATATACTGTTCTTTGGGTTTTTCTGAATTATAACAGGAACCAATGGCATCCTCGGGTACTCCCATCCCCCAGGATCCTCACTGATTACCACGTAAAACAGTCATCCTAGTTCTGAGGTTTTGGCCATGTCTTCAGTGACCTATATGCCTCCAAAGAAAAGACCACAATTTATCATGTTTAAAACTTGCTGTTCCATTCAAATTTTACTTTCTTGCTTTGTCAGAATAAAATGTTGGAATGCTGTTAGACACTTAGAGAAAGATATTTTCTTCTTTGCATTTATTTTTAGAATAATTTATTTTAGTAGATATCCAATAACATCCAGAATATATTTAGTGAACTTTTCTTAAAAGCTCTCTGTGTTACAAAAATGACCATATACACTTTTTCACAATGAAAGCCCATTTTCTCATGTTTAATATAGCATGTAAGTTCTATGAAATAAGTAATTTGAGAAAAATAAAAGCTGATTTTATAATAATGAAAGAATAATAAAGGACGATTATTGTCCATAATACTTCAAGAAGATTTGGCTAAAGAGATTTCCCAATTAGATCTTTCATAGTTAATTTTAAAAGGAGTCAATGATTTCAACTAAATTATTGCTCACAATTTTGGACTAACGCGTAGAATGACAAATGTTGACAGCTGAGTATATGTGTAGTGTTTGTATATACACAGTATATGAAAATAAGTACCATATATGTCTTTATAAATATTTTTTTCTAGATTTTTGAAATGAGCCAATAAATTAAATATAGACCTCATTGTAAGCATGATTAAAGCAAACATTATAAGACCACTTCATTTGCATGCAAAATAGCCAAGGCTGAAGATACTCACAAGAACTGAAAACCATTTTTCATCTATTTTTCTATTTCTTGAATACCAAATTATGAGACATCAGAATATAGTAACCAACCAATCACAACGGATGCTTTAATAATATCAGAACAGGTAGATTGCTTATGTTATTGGTAGGTCAAAGTCAGAGTTTGTACTGAATGTTACAAATCTGTACATCCTCTTGATCAATATTTGTGCCCTGAGACTATATTCTAACTGCAACTAAGGTTACACACCAGAAAATATTTTTTCTGCTTGCTAGCTGCCCCATGTATCTTCCAAAGTGACAATGGAGCAGAATTCACTTCAGCTTTTTGCCAGAAAGCTCACGATATTGTGGAAATCTCACTCGCCACAAGGATCTACAGAACCTGTAAATGGGGATATGTGAACAAGCTTCTACCAGCCTAGAATAGGTCATCTTCTCTTAGCCTGTAGTCCAGGGCACCAGGAAGCACAGCTCCATGGTTGGTGGCCAGTTCTTGTTTCCTTCGCCATTCTCCAGTGTGTGCCCTCAATACCACTAAAGGAATCAGTGATTGACCAAATCAGTTTCTCTCTGCTTTATAGCCAGGAGAAGACTGAACAAGGTCAAGTTATAATCATACCTGCCAGGAAAGATAACTGACTAGTAAAGAATGTACATTTGTACTGATTTATAAGATACATAATCAAGTTGTTTGAAGCACTTTTGCTGTAACATTTCTTGATTTAGAACTCTCTGTAGCTGTTCACCACACTTAGGCTAAAATAAAAGTACTCTTTAAGTTGCAGTATATGTAATAAAATTTGGTAGAATCTCTTTATCCTTATGTTATTAGTACTAGTGATAAACTTTACAGATACATTTTCATTTCTTCCGGGAACACTTTTTGCTCCAAATATGTGCTAGAAAAGATGTTTAGTATCTTTCAGCTTCTAAGTAATACAAGGAAAAAGCAACAGTCACCTGTCACCAAGGCCAAATGTTATCATATACCCATTGTAATGCTCTTTCTGAAATATCTCTATCTCTTAATACATTTAGTTTAGGGAAGTAAGAACCACATGAGGCCCCTGGATGACAATAATCCTGTCATTCATGACAGCATGGAAAATATGATTTTGTGGTCTATTGTACTGCATGGTAAGTACAGTTAATAATAATGTATATTTCAAAATCGCTAAAAGAATAAATTTTTGACATTCTCACTCCTAAACTATATTAAGTTAGTGAGATGATGAATATGTTAATTAGCTTGATTAAATCTTTCTATGCTTTGGTTCAGGGCCAGGGTTCAAAGCAAAACAAAAATAACCATGTCCTGAAAACCTTAGAAACTAAGATTTTACTGCTCCTTACAGTTTTGGTTTTGCTTTGCCTGCAAATGAACATTGAGATGGAAAGCTATTAAATAACCAAATTCAGCATTTCAAAAATGTTTTTTTAAGGCTGATTCTTCATAGCCACAGTATCCCATTATACCCAGCAACCAATTATATTAATTATTTTTGAATTTTGGCCATTTGTGAAAATGTGTAAAGAAAGGGGCAAGTAAACGGACAGTCAAAATAGTACCACCCTAAGAGAAGTCCTAATAACTAGACTTGAAATAACTTGCCTGTAATAAAATTCCCTGGAGTGAAGAAGAAAAAGGGCCTTGTACAACACATTTTGTATATGGCAAAAGGTTAAATTACATCTCTACATGACGCTACTCAAGAAGGCAACTTGGAGTGAATTAAAAGTTCAAATATGATGGGTAAAATTTTTTAAAAGAAAATTTAGCAGAGTATGTGGCCTTGAGGTAGGACAAATTATTTAAAAAGCACAATAATATTGATCATAAAATAAAGGTTAATAAATTCTACGATGTCAGAATTAAGAAATTCTGTTCATCCAAAGGTCACTTAAGGTTAATGAAAACATAAATTATACTGCAAGAAGGTATTTGCCACATATACAACTGACAGTTGATTATTAACATGCTTTAAAATATTTCATACCAATAATTGAGAAAAAGAGAAACAACTGAGTAGAAAAATGGCCAAAACAATCACAACATTTTACTAGGCAGGCATTGCAAATACCCAAGAAGTATCTGAAAAAATGTTCAACCACATAAGTAAACAAAGAAGTGCAAATTAAGATACTAATGAGATACCATTTTATATTTACTGGGCTGTTAAAAATGAGACTTTTGATGATATCAGAATTTGTCAAAAATACAGGGCAAAATGATCCTTTATACATCGCCGCGAAAAGTATAAAAAGATGGAAAAAATTGGCCAGGTGCAGTGGCTTATGCCTTTAATCCCAGCACTTCGGGAGGCCGAGGTGGGCGGATCACGAGGTCAAGAGACAGAGACCATCCTGGCCAACATGGTGAAACCCCATCTCTACTAAAAACACAAAAATTAGCTGGGTGTGGTGGCGTGCGCCTGTAGTCCCAGCTACTTGGGAGGCTGAAGCAGGAGAGACGCTTGAACCCAGGAGGCGGAGCTTGCAGTGAGCCGAGATCACGCCTCTGCACTCCAGCCTGGCGACAGAGCGAGACTCCGACTCAAAAATTAAAAAAAAAAAAAAAAGGAAAAATTAACATTGTAACATAAATTTGATATATGCACACTCAGGATACAAACATTTTAGTTCAAAATACAAAACTTAAATCCTTATGCTTGTGCAACAGAAGACATATACAAAAGTATTTATAGCAACACTGTTAGCTCTAAGGAAAAACCAAGACAAACCAAACCAAAACCTGGAACCAATTCAAATATCCATTGGCAGAAAAATGCGTAATAAACTGTGCCACGTCAATAAAATCAAATACCTAGTAGTGAAAATAAATTACCACCATTTCCAATGATGAGGATGAATCTTACAAATGTAAAACAGTAAAAACAAAAAAAGCAAATGCTGGAGATATAATGTATGGCACCATTTTTGTAAAATTCAAAACCAAGCAATTTCTCTCTCTCTCTCTCTCTATATATATATATATTTATGTGTATGTATGTATGTGTGTATGTATGTGTATGTGTGTGTATATACATACATATACATATTCATCAATATAGAATTATAACTACCAACTTTATGATAGTGATTAGCTAGGGAAATGCTGGGGAATGAGATAGTGAATTATACAGGTATCTTTAATATTGGTAATGTTTTAGCTCTAAGTCTAGGTAAAGGATTCAATAGTGTTTATGTTATTAAATTATACATCATCACATATATATTATGTATGTAATTATATACCAAAAGAAATTGTGTTATCATAAGAATCCTTATAGCTGAAAGAGGAGGAAGAGAGTCAGTGCCAAAATGAGGTGATGTGAAACTGACTGGGTCTCTGGTAGAGGAAAAAGGCCAAGAAAGAGCCAAAGAATGTGGGCAGCCTCTAGAAGCTGTAAAAGCAAAGGAATGGATTTTCTCCTAGAGCCTCCAGAAGGAACACAGCCCTGTAGACACCTTGAATTTAGTCTGGCAAAACACACTGGACCTCTGACCTCAAGAAGTGTAAGGTAATACATTTGTGTTGTTTAAGCCACTTGCAGAATAAATATTTTTAAAGTTTTCTGTATGTTGTGTTTTTTTGACATCTTAAAAAATCCTTCTGGCTGTGAAGAGACTACCTCTCCCCAGTGCCAGTCAAATTTCAAAGATAGCAAAGGGCCCAGCCTGGAGCATGTCTTGAGTAAACAAACTCATAACCTCAGAACCTTCCCCCCTCTATCAGCCAGTGCACCCAGAAGACAGTGTTCCTGTGCCTTAGTCATCTCAGGGCTAGGTACCAGGCAACTAGAAACCATCTCTATAGCCCAAAGCCTGGCAAAATTATTCAAACGAGGCAACCTTAAATAAACAGTTCACCTTGCCCTGCCTGCCTTTGCAGAAGAAACCTCAATAAAGGCTGTGGCTTAAACTTTCATGCTCCTACCTTCTGCTTCCTGACCACCATGATGTCTTTCCCACATGGCCCTGCATGGGATGCTGTGCCTCTTGTCTCTAGGACCCGTGAGTATAATAAACTGTGTTTTTTCCTGAGTCTCCCTGTTTCTTCTGTGGCCACATCAGACTGACCATCTCATAAAAGAATAAAAACACCACTCAATTTGTGGCAATGTGTTACAGTAGCAATAGGAAACTATTATATCTTTTTGAACTGATTTGCATACAATATTATTACCAGTTTTCGAAGACATCTCTAAAACAATAGACTTTCTTTTTTTTTTGGCCGGTAATTGGAGATGGTAGAAAACTTAAGGCAAATACCACTGGATTCATAGCCAGATGGAAAAAATAATCCAGAATTCTTTCTGTTTTAAAAAATCCTAATCAGAGATCTTGGCAAATTTCAAAATGATCAGAAAATAATTCACCTTTGTCAAATAATCAAGAATGAAGCTCAGACTTCTTACCAATGTCTCACTGGTTTAGCTGCATAAGCTTTTACAGTTCTGAAGTGCTGTACAATATAGGTTCCCATGCGTCAGGAAGCACAGAATACCGACACCCAATGGTGCAATAATTGCTTCTAACATCATCTCTGTAATATCCCCCATGTTGCCTATACCATCTGCTCTAAGAACCCCGCCACAGGGAGAGTTGTCGTCTGGGGCCACTGATTCTGCAGTAATGGCCCATTGGGAAAGTGCCTTTCAATTCTCAGTTACTAAAGCAACAGGGAAGAAAGTCATTTTATAAGAACTATTTAGAGGCTTAAAAGGTTATCTTAAATCTCCCTCTGACTTCTCCATTATCCATATGTACAATTATTCTCCTAGAAAAAAGAAGATTTTAAAATTCCAAAATTTTTTTAAAAAGCAATCTAATTGTGTACCAGTTCTGGAAACATGCAATTAAGAGGGATTGATTAGAACATAAAATGTGCTGAATCAATTAAATAACACTCTTCATATCTCATTTAGTAACCTCTGCGTAAATATAAGATTGAAAATTAAAATACTAGCAAAAACAATACAAAGCTGTATTCCATTAAGAATACTACCCATTCTGTACACTCGAATGCAATAATTTCTGGAGAGGTAAACTTAGTTCATGGGAACACTCTTTCAGAAGTTGAAATAAATTGATTTCAATTAATATAGCTCATTCAGTTTGTGGGCACCTCGATTTAGGTGTAAACACCTACAAAGGGCCAGTACTCCTAGTAGCTGCTTGCTGTCAATGAAAAATAGTAATTTTTGTTGCTCTTGGATTGCAAGGTAACAAATTAATCTCCCGCTAAGGTGCTGCACAGCTGTGCTCCACAAGCCCCCATTCATCCACCAGCCCCTTCTGTCTTTGATGCTCACTTAATATTTCTATTCAATTCTCCTTTGTCTGCTAATTGTATGACTAATTTTCAGCCTTAAAAAAAAAAGGCTAGATAACCAGGTGGACTTCACTCTGTCCTTCACAGCAAGTTGTGTCAACAAGCCTGTGGGTAGGAGAAAAAAATGGCAGAAGTTTCTACATCATTTTTCTGCCCACTTCTCAGCTCCTAAACTCCAATTTACTCCATTTTGTGTCAAACCCACTAGGAAGAGGAAGCTCATCTACTTCTCCTGGTTTAGACAACATGGACATGGAAGTCTACTAATACTTTTGCTCATGACCTGAAATTTGCATCACAAATCCACTCATTCCAACAGAATATTGTCTCTGGATTGATTTTATTGCTGCTTGATGTTAATTACACAATTTACATGTTAAAATAAACATAATCGTTTACACATAAGACATTAGTTTGTATTTTGTATATTTATTTATTTATTTTTTGAGATGGAGCATGGCTCTGTCTCCCAGGCTGGAATGCAGTGGTGCCAACTCTGCTCATGGCAACCTCCACCTCTCTGGTTCAAGCGATTCTCCTGCCTCAGCCTCCCAAGTAGCTGGGGTTACAGGCACCTGCCACTGCGTCCATGTAATTTTTGGATTTTTTAGCAGAGATGGGGTTCCGTCATGTTCGCCAGGCTGGTCTGGAACTCCTGACCTCAGGTGATATGCCCACGTCAGCCTCCCAAAGTGTTGGGATTCCACCACGCCTGGCCTCATTTTGTATATTTAATATGTGGGCATCTGCTTACTATTATTTTTGGACCTTCACTAAACAATTGTTCTACTACTGGAACATATGACGTGGCTCCTAAAACAGTGAAAATCTCTGGGGAAATGAAGTATCATTTGGTCTTTGGAACATTCTATTATCAATCAACACTACAAATGATCTTCAAATCAGATTTCTAAGAATTTCTTCCCAGTAATGGGAAGAAAATTTTTTGAGAAAAGTTGGAGATACTTCAAAATTTTGAGGTGGATAAGAGTGTCATAGAATCATAATGATTTTGAAGACATTCTAACTACTGTGTTTCCTTAAATGTCTGATATAAACTGTATTCTATTTTATTAATGTGTGTTTTTAAAATTTAAAAAATTGTGGTCAAATATACATAACATTTATCATCAAAGATGATAAATTTAAATTTAAAATTTTAAAAATTTAAAAATTTAAAAAATCGTGATCAAATATACGTAACATTTATCATCAGAGACATTTTATACATTAACAGTATTATGCAGTATTACAGTATTACGCAGCCATCACCACCACCACCTAGTTTCACAACATTTTTTTCACCCCACAAGGAAATCCTGTATCCAGTTAGTGATCTCCTTTCCTCCTCCTCTAGTCTCTGGCAAGCACTCATCTGCTTCCCGTCCCCATAGATTTACCTACTCTGGATATTTTAAATAAATAGAATCACACTATACGTGACCTTTTGCATCTGGCTTCTTCCACTTAGCATAAGTTTTTACAAGGTTTTATGGTACATTTAAGAACACAGAGGTCATTTGTTTATAGAAGTGTGAAGGGCCTTTTTGAGAGAATTATGTATGTAAGGTGATATGTAATATGTAATAGTTTCAGAGATATATTTTTGGAAGTGAGTGTTCTATACACAATGATGTATATGTACATGTATAAGCCATCACAATGCCTGTATATATGTATTATACATAAAACCCATGGGAATCCACAATCATCATAAAATATGAAAACAATAGCTACTATTAATAAAATGATACTAACTTTCAGGCATAAAACTAGATGCTTTAAAAATAATTTGGAATTGAAGAAATAATAAGTAAAATTGCCCTGTATATAAAGTTTCAGGATCATACTGATGCTTGTAAAGGCCTAACAGCTTCATCTTGCATACAAGTACTTTTCATGATAGCGACATCTGACACTGTCAGGGTTTATCTATTTACTTCACACTAATCAGTGTTTTTTTTAAAATATCATATGTAATTTGGGACTAATGTTATAGAACTAACAAAGAAAAAAAGATTTATTTTGGGCCTGTGTAAGATCAAATTTTACCAAAATAAATAATGTGAACCAAGTTTGTTTACCTCAAGTGTTTCCAGTTTAAAGATATCTAGATTTTTAGTTATACACACACATATTTAAAAATTTCATCTATTTAAAGGTTCACACTTCCCTTCACAGTTTTATTAAACTATTAACACGTAGTAGCTTGGCATTTGATAAAAGATATGGTTTAGTAAATAAGAACAAAGGAATAGACATTATTGGCAAAAACTTTGTTGTATTTGACATTTGTCCTCAGTAAGAAAACTGAACATAAATATAATTATTCCAATAATTATTTTCAAATTTTTCTGAATGCTAAGGCTTTTTTTTGTGGTTTTTTGTTGTTGTTGTTGTTGAGACAGTCTCTCTCTGTCGCCCAGGCTGGAGTGCAGTGGCACAATCTTAGCTCACTGTGACCTCTGCCACCTGGGTTCAAGCAATTTTGGTGCCTCAGCTCTAAGAAGCCAGGATTATAGGTGCCCACCACCATGTCTGGAGAAATTTTGTATTTTTAGTAGAGACGGGGTTTCTCCAAGTTGGCCAGACTGGTCTCGAACTCCTGACCTCATCAGATCCGCACGCCTCGATCTCCCAAAGTGCTGGGATTACAGGCGTGAGCCACGGTGCCCAGCCAATGCTCATGCTTGTTATCACAGTTTTACATTTTAACTGATATTTAAATTTTCAGAAATTTAAACCACTTATTTTCTTTGGGAATTTTTTTAATTCATGAGGACTTTTATGGCATACAACTAACTATGAAATGTGAGAGGTTAAAAATTAAAGGAAAAATGTTCCACTTTGGAAGAATTTTAGTTAATGAAATATTATGTCAAAGAAAAAAAATAAATTGCATTTGTTTTCTTTCTGAGCAATTCAGATAATTCTTACATAGTTGTTTATTGATTTGGAGATTGGCCAAGGAACTCTGTGGAGGTTAAGTGTACTGTAAAGCTGGAGAGGAATTAACTTCTTTTAGAAACTATCATTGAATATTGCTGCCTCATTTAGGACAGCTCTTGACAGTAACAGATGAAATGTTTGCTTCTTCTGCAACAAATAAAATTTTAAAGTCCACAATTCACTCTTAACTGAATAAGACATATATAACCTATTAAAATCAGAATTAAAAGAAAAATGTAATCAATCATTAGATATTTTCTACTTGGGTAGAGAACACCACTCATTTTAATATTTCTACATTTACAGGTATTTGGGTTTATGCATACATATATAAAGGTATTTGAATGTAGGGTATCACAGGCAAAAGATAGGTTGCAAAATTTTGGTGTGTTCTTGCATTGCATACAAATATTTGGCAACCTGTGAGTATTACCTTCTATTTGAGCATGTAAACTTGAGGAAATTCATATTTTGTTGAATGTAAATCCTAGTGTAGGTTTAGCATAATGTTGCAGCTGAAACTTTTAGAAATACTTAAGTATGATTATTTCATTTCCACATTATAGTTTTGATCTGTTCGGAATCGATTGATATTTCTTTTCTCTGTAAAATTAGCTTGCTATTTATACTCGAATACTTTCATGACAAAAAAATTATTTGAAGTGATGAGAACACATGTACTAAATTAAGCATCTTTACCAGTGGTGTATTGTAGGACAAGAACAACAACTGAGATCTCACTGCTTTTCATTCAGGCCTTTTGCTATCAAAATAACTCAGCATGCCACATAATATACTGCTTACCACAAGTGACACCATCTCATAGGCAAGGTCTCTTTTATGGTGGCAGATTATTTTCTCTCAGGGACTATGCCCATATACCAGCTGAATTCCACTGAGCAACTTCTGTTCAAACCATGTAGAAAAGGCTCAGTAAAGCCCTGCTCAGATCTCTGGCTTACAAAATCATGGCATGTAATGAAATGTTTGTTTTGTATAAACCACAAAGTTTTGGGATAGTTTGCTATGCAGCAACAACTGGAATAGAACTAGGAAACTAGAAGTGGGTGCTGCTCTAAGAAGAAAACTTAAAACATGTTCCCTTGACTCTGGGAGCAGGTAGCAAGAAGTAGGTTGCAAGGATTTGAAGAGATTGTTGTGATGGTTAAAGGAATGAGAAGGAAATTCTTATTAGAGGAGAGAAAAGAAAATCCACCCCTACATTGTGGGGCAGAAAGCTTGACAACTCATTTCAGTAATGTAGAAAACAGAATATGCAACTAATGAACTGTTGCATTTGGCCAAGAATATTTTCTGGTAAATTCCTGAAAAATTCCACTTCACTTTTTTGTGGGCTCTGGGTAAAGATCTTCTCAAGGATGTGACTACGACCCCTTGCCTATACTTCAGAAATATTAAAAATGTGCCTCATAAATGTTCTCAATTAGATTAAAAAGTTTCTAAGAATCATAAGAGCATTATCTCAAAGAATCTTGATTCCCAACCCAAGGTAGAGAATCATAGGAAGCCCACAAAAATGTTAAGAGAATTAGACTAGTAGAAGCACCATTGGCTTCATTTGAAATGGGCAGGGACAGTTCAAAATGCAAAGAGCTTGCAAGGTTCCCACATTTCTATGAGCAGGAAGCGGTATGAAAAGGCTACTTTGTAGCAAACATGGCTCATTTTTACCGAAAAGGAAAGATGACTCAGAAGGCAGAAACAAGAGCCAACACGGTAAAGTCAAGATCCACATTTTCTGGGAGCAGGACTGGGCCTTAATAATGTAACTGGAAGGATATGCTTTCCCAGGCTCCAGAATTGCTATGAACCAGTGACTACAATGTACTTCCCATCACCCTTTCCCTATTGAATGGGAACACCTTATCCCTATTGCAGTTTTCCTATTCTGTATCGCCTCTGTAGGCTGACTTTGTGTGGGATAGAAAACCTGTTCTTAAATTCACAGGTCTTTTGATCGAGAGGAATCATAAGATCCACCTTTTGGGAACCTCATTTGCACTCGCATCTAATTTAGTTGACACAATTCCAGACTTCAAAACAATGCTATAGTGGGACAAAAAAGCTGGGGTCTTTAGGAAGGGGTGTTTATGTTTTGCATATTGGAAGAATGTAAACAATGTCACTAGAAGGCCGACTGTGTCAGATTAAAGATGTCCTATGGGTTGTAAGAATCCTCAAAGCTTTTACCCTGTCTCTTGAAGCGCTCTGAGACACAGCTGGCTGCCATGTCAGAAGTTAGAAACCCCAGAGAAACTACACTGAAGGAGCCACATGTAAGAACTCTGGTCAACAGTCCCAGCTGGGTCCAGATTTCCAGGCTTCCTCACCAAGACACTAGGCATATGAATGAAACCATTTTGAATGCTGATCCTCCAGCTGAAACCAGAGATTTTATATCAATGACAAGAGGAGCAGAAAAGTTACCCAGCAAATCCCTGCCTATATTCCTGATCCACATACATGTGAGACCTAATAAAATTGGTGTTGTTTTAAGCCATTTTATTGTTGATGTTCCTGCTTTAATTTGTTTTAAAATTCAGATAGAGCTTACATACAGATCTGTACCAAATGCATAGAGATGTGTAATCACCATCACAGGCAGGTTACAGAATAGAGCTCTCACCCACAGATATTCCCTGTGTTGCCCTTTTGTCTTGAAACCATCCCTACACCTATTCCCTCAAAGCCAGTGATGCCTTCTTCATCCTCATTGTTTTGCCTTTTCTAGAATGTTGTATAAATGGAATCACACAATATTTAACATTTTGAGTCTGGCTCTTTCTTGACTTAAGTTATTGTGTGTATCAGTTTATTCCTCCTAATTGCTGAGTTGCATTCAATTGTACGGGCGTGCCACAGGGCTTATTCACCCATTGATGGACTTCTGGTGTTTTTCCAGTATTTTGTGATTATGGATAATGCTGATGTATACACTTGTGTATGGGATTTTATGTAAGCATACGTGTTTGTTTCTCGTAAGTAAATATCTACGAGTGAGATTACTGGGTCATATTAAGTGCATGTTTACATTTAGAAAAAAAGTGCTAAACTGTTTTCTAGAATGGCTGTACTATTTGCACTTCCGTCAATTATATATGAGAGTTACAGTTTCTTTGCACTCTTATCAGTAATTAGTAAATTCAGATTTGTTTAAAAAATTAATTTCACCTTTTCTAATATGTGTGTAGTTGTTCTCATTGTGGTTTTAATTTGCATTTTGCTAATGGCTAATGATGTCAAGTAGTGTTTTCTACCTATTTGCAATGCGTATATCTTTTTAGTGAAGTGTAACAAACATTTAAATTGCTCATTAAAAGTATTGTTTTTATTTTACTATTAAGTTTCTAGAGTTCTTTATAACTATTCTGGATACATATCCTTTGCCAGACATGAGATTGGCAAACTTGTTTTTTCACAGCATGTAGCTTTTTTTTCCTTCTATTAACAGCATTTTTCACAGAAATAAAGGTGTTTAATTATGATAAAGATCCCTTTATCCATTATTTATATTTTTTAAATTGTGCTTTTGGTGTTATATCTAAGAGCTCGTTACCTAACCCAAAGTCACAAAGATTTTCTATGTTTTTGTTTTCTTCTAATCATTTTATAATTTTAAATTTCATATTTAGGTTTGCGGTCAACTACGAGTTAATTTTTGTATGAGGTATGAGTACGTATTGCAGCTTATTTTTTTCTTCTGCATAGTTGACAAATTATTCCAACACTATTTGTTGAAAAGATTAGAATGCTATTTTCTTATGGTGCAGAACCTAGGAAGAGCAGATTTAAAACTGTGTGAGGCAAGAGGTTATTTGTTCACACCTGAGTTTTGCTCATCTTTGAATCCAAATATATAAAATGTTTTTTCTTTTGCTCAGACACACAGAATAATTGGCATTAGCTAGAAATTCCCTAGCATGGTTTTTGTGAGAGTAATGATTAAAAAACAACAAAAAAGTCAGGTATGACAAAACACAATATATCACAGCAATTTTGTTGTTAAAAGAAAGTAATTTTAAAAATAATAGTTAAAATTTTAAGAAATCTTATTTGTTAGAAAGCTGACAAGCTAAAATTGAATCTGTAGTTCAATATTTAACATCAGTAGAAGCTGTGTGAATGGATATTGACCAAGGACTCACCTAATTAAGTTGAGGGTAAGAAAATATATTATTCGAGGTTTTTAATAAGCTATTTTAAGAAACATAATTTGAAGAGTAGGAACACTAAAGCTTGCTTTGAGTATTGTTCAGAATGAAATAGTTGTATAACATATTCTGCAATAACTCTGGTACTAAAATTGTCAAGAGCAAGCAATTTAGTCTTAATATAAGTAATAAGAAAGAGAAACTCCAGAAAGGAAAGAGAATTGCAAAAATATGTTGCATTCTGAATCAAATAGCCACTGGGCTTTTACAGGGCAAGACACTGCTAAACTCATGGGGAAATTTAAGGAGGAAAAATCTCTCTCTCCTTTGTTTCTGATGTTTGCTTTTTCTTCAGTGTTTTGAGAGTAAAAAGAAGATAGATGGAAATTCAGACTTGCAATATGTGCCATTAGAAAATTACAAAGCCCTTATGATCTCAGCAGAAAAATGATAGCTTTTAAAGCCTGTTCCCTGGTGCTTCATCACCTTTCCCAGAAGGATATAAATTACTGGAAGATAATTGCTATGAATACATCATTCTTTTTCTTGAGATTCCCTGGTCCTTGTGAAACTCAATCTATGTCCCTAGGAGCAGAGTTGGTGGAGAAGGATGATACCATAGAAGAGAGAGGCAAAATTATTGAAGATCCATTCTGTTGGCTTGTTTTGTTTTACTTTACCCTCCCCATTTAAAAGAATCAAGAAAGGACAACCTATTTGATTATATAAAACTCTGTATCTGTTGTGGAATATCCATAGCTGTTGTGGGATAAAAATTATTTCAAAAGGAAATTCAGAATTAAGCTATTTCCTCTCTTTTAAATTTAGTCTTACAGAAAAGTTGCAGAAAATAAGAGTTTCTGTAAACCTTTTATACAGCTTCTGCTAATGTTAATATTTTACATATTCATAGTAGTTTTTGAAACCTAAAAATTAACATTGATACAATACCATTAACTTACCTGCAGACCTATTTTGAATTTCACGAGATTATGAAAAAAGAATTCAAGATTATAAAATTAAAGAATCTAATATCCTCTAATATCCCTTTTTTTCTCGTGTAGGATCTAATCTAGGATCCCACATTGCATTTAGCTTTTAACTTAGTCTCTTCTAATCTGTGACAGCCCCATAGTCTTTTTTTTCTTTTTTCATTTTTTTCTGTCTTTCATATCCTTAACACTTTTTGAGATATACCAGCCAGTTATTTTGTTGAATGTCCCTCAGTTTGGGTTTGTCTGATGTTTTCTCATAATTAGATTGGTATTAGTCCTTTTTAACAAAAATGCTGCAGAAAGGATACTGTGCCCTTCTCATTGCATCATTCCAATAGCACATGATGTAGACCTGTTTCATGGGTGATGTTTAGCTTGGTCACTTGATTAAAGAAGTACCTGCCAGGATGATTCATGGTAAAGATATAGTGAAGCTTATTTGGTACTATTTGCATGATATTTTAGGTTTCCTTATAACCCTTGCATCTTGGTGGATTTCAACAATTCTTATAGATATTTAGTGCATTTTTGAAACATTTTGTAATTTCTAAAGTTGAGATATTACATACAATAGGTGTTCAAATTGAAAAAAAACACAAATAATGTATCTTAGAAGTGACAGCTCTGTGCCTGGGTTTATGAGTACAGAACAGGACCCCCTCTCTTGATCCATACACCACTGCAGCTGCAGCTGTTGCTGCTGCCATTGTAGGCTGGGACAGGCAAGCCAGAGGGCTGCCGGTCTGTGGCTGTGAGTGGTGACTATGTCCCCACTAGTAGCATGGCCTTTGTGCTTGGGCTCACAAGGGAAGGAGAGGGTTCTTCCCCTACTCTGTATGGTGCTGTGGTGCTGCAGCCATCAAAAGTAGTTAGGCCTGAGAGCTATGTGTCTGGGGCTATGGTTGGCAACCCAGCATTGCAGCCACTGGCAACACCACCGTGCGGTGCTTGGGACCCAGAGGGTTGTAGTGCCACTGCCACTGCCATTGCCCACACCACACTGGCTGCTCAGGGACCTAAGAACGCAATCACCTACGTGGCCTGTGACTGCCATTACTGGCATCAGAGCAAGCCACTTGGAGGACCAAGAAGAGGCCTGCCTGGTCCTACTGACACAGGTGCTGGTGTATGCTGCCCTGGGAGCCGAAGAACAGGCACATTCGAAACCCTGCTACCCCCACTGGGACCAGGACCTAAAGACTGGCCCACCTGGCGTCCCTGCCCCCAGCAAAATTTAACCATACCCTCCACTAGTTCCTGTACCCTAAACCACTGAGGAAATCACAAATACCACCAATGCTGTTTATAGTCAAGTAAATCATACAAAGATTGCACGACTGCATGCACCCAGAATCAAAGCCAAAGGGTTCTAACCAATTGAAACCATTGATACATATTCAGGAAAAAGTCATTCCTTGTGAATTCAAAGAATTGTAAGAAATGACTATTACACCAGTTACATATATATCAACATAAGGACACCAGAAACATGATAAAGCAAAGAAATATGACGCCTTCAAGGGAACACAATAATTCCTTAGCAACAGATCCCAACTGCAAAGAAATTAACAAAATTATGAAAAAGGAATTCAAAATTATGATATTAAAAAAGCTTAGTGAGATAAAGAGACTTTGAAAATACAATACACAGAAATCAGAAAAACAATTCAGGATATGAATGAGAAATTTACAAAAGGGATAGCTATCTTAGTGAAGAACCAAACACAAATTCTGTAACTGAAGAACTCCCCGAATAAAATGCAAAATACACTCAAAAGCTTCAACAATAGACTGAATCTAACAGAAGAAAGAACCACAGAACTTGAAGACAGGTCTTTTGAAATAACTCAGGGAAAAATAAAGAAAAAAGAATGAACAAAATCTTTATGATATGTGGGATAGCATAAAGCAACCAAACATACAAATTATTGGTATTCCTGAAGGTGAAGAAATGTTAAAAGGGTTTGAAAGCCTATTTAATGAAATAATAGATGAATACTTCCCAAGTCTAGCAGGATATTTAGACATCCATATACAGGAGGCCCAGTGTCCCCCAAAGAGATACAATGCAAAATGGTCTCCGTGACACTTTATAGGCACACTGTCTGAAGTCAATGGCAAAGGAGAATTCTAAAAACAGCAAGAGAAAAGCATCTAGTCACCCCTAAAGTAGTTACCGTCAGACTAACAGTAAGCACTTACTATGTATTTTCACAGTTTTAGGTCGTACATTTAAGTATACTTACTATGTATTTTCATAGTTTTGGGTCTAACACTTAAGACCCATTTAAGTGCTGACTTTTCCCTATAAAAAGGACATTGGTCTTGGCAAAGATTTTATGGCTAAAACCTCAAAAGCATAGGCACAAAAATAAAAATAGACAAATGAGACCATATTAAACTAAAAAGCCCCTACAAAGCAAAATAAACAGTCAACAAAATGAGGAGATAAGCTGCAGAATGGGAGAAAATATTTGCAAGTTACTCATCTGACAGGTGACTAATATTTGGACCATATAAGGAACTTGAACAACTCAATAGGAAAAAAAAAAAAAGTTCCAAATAATCCCATTAAAAGATGGGCAAAAAACATGAGTATACATTTCTCGAAAGAAGACACAGAAGTGGCCAACACATATCTTAAAAAGTGCTCAACATCACTATCATTAAGGAAATTCAAATAAAAAACACAATTAGATATTATCTTATGCCAGTTAGAATGGCTATTATTAATAAGAAAAAATAACAGATGCTGGTGAGGACGCAGAGAAAAGAGAACTCATACACTCTTGGCAGGAATGTAAATTAGTACAACCACTATGGGAAACAGAATGGAGATTTCTCAGAAAACTAAAAGTAGAACTACCACACAATCCAGCAATCTTACTACTGGGTATCTATCCAAAGGAAAATAATTCAGTATATCAAGGGGATACCTGCACTTGTACGTTTATCACAGCACTATTCGCAGTAGCAAAGATATGGAATAAACCTAACTGTCTATTAACAGGTGAATGAGTAAAGAAAATGTGTCATATATACACCATGGGATACTGTTCAGCCTAAAAAAAGTTTGAAATAATTTCATTCTCAGCAACATGGAAAGAGCTGCAGGTCATTCTTTTAAGTGAAATAAGTCAGGTATGGAAAGACAAATATTGCACCTTCACACTCATATGTGGGAGCTAAAAAAACTCATCACTTCACGGACATAGAGAATAGAATGATAGATACCAGGGACTGGGGAGACCGGGTAGTGGGAAGAGAGGGATTAAGAGAGGTTGGTTATGGTTATAAATATACAATTAGATAGAAGAAATAAATTCTAGAGTTTGATAGAGGACGAGAATGGCTATACTTAGCAACAATATCATGTATATTTCACAGTAACTGGAAGAGTTACCAATATAGTTACCAGTTACCAACACAATTCCTGAGTCACCAATACCAATATCTGCCACCAATATTTCTGATACCAATACATAAAAATGGTAAACCCATGTGAAAATGATGTATGCCCCAGGTACGCTGACTTGAACACTACACATTCTATGCATGAAACAAATACTCACATGTACCCAATAAATATGTAAATCATTATATTAGGTTGGTGCAAAAGTAATTGTCATTACTTTTAATGGTGAAAACCGCAATTATTTTTGCACCAACCTAATATATCAACAAAAGAGGGAAAAATAGTGACAGAATCTTAGATTGACATGTACTCACAGGAAGAATGAAGTCTTACAATTAAAGAATATGGGCTTGTCTGTGTTACACTCAGAATTTGTTTGTTTACATAATTATAATCAAACTACATATATTATGGATCCTTCTATTATTGGTCACCAATTATTCTGGCTTCTGCCTTTGTGGCTCTTTCCTTGAAGAAGAATTATATATCCCTGCTTTGCTGTACTCAGGAGTGGCCATGTGACCTAAGAGGTGAATATCAAAGAGTTAGACAACGAGGACATAAGGGCAGTGGTGGAAAGAGTAGTCGATGAAGGAACAGCAAATGCAAGGAACAGATGTGAGATAAAATATTGCTACTCTAAAAAGTAAGAGTTCAAAGGGCATTCTGAAATGCACAGTGGGTTAGGAGATGGGGTGGGGCGAGAATTCAGTCTGATGACTTAAGGTGAGACAGATTATACAGGGCTAGTATAAGCCATGGAAATTTGAATTTTGCTCCAACAGGAATTATTTGAGAGCCAATGAAAGAGCAGAAAAATGACAAGATCTTATTTGAGTTTTAGAAAGATCCAGGGTAGTGATTGGGTGGGTAGTAAGGGAGGAGCAGAGTTAGATTCTGTGACGGTTCCTGTCACAACAGTGAGAGGTGATCCCCAAAGTGGTGAAAAAGTGACATATCTGGGAAATATTTGCGGGGTAGAATTGCTGTGCCTTTGTGATTCATTAGATATTGAGCTTAAGGCAGGAAGAAATAGGTCCTCAATTTTCTGGCTGACTCAATGAGATAGCAAACAGGTGAAGCAGATTTGGATATGATGAGCTCCAGGAATTTGTACAATTGAGGGAGATAATCAGTTCAGATATTTGAGAAACCAACTTACTGATTAGACTACTGTGTCAGTGTACAGTTAATCTTGCCTTTAACATTATAGCATATATATATGCTGTTCCAATAACATTATAGCATATATATATGCTGTTCCAAATACTATGTTTTAATGTTATTTTGGTTTGTTTTATACTTCCCCATGCCTTTCACATGGAGACACTTGGGCTATAGCTATTGACTGGACAATTACCACTATACATGTGGATGGCCATAAAGCCAAGGACAAGGATAAATGTACATACAGAGCATATGTGTAGCAAAGGCAGTGCCTCTGATTGAACCTTAATAATGGCTGGCATTCAAGAAATAGAAAGAAGATAATAGTGCAAATAGATTTGGGAAGGAGTGGCCAGAGAGTCAGAAAACCAGAGATGGTTGAATTAGAAAAGCCAAAGTAAGACAGTTTTCAAGAGCATAATCAACAGTGGCAGATTCTGCAAAGATGTCAAGAAAGTTTAAGCTTAAGTGGTTCATTGTTGTTATTGAATACTTTGGAAATAGCAATTTTAGTGAAGCGATTGGTGAAAAACCAGGAATTGAGGAATAGCATCAGGTACAACCATTTAAAGTAATTTGGCTGTGAATAGAAAGAGAAATATGGGAATAACTAGAAATAAACAAATCCAGGGAAAGCTTTCATTTTAGGAGGGCAGTTAGCAAATCAAAACATTAAAGGGAGAAGACACATAAAGAAGAGTTGAAATACATTGAGTGTGGTCCTGGAGTAAAAAGGACTTCAGGATTTGATGTAGAAAAAATTGGGAACTAATCTTATATAAAAGGAGGGAAATATGCCTCAATGTATCAGCAGGAACATTATACCCAGGTTAAATTTTAGGTTTGGTGGCAGGTTGCTAAAAGGTTTCTTGTGTTCCGGTCTCTACGTTTTCTGTGAAGACAAAGGTAAGGTCATCTGTTGAGAATCAGAAGACAGGTTTGGAGGTTAAGGGTAGGTTTGTGTGAAAGACTAGCACTCACCCTCCATTTGACCTGTCTTGTAACCTGTCAGCTAGTATTGCAGAAATTAGAAAGATAGAAAGATATTAAAGCTAGGGACCTTGATGTGATTTCTGTTTAGTCAATTACATGCACTTGTGGGAGATTGAGACAAAGCCATGATCTGCTCATTCTGAGTTTCTACTTGCAAGTGGATTTATGGGATTATAGTATCATTGAGTTTTTCCACAGTAGTGTCAATGGAGATTCCCTGTCATGTCACTAGTTTCATGATTGTTGAAAGAACAAATAAATGTAAATTATCTAGTAATAATTATAATTGCGGCTCAGTGACTGCTATTGTTTCTCGATTCGTAGATTTCAGCAGTGTGTTCCTGGAGCCAACTGTTCCAGTAGCAGCCTTCCCACTTCCTGATTCAGGCAAGGGTAGCAGCTTTGCTTACAAGCCAAATCTGTGGTATAATCCTCCTCCCCCAGCTTTCCAGTACTTTTATAAACATCTGATTCCCAGAAATAAATTCCTTTCTGTGAGGTGGCTGGCATGGTTTCTGTTACAACCACTGAATGCAACTGGAGCAATCTTTGCCATCAGAGGAGTTGTGGGAATAGGCACTTTGTACTGTTCAGTTGGCCTATTTGTGTTTGAAGGCCAGGCATATCTGAATCCATTAAATGATAGGATACTAGAAGTACACAGAAACCAGTGGCAAAATCAGTTAAATTTTTTACCTATGGCCACCTGAATTGAAGTACATGATTTTGCAAACCAAGTATTGAAAGCCATAGCAAAGAATAATGTCACAGGCATGAGGGAGTCAGGGACTGAGAAATGGGTTGCCTGCTTCTGATTGCATTGGGGAGCTAAAAGAAAAAATAAAATCTGGTGCAGAAAATTAAATTCTCATATTAAGGCATGGTCAGAGAACCAGGGATTTTTCATGACTCTCCTGAATGTGTATCTTATCTCTTGTACCTTCATGGATGAAGATGGTAGGGCTGAAAACTAAACACAAAGGATTAATCTGTGGACTACTAAACTAAAAGGTACATTATATTCACTCTCTTGCAGAGTGACATATATGAGTGTTAGCTCCTTGGTTGGGAAAGAGTAAAAGTTCAAATATTAGAAAAATAAAATTGGGAAGATTTAGAAAATTCTAACAAAATCTAAGGCTCTTGTGTTAGCAGAAGCAGCTCCTCCTCCCATGTATGATGAAGGAGGGGTATACCTATTTTTCTTATATCCCACCTCAACCTTCCATCACTGCCCTCATGGAGTAGATCTCTGAAAGCAGCTAGAAAGCCAATTATACTCAATCCAAGGAAGAGAAGTTTTGTATCCTAAGGAAGTGCTAGATTTTACCATTTTTTGTGCATAAATTGTTATATGTGGAATAGATTCTGAGAGTGCTAGACCATGGATTATGAAACAAAATTTTAGAATTGGCTAAACTGATTGCTATAGGTGTGTTTACAGAGATTCTAGATGCTGTGTATTAGCTCAGATAGCCAGGAATGGCTCCTATGGGTTATTTGGCTGACTGAAAGCTGGGCCTAGCAGGGGACTATGCTGAATGATGTTTATATATTACAAATTTCTTAGTCTGTCATATATGAGACATCCAAAGACATAGAAAATAAGAGACATAGAAACGGATTTAATATGTATCCTCATTTAATTCTCTTTTCCCAGCTATGTACCCTAAGAGGGCCCATTTACCAAGGGATTAAGATTATATTAGTAAATGAAAGGCCAGCATCTTTAAAAAAAAATGCATTGTGATGGCTGTCCTCTGTAAGCTGAACATATTGCTCCTGAAATGAGCTCCCAGATTTCAATAGTGATAATTGCCAAGGTGACAGATAAAAACTTAGCAGTACTTAATCCAAGTAGCAAAATGGATCCTGTTATCATAAATGGAGCAGCTTTGGAGTGGTATTCATAACATGTAAACCTTAGTGATCTTTGACTGCAGATGGTTGCTCAGGAGGTTAATAGACTTGAAATAAATGGGTAGCTCATTAAGGAAGATCCCACTTGTTTTGAATAATCAAAATAACACTGGGAAATAAAGGGCCCAGGACATCTCTAGGCTGGAAGCTTTACTGATAGATGAATTAATGATCTTCAAATTCTTAGGGGAAGTTTTCAGACAAAACTTAAGAATGTCTCATGAAGAACTTTTACATAGGGATCTATCTAGGACAGTTTCAAAACAAAGTTTACCCTTATATCAGCTAACCCAGAAAAAAGAGAAGCCTGTCTGTCTGTCTATCTATCTATCTATCTATCTATCTATCTATCTATCTATCTATCAATCATCTATCTACCTACCTACCTTCCTGCTACCTACCTATCTATCTACATTTTTTAGTAAGTCACACCTTTATAGAAGCTTTTTCTGGTTAAAGCATGATAGAAACATCATAAGTGTGGTGTAAATTTCACAAAGAATTTGTTGCCATCGAAGGAGACATCAAGAATGAACTCCATGTAAATATTTTGAGAACAATTTTATCAAATAATGAAAGACAGGATGCAACAATCATTTTATGAGTGAAATAAATAGATAAATATAATCACAGCAGAAAAAGAAAGTAATATGGCCCTTGCATCAGATGTGGAAGATAAATGTGAAACAAGTCTGAATGTATTTATAATTAGTACACGTGTTTGTGTGCAGGCACACAAAGAAAGTTTAAAAAATAACATCAAAGAATAAATTCATACAAAAATAAAAGAGAATATAGTTTGATCTCCAGTTTATAAGTATTACTAATTTTGCAAATAGGTAGGGGCATAATCATGAATCCCTTCCTCGTCAGAATACCCAGTGCTCTTCCCATTATATGACAGCATTGCTGTTACGTAGCCCACTGAGTAATGAGTACAGAAATATTACTCTTGGGCAAGTTTACTCATTAGTATCCTTATAAATATACACTTTAGAGCACACATTATTTTCAAAGAGGACAGTATGGTTCCTGAGGGAGCAAAAATTGGTTCTTGGTGGGTGAAAGAATGCTTACCCTTTTTATGTATAATTCAGAGATATGTACAGAGCATATAAATAAATTTACAGTTCATCTGAAGTACTAAAATTTCACGGGGAGGGCAATTAGGGAAAAGATGTCTAAAAAGTGTCTTTAGGGAGGCATAATGAAAAAAAGTGTTGAGAAACACTGCTTTAGGAGAAACTAAACAGAAAAGGGATGCAAAGCATAGTCATTTCTTTTTATGTCTGCTGTCAAATTTTGATTAATCATCTTAATCTTATAGTGCATGGATGAGGAATAGCAATTATCTTTATAGCTAGTTATAATATGAAAAGAAGTAAAGTATATTTAGAATCAGAATTTTTAGCCTTTTTAGTAGCTGCTTCTTGAGATGCATATATAACAAGCATACGATGTAGGGTATATTAGCACAGTGAGTGATCATTGAAAGACGGAGTGAGCAGAAAAACACAAGAGAAGCTGATGCAATGTATGAAATGATGCTCATAGGGAGAAACAGTGAAATAACAACCTGAAGCAAACAAAGTGACTTCCATCAGGGAAAGAGGTTAAATTTCATCTCATAAGCTCAAAGAGGCACCTGGCTATTCTCTTATTACCTCTGGTAGAAAGTCTTGTGCCAGTTCCGAGGCTTCCTGAGAGACTGGAAGTGAAACAATGTCACAGCTTAGCATCATTAAGGAGTGGAGGCAACTCCATTGGAGAGAGAGAGAATGAGAGAAAGGGGTGGGTATGAGTCCTTATAGGAAAAGGTAGAGAGTAATTCTTCACTATTCCGAAAGTTTGACGATAGAAAAGAGTCCCAGAAGCGCTGGAAGACTTAATGGAGAAGGAAGCACTCCCAAATGTCTTCCTTACCGTAGGAGGAAATTAATACTTCATTAATATCCATAGTAAAGTGAATGGGTTTTGCGGGTGAAGGTTGCCCAGGATTTATCAGTGAATATTTTCAGTTTATCTTCTTAATGTTAATATATGTTATAAGCTCATTTTTGTTAATTATACCTCTTAATATAATCTTGTGACAAGATTATTTGTCTTATGCTTTATCTAGCCTCTGGAGTGTTGGCAATATTCCAAGAAACTACTAAAATTTTTGAAAAGATGCTGCAGATTATAGTACTACCTTTGTGACAGTAAATCCATGTTTCTTCATGTTCTCCATAGAACAAATGGCTTATGTTATCAAGCCTCCTTGATGAGATTGAGAATAACTTCCCTTTTGTTTTAAAACCAAATTTTTAAGAACTAAATTCATTTTGATATACATATGTCATTGTTGAGAAGGAATCTTTCAGTTTCTCATTGACTTCCTAAGTAACAAGGAAGGCTTAACTCTTGCGTGCATCTGTTCTACTTGACAGGACACTTGTGGCACAGCCCCAGGTTCTTGTCAGTCTGGCATGTTTGAATCCTTCTGAAGCATTTAGTTGGCTTGTTGTTTTGTGGGTAACCTGGAAGTCTCATCGCAGCAACAGAAATATGCCGTTTGAACGGTCCAGAGAGCTACAGTGTTAATATTAACTCACACATCTGTCAGAGATTCAGCCTAAGAGCTGAAGAGCTATCTGCAATTTAAATTGATTGCCAAGAACTTAACACTAATTGACATGCTAGATTCATAACTAAGTAACACATTATGACTAGTGCCAGTCATCTTAGAGAACACAATTCCCAATCTTGCTGCCCATTTTATCTTTAGAGGCTGAAATGACATTTTGGAGAGGATTCTTTCAGAAAATCAAATTCTCTTAGAAAAATGTGATGATGATGAATATAATGAAGAGGAATAGCATTGCTGTGATCTGTTCATGATAATCTGATCATTTCTATGTTATGAGAGGTGGCCAAGAGAAGTGTTTAATTGATCTCTACGATACCTTCCTCTAGAGAGATCCTTGACCAGGTAATGGTCATTTTCCATTGCAAATTAAGAGGAGGCAGAAAAGAGAAGAGTTGAATTTGACACATATCTTTGCCATTACATTTAACTCTACAATCTTTATTTCTCTTTCCCAGCCCAAATATTTCAAATGCCTTAAAAATGCAATTTTTAAATTTACTTGTCGAAAGGAAACTCTACAATGATATACAGTCTGATAAAGGAGATAGCTTATAGAGGTCTGTGCCTGACGACTCTCTCTCAGGATACAGATTTTTTTTTTCCGTTGTCATTAGCACCAGTTTCTCCTTGACATTTCCCTCCACAGAACTGGAAATGTGCCTTTTAACATTGTTTTAACAACATTATAGCACTAATAAACAATTGTATTCTCTATGATATTCTGTATGAGATTTTTACCTTTGTGAACAGGATCTGTAGACAGTCCCTTTCTGAGCATGATGATTATAAGGATGACTTGGTGGATGAATTCATTAAGCAGAGATTTATTCATATGCCTCATGGGGTCACCAAAGTGTATAACATTCATGCATACTTATCTTTTGCAAGCATCCCCATAAATAAGCCCATTTCTGATTGATGCTTATATGTGATAGATCAGAGCACAATCATTCTGCCAATCACTGGTTACTCATGCATGGAATTAAAAATCTTCCAGATCCATGCCATTTCTATATTTGGTTTGGCTTTACCTATTACTCAAAGTAAGAAAAAAAAGAGAAGGAGGATAAGATGTAAACAGATATAATTTTAACATTAAAAGGATAGCAGGATACTTTCAGGCTGTTCCAAAAGAACTGAAATAGCATCAATCTAATAATATCCTACATGAACATTGTTGAATTTATAAATATGAATGACATCGGAATAGCCACTGAATGCTATTATGGTACTTACAAATAGTGAATAAATGTACCTTTGTAAGAATTTAACCCATTGGCATTAGATAAAAAGGACCAATGGCACATTTTAGGGGAAGTTTACAAAAGAACAGAAAAAAATGGACTTTTCTTCAAATTACACACATTTTATTTCAGTTGTGATAAAAATTACTGTAAAACCTAGCCTGTTTATGAAATAGTTGCACCCTAATATTTTTGATTTTTGAAAATTATTCTTGGATCACTATATAAATAGGAGCTCTAATTTCTTATCATGGAGAACTCTCCATAAAAATTTCAGCATTTTTCACAAAATTATCTTTCTATAAACATGCGTGAAAGAGCAAATGCTTTTAGAAGAAAGATTATAGAATTACACTGAAAGATTTGAATAAAAAAGCCAAGTTCATTAAGGCTATATTATCCAACATTAACTTGATTGTACAATTAGCTGCTTAATTCATATTTTAGAGACTGTAGCATTGATTTATGACAATGATCAGGACTCAGAATTCAGAAACAGATCATATTGCAAAGCAGTAAAAATAGCAGTTTATCCACTTGTGTCAAGAACACATAATGAAGTTCTCTTTTTGGAAAAAAATAGTCTTTTTTGGCCAGAATAAATACATGCTTACATATATTTGACAATATAAACTTAAGAGCTACTTTATGCTGAGCATGTCGCTAGCTGTTAATGATACAATGATGAGCAAATCACAGAGAACTGCTGCCCTATGGACACTGCATTACAAAATTTTAAATAAATATTCATGGCTTTAAACAAAATATTAAAAAAAGAAAAAGGATACTTAAAAGTAAATTGGATGAAATAATAGTATGTCATTGAAGTATGACAAATTAGCATAAGGAGAAAAGGCAATTCCAACAAAGCCAAATAAAGTAGCACAGGAAAATATCATCATAGACTGTGAATAAATTGCCTTTATGTAAGTCATTAAATTGTTTTCAGTGAAGGAATCTAAAATGGATTGATATGAATTATAAGTTATTTGGGATGTTTATGAATTTCCAATAAGTTATTTACCAGAGGCAATTCTTAAATATAGAAGTATAAGAGATAGAAACACAGAAATATAAAGAGATATTATAGAAACTCTGACAGAGAGATTAAGATATAGAGAAAGCAATCAGAATATACAGTATAGTAATTTCTGCAGAAAGAACAAATGAAGAGACAAAAACGAACTATTATTATTCATAGAAGATAAACATTAATTATAAATTCAGAAAGCAGCAAAAATATCTATCAGAACGAATAAAAATACACCCATATATAAACTAATTTAAAAAATGAGTGAAAACCAAATTACCCGTAAGAATAATAAAATTGGAAACATTACAAAGACTTCTCATCTTGCAAGATAAGATGTGGTAAGTGTATGTAAATAATTTGACAAGGAAAGGAAAAATTCATTGAAAAACAAAACTATTACAAAACTGATGCTATGAAAAACCGAATAGTTTTATATCTAAGGAATGGAACTTGGAACTTAAAACCTTTACACAAATAAAATGACTGGCTTGGATGGCATTACTGGTGAATTTTAATAAACACTCATGGAAGAAATAACAGTTCATCAATTTTACATGAACCATTTTAAAGAGTAGAAGAAAAAGGAACACTTTCAACATAGTTTTAGGAAACCAGCATAATACTGATACCACACGCCACTCTTGACATTGTAAGAAAATAATAGTTCAACATCCAAAGTTAACACAGTAGCAAATATCCTAAACCAAATATTAGAAATTTAAATCTAGCAATATATAAAAAGAATAATAAATTATGGTCAAATGAGATTTATACAAGGAACGCAAGAAGGATTTACTACTTGGAAATAAATCAATATAATTAATAATATTAACAGAGTGAAGGAGAAAAACATAATCATTTAAATGAATGTTCAGACAGCATTGAATAAAATTGAATTCCTTTTCATAATAAAACATCTCAGCAAACAACAGTGGAAGTAAACTCAATCTAATAAGGAGGATTTATGGGAAACCTACAGTTAATGCCATTCTTTTTTTTCTTTTTTTTTTTTTGAGACAGAGTCTCGCTCTTTTGCCCAGGCTGGAGTGCAGTGGCGCGATCTCAGCTCACTGCAAGCTCCGCCTCCCGGGTTCACGCCATTCTCCTGCCTCAGCCTCCCGAGTAGCTGGAACTACAGGCACCCGTCACCTCCCCTGGCTAATATTTTGTATTTTTTTTAGTAGAGACGGGGTTTCCCCATGTTAGCCAGGATGGTCTCGTCTCCTGACCTCGTGATCCACCCGCCACGGCCTCCCAAAGTGCCGGGATTACAGGCGTGAGCCCCCGCGCCCGGCCAAATGCCATTCTTAATTGTGAAATGCTGTGCGCTTTTCAACTGATGTCAAACAACAAAAAGACAAAGGTAGCCATTCTCCATTGTTATTTAGCATTGTACAGGAGTTCTGAACCAGTGCAATAAGGTAAGAGGGATTGGAAAGGAAAAAGTACAACTGTCTTAACAGTTTGCATTAACATATTCATAGAAAATACAAAAAATTGGAAAAGTACTAGAACTATTGAATTAAGTTATCAAGTTGAGAATATGTCAATATTGCAAAATTTATTGTTTGCCCATATATTAATTAGAAACAATTGGTAAATAAAATTTAAAATACAACATTTACACACACACACACACACACACACACTTCCAAGCTCTGTCTGCTGTGAAGCCTAGACGCAATGAAACCTCTGTAGCAATGAACACATCTGGTGATCAGATCTGGGTTTCTACTACCATTCTCCAATTAAAAGAAAAAGAATTCTTGCAGAAATGACTGATCTATGGTTGGGGTGGGAAAAATACAAGATGAGTCTGGAACATCTTATATTTACAGAACACAAATGCTCAAAAACCAAAGTGGTAGGAATGTGTCAGAGACACAGAAGCTAAGGGAATAAACTCCCAGTGGCCAAACTGAACAATTTGAGCAGCAAATTAAATAACATAGCTTAGAATTTTAACTCAAAGCATAAAATAAATGTGCAAGAGTCTATATTGATATGAATAAATTATTGTATAAATAAAAAATGGGAAGGAATAAATCTCTATCAAAGAATCTCAAATAATATGCAGAAATGGTTCCCTCAGGTAGGTGGAACATAATCTCTTTATCCCCTTAAGTTGGGCTACATGCAGTGACTTACTTTCAAAGAGTGCTGATACAGTTTGGATATTTGCCCCTTCCAAATCTCGTGTTGAAATTTGATCCCCAGTGTTGCAGGTGGGGCCTGGTGGGAGATGTTTGGGTCACGGGGGTGGATCCCTCATGAATGGCTTTGTGCTGTCCCCATGGTAACCAATGAGTTGTCACTATATAAGTTCCCGCAAGAACTGCTTGTTAAAAAGAGTCTGGCACCTTTCCCTCTCTCTTTTCCTGTACTCTCGTCCTGTAATCTCCTCATGCTGGCTCCTGTTCCCTTCCTACTTCTGCCATGAGTGGAAGTAGATGCTGGTGCCATGCTTCTTGAACAGCCTACAGAACTATGGGCCAAAAAACTGTTTTCTTTATAAATTACCCAGCCTGAGGTATTCCTTTATAGCAATGCAAAACAGACTATGACAAGAACAGCACAGTGAAGGTTAAAAAAAGGAGTTACTTTACAATGGAAAAATCAGACAGATACCACCTCAGGGCTGTAATCAAGCTTAACATATTCAATAATAAGTCATATTGATAGTATATACTCTTGATAAAAAGTAATGAGAGTGGTACTTTACTTCTGTGGGCTTCCTTCCAAAAATCTCATAATCTAATCTATTCATAAGAAAAATATCTATGAACCCAATTGAGAGACATTCTACAAAATACCTGACTAATACTCAGGTTGAGGTTATAAAAATAATGTAAAAAATTTTCACAATCTAGAGGATCCTGTGGAAACATGGCAACTAAATATAATGTAGTATCCTGGATAGGATAACGGGACAGAAAAATAACATTAGTAAAAACTAAAGAAATCCAAAAAGCACAGACCTTAATTAATAATAATGCATCAATATTTGTTCACAAATGTTAACAAATATATCATCCTAACTAATGTAACATGGTAATAATAGAGGAAACTGGGCATGGGATCTAGGAAAATTCTCTGTACTGCCTTTGCAAATTTCTTGTAGACCTAAACTATTCTAAAATAAAAAGGTTATTTTTAAAATATAACATGTACAAGCATGCATCCATACTTAGGAATAAACTAAGAGATATGACAACCCCTGAAAAACATAGTTCTGAGTAACTGAGTAACTGAAGAAGGCAAATAAATTGATATACTATGTTCATGGATTAGAGCACTTAATACCTATTTTATGTTTGTTTTGTATTTAATGCTTTTCATATTCTTCAGAAAGTATGGTAGAGAGAACTTTGAATTTTGATAAAGGATATTTATAGCAAACTCAAGCAAACACCATATTTATTTTGGAAACATTAGAAATATTCTCTTTAAAGCCAGGAATAAACTCAATTTCATTTAACATTGCTTTTGTTGAAACATCAAGACAAGAAAAAGTGGCAGAGTGTGTAAGTACTGACAGGAAGAAATTAACATGTTACTATTCCTAGGTGGTGTAATTATATGAAGAAATTATAAAGCATGAGGACTAAAATGAGAGTATTTTGGGCAATGTAAAAAATAATCATGTTCTTATGTATTGACAATGAAGTGTTAAAAAATAACTAAAAGGTTATAATTTTAAAAGCCTATTTTAATAATGAAGTATAAATAATTAAATCTAAAAGATATGCAAGAATTTATGAGGCATATGCCTTTGTTAAATGATATTAATAATATTTAAATAAAGAGAGTGATGCATCGTATTCATGGACAGAAAGACTCAGTAGTTTGAGATGACAGTTTCCCCAGTGCTCATCTTTATATTCAACTCAAGTTTATTTTGTGGAATTTGACAAGATAATTCTAAACTTTATGAAAAGCCAATTCCCAAGAATACTAATTAATACTTTAAACAGAATTTTTAAACTGTGTGTTTGGTAAGTTGTCCTATTAAATATCAAGTCTAATATAAACTGTACTAAACAAGACAACGTGATATCAGTGCAGGCATAGACAAATAGATCATTAGCATAGAACTTGAAACCGACCCATTAAATTTCATTACAAATTATTGGAAGTAATTATTCAATTGTGAAATGAAAATAAATGCCTACCTTACAAATTACATGTACGTATACATATACAACTGTACAAAACTCCAAGGGGACTAAAACCTAAACAAGAAAGCAAAACTCTTTTATCAGATAGTATAAGAAAATATCTTTATGCACTTGGGTGAGAGAAGAATTTCTTATGGCAAAGAAGCATAGAGTATTAAGCAAACAAGGTTAAATTTTGTGAATTAAAATTATTTATACATCAAAAAGAATGCCTTGAAGAGTAGAATAAATGTTTAAAATGCATATAGCTGACAAAGTATTCATCTTCAGAATATTGTGTGTGTATGTGTTAATTGTGTGTGTATAATAAAAACAAGCAACCTTAAATGGAGAAAATATATTAAGAAGCATTTTGCATAAAGAACATCTGAATCATTTATTAAAATGCTTAACCTCACTGTTTATCAAGGAAGTACATGATAAGCAGGAATTAAGTCCAACTTTACAACCATTATGTAAGTTAAAAAATTAGAAGTGGGTAAATACTAAGTGTTGGAGAACATGTAAAACAATAGGAAATCTCATAAAATTGCTAATAGGTGCTTCAAACAGAATGACCACATTGGAGAGCAATTTAGTAATTTGAATGGGGAGCAATTTAGTAATTTCCAAGTAATTACCAAGTTATCTCACTCCTAGGAATATACCCTGTAGAATAGCTTGCATATATATACTATATTAGAAGGTAATACACAATGATTTTTTTTTTTTGAGAGGGAGTCTGGCTCTGTAGCCTAGGCTGGAGTGCAGTGGCACCATTTCAGCTGGCTGCAAACTCCGCCTCCTGGGTTCAAGCAATTCTCCTGCCTCAGCCTCCCGAGTAGCCGGAATTACCGGCTCCTGCCACCCTGCCGGCTAATTCTTGTTTTTTTAGTAGAGATGGGGTTTCACCATGTTGGCCAGGCTGGTCTTGAACTCCTGACCTCAGGTGATCCGCCCTATGCAATGATTTTCAATGCAGAGATGATCTGTAGTATTGAAAACATTAGAAACAACCTACATGTCTAGCAAAGTAGAATGGATAAATATATTATGAAATACTGAAATGAAAATGAAAAAAACCTTGTCTACATATACAAGCATGGAGTATCTCAAAAAAAACATAAATTTATACCTGAAAAATGAAGCCAAACTAAGCTACATGTGTATACTTCAATATGGTCATTTTGATTATATTTTCATACATACAGAATGAACATTTATATCTTAATATCAAACTCAGGAATAAAGCTTACCTTAAGAAAGGAAGTTTCATGTATTTGTACTGTTTAATTTCTTAAGATGGTGATAGTTTTTTTTAGTGTTACTTATAATCCATGCATCTTGGTATGCCTGTAACTTTTTTTTAATAAAAAATACTTCAAAAAGAATGTCTAGTAGTTTAAAGATTCCCTTAACATATATATAGATATATGGAGAGATAGATAGATAATATCATTTTTTATGCTGTATTGGCTTAGGTATCTCTCGAGAATCTAACGACTCAATAATTTAAAGTAGCATTTATATATAAGTGCTTACTGTTGCAAGTAAAATGTGAGCCTATCATTTGTATGAAAATTGAAAAACTGTAGGTTTGGACACTTCTGTGAGATCACACTGGACCCTCAGATCCTTCCTTCCAATGTGCCATGCATCTATGTACACCGACACCTGAAAAACTATTAACCCAAAATGTCTCATCTTTTTTGTTCTCATTTTATAAAAATGGTTTATTTTATGGGCACTGGTGAAAAGTAATGGTTCAATGTATAAATATTGATTTAAATCACATAGCAGCACAATTCTCTAACTTTCTAACATATGTGTAACAAGATGGAGAGTCATCTGTTTTTTGAAGATAGATAAAACCAATATGTTCATTTAAAAATACTGTACTACTGTATATACATGCCCAAACTACTATGGAGACTGTGAGGGGTAGGATTTAAAAGGGGTATAAGCAGGCTCTGGGATGCTACTTTTGACTTGAGTGTGGTTACATGAATGTGTGCACTTTGTATTAATTCACTGTACTTCACTCCTATAATTTGTGCACTTTTTTGCATATGTATTGAATAAAAAGTTAGGAAAAGGAGGCTCATTATTTTATCTTTATAATGGAAAAAAGTTTATGATTCAGTAATAAGTAAAGAAGTGATTTGTCAGAATAAAATGATTACATCATCCTTTGTGCTTAGCAAAATGTTTGGTTCATTATATGCTCCCACAAAAAGATTCACTGAATGAATGAATGCATAAACCATGTAAAAAATATGTGCAGTCAAAACATTTAGAAGTAAATATAAATGTAGCTAACTGCTAATAGTGCTGGGTTTGTGTGGGGGCGTTATGGGTGGTTGTTTTCTCTCTTTTTCAAATTTTAAAATAAATAATGGACTTTTAATGTCATCGTGGGTGTAGCCAGTCCCATAAGGTGCTTCTATGATGGAAATTTCTTTCTTGCTTCTGTCATAGTTATGCTTCATAGTGTGTGTATATATATACATATTTCTATTTTGGAGTTTTTCTTAAAAGTTTGACAGTTAGCTGAGAACATCTGGACCACCTATAGCCAGCCCCCATCCCCAGATCAGATCAAATGGAATTCCCTTTTACCTATATCATGGAAGCTGCTTATCATCTCAGTGATTTTTTTCTTCAAGATTATTCATTTTTGGTTCTTATAACTAGGTATTTTAAGTACTGGAAGGCATAGGGTTAGAGAAATCACATATTAATGCTGTAGACATTCATAGTCCTGCAGACTTTTTCTGATGAAAAATAAAAGCTTTCATTTAAAGCTTTTTGTCTAACTTCTAACGTTCTCACCTGTGATCACCAAATAGATATGCTCTGCCTGACACACTTGGCGTGTTAAATTTTAAATTTGTGAAGGTTTTTGTTTACTTTTAAATAATCTTTTGAATTAAGATATAACAGCCATTCATAACATACACAAGTCTGCAGTGTCCATTAAAAGATTCTGACATATGCATATACCTGTGTTACTACTACCCAGATCAAAAAATAGAACAATTTTGGTACCCAGAAGGCTCCGTGGTACCTCCTCACAATCAGTTACCAACCACCTCCCACCCCTGACCAAAGATAGTCTATCAGAATTCAGAAGTCTTTTATCATCAGAATTGATTTTTTCATGTTATTGAACTTCATACAAACGGAAGTAATTGGTACATGTTCTATTGTGTTTGTTTTCTTTAGCTCATAATTATGTTTATGAGAAATATCCATGTTGTTGCTATGTAATATTCCATTGTCTCAATTGTGAAAATTAATGATGTGACTTGGGGTTATTACAGTCATACCCAACTAGATGGGAGTTAAGGACCATGGGGAAAAAGCACTCAGGTCACAAAGCTCCTGCTCCAGGAACTGTCTGGCAAGCCAGGCTGCAGAAATAACTTGCTATATCTTAAAACCCATTTTACCTAGTAACTGCTTCCATGTAACTGCTACCTTCCATGCCTCAAAGATTAGTTTACCTTCCACCAAGATTAGTTTTACCTACCACCATCACTCAACAATTACAGCTTGCCAAAGCTGGAAGAACTTGTCTAGGCCAATGAACTTTCTTTCAAAACATTTTACAAAACTTTTCTCTTAACCAATAAAACCCCAATCTTTTCTTTTGTTCTGTGGACACCCTGAAGACCAGCCAGGTCTGTGTGTATGCACCAAATTACAATTTGGTTTTTGCGTATATTTCCAAAGAAAACCTTTCTTTGCATTTGCATTTCTTTGCATTGTTAGACCCAACTTAACAAATGCTTTCATCCTGGCACATAAGCCTTATCCACAACTCATCATAGGTTTGCAGGAGCACACTTCATATAAAAGCCACTTAATGTGGAGATCTTAAGCTTCCCCTCATTGAAATAATCACGTGCTTCTTTTATCATCACAGTTTAAAAGGCAGGACAGATGTGCCTCTCTCGCCAAGACCATGTTCCCAAACAGTAATGATGGTAAACTAGTTTTATTTTTAATTTAATATTTTTAAGAACGGGAATTTCCAGTAGTTGTTAAATCATTATCTGTTTAAGAAGAATGTGAACTTGAAATAATTGAGGTGGAACAAGTCCTTAAAGAATCTCATTATGACTCATATATGAGGGTAATAAGGAAGTTAAAATGCTCATAATATTTGTAGAAAAAAGTTTGGTGACTATGTGTAAAATAATGAAACTGTACTCAAGTGAGAATGGTTGGTACTACATGAAATTAATCAGATTAACAATATTGGGAAAGGAGTTTAACAGCTAAAAAGAGATTTGAGTTTATATTGTTAAACTGCACACGCATTTTTTTAAATTTGTGCAAGAAAAATATGAAAAATACATTGTTTGAATTAACTTAATTAACAAAAAGTGGCCTAAAAAGTAGACTAATAGAGAAATTTTCCCAAGGATTAAAGAATAACCTCAAATGGGAGAGCTGTATTTAAAAGTGAGACATACCAGTTATAGACTAGACCAGCAGAGGGAGCTCAATATATTTAGCCAGTAAAGACATTGAAGACAGTTAAGATTCTTGTTAAGCAGACACATATGGAAGAGGATAATTACGTAGTTTTATTTTAAATATGAATTCTCAGACATAAATATATTCATTAATGATTACAGATAATTTGAGATTCCATCCTCTCAATTTTAATTGACTGCCTTAGTTGAATTCAATTATTCGTATTATAAGAACAGAAGTCAGCCTGTGCGACAGACTCCGTCTCAAAAAAAAAAAGAACAGAAGTAAACTATATTCAGCGTAAGAAGTGTGAATAAGTTTAAAAAATACATTAACACATATATTAGCATTTTTACTGAATTAAAAAAATACAGCAATAGAATAATGAGATAAAGTTTTGTTGTAGAGTCGTGATAGTGGACCCTGTGAATAAAATACAACAACTTAACCAAGTGGGAGCAAAACATTTTATGATTCTTATGATAGAAATATACTAACAAGTTCTAATTTTCTTTGTGCCTATATAGATGAACATCAAAATCACAGCTATTTTAGCTGATACCATTAAAAATTAATAAATATTGAATCTGATCATTTTAATGGAAATGATATATGTTTAGAAATTTGGAAGAATAAAAAGAAAAATACCAAGGTGGACATGATTAGGTTTGTAATACTTAACTTCTGGGATATTTGAACAATGTTCATTGACACTGCTTGAGACTGTGAAGAAGTGAGTGATAGATGCTCAAAGTGATTTCAAAAGGAATACATAATGATGGAGTATGTAGGTAAGGAAAGGCTTGCATGCTGAAGGAGAGAAATAAAACTTATGGTGAGAGTGTGTTTGCAATATCCTGCAAGCTTTTGCAGAATGCTATTCTATAAAGTCTGGCTAAATTGTTAAGGTAAGAAATTTAACTGGTGTAGCCATCTTATAGATTGTGTTATAACAGTTTTAGTGGTAGACTGATGAATTATGTCATAAAAAAGGCACTTTCAGAAAACTGGCAATCTTTAAGTCTTAATGGGAAGGAAATCTGCCTATGCCCTCTCTTTTTTCCAAGTCCCTTCCCTCCCTACCCCATAAAGATGGGTAAGACTTTAAATCTTTCCAGCTATTGCTGTGGGAAGTATTTCATGGACGCAATCATGTAAAAGAAAAATATAGAGAAGTATATTTCCAGGTTTTTAGGATTACACATGTATAGAAACAAAATGAGAAAATTGCCAGGGCTGGAAATACAATTTGAGAAGCCTAAATAGAACAAAGCCAATAGTGATTCCTTCAACTGTGGATTTTATGGACTGAATATGTACAAATGTTGGGTATAAATCAGGGCCAATTTTTCCACAAGAATCTAGAATATATCAAAGTCTAAAACAGGATTATAGCCACTTTAGAGAAGAAATTGCACCAGAACCAGACTGTTTCTAACCAAATGACATACGTCTTCTCTGCGTTTACATTCATATACACACATTCATGTTAACTTAGATTGTATCATATTGAAGATAATTCTATATAATGCCTCCAAATTTAAATTCAGTTCTTTTCCACAAATGCTTATTGTAGTTAAGCTATACTAACTTTGAATAGAATCACAGAGATGCTGGTAAATGACTTATATTGCATACATGAGGGAAACAGCTTTTTTTTTTTAAATGATGCCTGTATAAAGCCTCTTCCTGTTGAGATAGATTCCAACACACACTCACACACACCTCTACACACACTTACACCCTCATATATGTAAAAATTTGCATATTAGATTGTTTTTCCTAGAAAATTTACTACCTATTTACTATTCTAAGTAAATAGAACATAATTCTCTAATATTGGTTTTTTAAACTAATAAATCCTTAAGTATTTTATATCATCTTTTAGTTAATATTAACTTTGAGAAGTATCACAAACCATACTTACTAAATTTACAAAGACAATTCTAGCTAATTTAAGAATCATCATCTATACAGTTTCAAAAAAAATAAAATTGGCTGCTAGACAATTTTATAGATGTTCAGTGGTTCATGTGTCTATTTCTGCATTTTATTACAGTTAAATTGCCCAATAAAAGCTAAAGGGCAAAGCAGAGATACCATGTGCTCTTTAGAAAAAGCTATAAAATTTAAGACAGAAGAAATTTGGTCTGTAATGACAATTTTTATGTTTTTCTGGCTTTAATAACTTGATTATATAAAATGTTTTCAAATACAGTTGATAAAATCTATAAGTATAATGTTTTGGCAAATACCATATTCATTTGAAAAAGTAATCGAATTGAATATTTAAAATAACATTATAAACAAATTTGTAAGTGGGGTACAGAGTAAACATGTAAGTATTTACTACTCTGCTTATGTCTGGATATTAAAGATTATTGGAAAAAAATAATTGCTATGGTGACATTTTAGCTTTTAATTTGAAGTTTAATATTAGATTGTTGAATGGAGAAAATCAATGTTGTTTTCACTTATATTTATATACTCTAATATACCATCTCTAACTGAAATGTTATTACCTGCAGGTGACTGTAATTTAATTATACTATTAATTTTACATTTTAAAATCTTGTTATACTAATTTGGGTTTTAAATTACATAAAATGTTGCCATTAATGTAATTACAGATTACTCTAGTGTGAAACTTGTTGCAAAGTAAAATGCCTACCATGGTCGTCTCTGCGATAGAGCCAAAGCTGTTGATGAATATGTTGCATGTGACATTAACTGGAGGGCCTGAAAAAGAGATGAAAACATAAGGGCTGTTTAGAGACTTATCTAAAACATTTTCAAATAATTCCTTGCATTCCATTATTATTATTCCATTTTACACACACACACACACACACACACACACACACAGATGCTTAAAATTGAAGCAATAATTCCACACAACAATATGTACTGAGAATCACAAGGTTCACAAGGAACACTGATGCTGATCATTTTTTTACCTCTCTTGGTCTTAGTTTTTAAAATCTAGATGTCTCTAATGGCTCTGTAATGCCTGATGCTGTAAGTCCAGTTTCTAAGCTCATTCAGGGATAGTTTCTATTGATCTTTTCCCCGCTGCATGGGCTATACTTTTCTATTTCTTTGCATGTCTTATATTTTTTTTTGTTGAAAATTGAATACTTTAGGTAACATAAAGTGGCAACTCTGGAAACCAGGCCTTCCCACCTCCAATCCAAAGTTTGTTGTTGCTGGTTTTTCTTGCAGTTGTTGTTTGTTCTTTAGTGACTTACCTGGACCAATATGGTAAAGTTTTCATTTCCCTAGAGTGCACAGCCAGTGAAATCTCCATTTAGTGAGCTTAGTGGTAAACTAATATTTGATTAGAGATTTCTTTAAAGCCTTGAGCCAATAAATCTTCCACTCTTGCCAAGGGTCTTCCATGGGTTTGGGGACATGTCTTCAGTGCTCAGGCAGTTTACAACTCTACCTTACCCTTCACTTCCTGCTTGCACAGAGCCTGATGTCCACCAGAAGTGAGATACTGGGACTCTCTGAGGACTTCCCTGGACAGGCACACAGCCCTATGTGCATATGTAAACTCCAGATTGCAAGGATATGTTAGAGCTTTTCAGAGCTGCCTAAGAACATAGAATTTTCCAGGTCCTTTATAATTTTTGTTCAGGCTCTTACTTGTCCCAACTAGTGTCACAGCCTTAGGCAGCTACAATGTTAAACAATCTTCTAATTATTTTCCACAAATGCCCTAGAGATAGAAATTTTTCCCACCAAGTGAGTTCTTAGTGAAGTCAAATAATGGAAAGCTCTTTGAGTGAGGCTCTTCCAGGGAGCTACCAGACAGGCAGAATACTGACAAAGCTCTGGGGATGGACCTTCTGAGGAATTCCAAACTTGGTCAGCCAGCTCTGGTGGTTTTACAACTTCTATTGTTTAGGGGTGGCTGGATTGCAAGGCTGCTGTGGAACTGGGAAGGTCGGTGAAATTAATATCCCTTCTGTTCTTACAGAAATTCATCAGTTTTTCTTGAATAAACACTCTTCAGGTTGTTGTAAGCTTTTTATCAATTTTAAAAGTTCTAACGGTTAATCTTGACAATTTTGCCAATGTTTTTGTTGCTTTTTTGGAGAAGTGAACTTATTGAGTTTCTCACTCCTCCATTCTGGAAATTTCTTATTAATGCCCGACTTAGTATTCATCATAAATCCAAGGATTTTTATTTTTATAAGGCCCATTTATTCATTCCTTTACTAAATATCCAAAGCCTTTGCACACAAAACTGAAGAAGACACAAAAAGATTATCATCTAGCAGAGAAGGAGGAGCAGAAATTGGTAAATTGTTGTAAGTTTCTTGCTGCCAGGCACTACCTTAGCTGATTCATAGATATTTAATCCATAGTAACTCTGAAAGAGGGAAATATTCCATCATTAACATTTTAGGGAATTAAAGCACAGTGACCCTACGTAAGATGCCAGTAGGTAGCACATTTAGAACGTGAACCATTGCTCTGATTCTAGAAATCATTCTTTTCCCACCACCTTGTTTATATGACCTTCAAAACATTTCATTATCTGGCCACAAACTTTGTTATTAGGCAGATACCTGTATAAATAGAAACGTAAAAATATTTTGTGCTAGGGGCTAAAATAGCTCTGAGTTACACTCTATGTAAGTTAGTCGGAGAACACCACATACAGAAACTAATATCTAAGACTAATTTCTTTGTTTTTTTTTAAACTGAGCGTAATTTTTGAGTAAATTGATCTTACAAGGTTTGCTACAAAAATGCCTAGTAGCCCCTTGACTTATTTCTGTTTCCCTCTTTTTCAGAGATAATTACTTCAATTCATTTAATCATCAATTCTTCGGATATTTACCTCAATTTCTCTACATAATATGTTTTTTCTTTTAGACACATCTTCTGATGCCCACAAAGAAGATAAAGATTTAGCCTTTTTTCATACATCATCCCTATCTCTACTAACATAAGCCTTTTTTCTGTCTTCCTGTTATCCAATATTTTTGTATGAAAAAAGGCTTGGTCTTTTTTGTTAGATCAATATTCACTTTTTACATTAATATGACAAGGTAGATATTTACCCCAGCCAAACAATAGAATATGTTATGCTTACTTTTTCCTTTCCTGCAGAACATTTTCCTGATATTGGCAATTGCTTCATATATAATATTTCACATAGCTTTCTCCACATGAATCGTTAACTTATCCACAAGCCCTGAAATGTCTAAGTTTTGATTCAATATGTACAGATCCATCAGGTTCTCTATGAACTTTACCTTCCTCTGGATTTACAGAGGAATGTAATGAGAATGTTTTGCTCTGGTTCAAAGCAATCGTTCTATGACCTCCCAATCATGCTAGGAATTACTTCCATAGCTTTCTGTTGTGGGATCCTCGTTCATGGTCCCATACTTCTTTCTTGGTTTATTTCTTCATTTTAGTGGAACATATGCTCCAGTAATGTTTTGACAAATGCTGCATAAGGCTATGAAGCTTTTGAGAGAGTCCTTGTTCATCAATGTCTGTTTTTTTGCATTCACACTTAATGTATAGCTAGAGTTGGTAGAAACTTTTAGGCTGGAAATGTTTTCTTCTTATGAATTTTGAAGATACTTTTTCACTATTTTCTATTTTTCAGCATTGCCATTGAAAAGCCCAAAGCCATTTTGTAGATGACCTGTTTTTCTTTCTGAAAATAAATAGGATGTTTCATTTGTTCCAATATTTTTTAAAAACTATTTCATTAGTTAGAATGGTCTAAAATATCATTTGAAGTTGCAATTTACATTTATTTGATTACTGGTTCATGATTTTCATCTTAATTTGCTTTTCAACCTATTCTCTAGATGGCTATTTATCTTGCTGAATTAAGGTAGAGGAAAAATCAATAAAATTATTTAAAAATAAAGTTTAGGTTTCAAAGGCCTTTAAATCCTATACTACACATTGAAATCACCTGGCAATCTTTACAAACCATAGATGCTTAATTCTCACCTATGTTACTTGGTATGGCATGCAACCAAGGCATCAGTATTTTTAAAAGCTTCCTAGGTCATTATAATGTGCAAGAATGCTTGGAAACCACTATCCTAAGGAATTACAGACTAGAAAATATCTGGGGCCATTATACTACAGGGTTATCAGAGATTTTCTTAGAAATAGAAAAATACAGAGAGAGGAGTCAGGGCTTGGGAGCATTGAAAATTCCAGGCTATTAATTTCATTAAAAGCGTTGCCTATTATAAATTCGGTGAACACTGTTAATAAAACAGAGTAGATGCTATGTACTTTGAAAGGGCCTAAAGTTTACTAAACATAGGAATGTCTAGAACACATAATTCAAACATGTATAGAAGTTAAATTGTTTTAAATATGAAGGATGAACATGTAATAATAAGAACCTTATAAAAGACCTGCATCCTAGGGGCGCTGTATTTAGTTACTAATGAACATTTTAAAATATCTTCATTGCTTATTTCTGAACATTTACAAATTTCTAAAATTTGTAAGATGAGAGCAGTGTGTTATGTGCCACTATGTGGGAGAGGAGTAAACTTAGTTTACTCCATGATTAAAACAAAATTCCATATATACACCATGGAATACTATGCAGCCATAAAAAATGAAAGAGTTCATGTCCTTTGTAGGGACATGGATGAAACTGGAAACCATCATTCTCAGCAAACTATCGCAAGGACAAAAAACCAAAAACCACATGTTCTCACTCATAGGTGGGAACTGAACAATGAGAACACATGGACACAGGAAAGAGAACATTACACTCTGGGAACTGTTGTGGGGTGGGGGGAGGGGGGATGGATAGCATTAGGAGATATACCTAATGCTAAATGACGAGTTAATGGGTGCAGCACACCAACATGGCACATGTATACATATGTAACAAACCTGCACATTGTGCACATGTAACTTAAAACTTAAAGTATAATAATGATAAAATAAAAAAATAAATAAATGAAATTTCCGTCCTAAAAAAGGATGAGGTTACAACTGTCAGAAGATAATTTTTTCTTAATGTGAGTCTAATATGAACTCTGAAAAGTATCTGTAGGCTGACTGGCATCCTTGAAAAGCTAAAACCAATCTTTCATATTTTCTAGGTTATTCTCTTTTTCCACCAGATAATACTAGACTCCTACTATTTTCTTTTTTTTTTTCTTGGAATAGCAATATGAATCTGAGAAACATTATTTGGCTTGAGATAAATTCTGTCATGCTCTATTGACTCATATCCTCTGGAAAAAGGAAAACATAAGAACATCAGTATTGGGTTAATTCACCTGTAAATAAAATGCTGATGGGGTACAGCCATGTTGGGGGAACATGGCCCAGGAGGAAGCTACTATTAGACCACTGCTAGCTGCACCTGATTGGGATCTTTTTGGCTGAAACGGAAATAAATAAAAGAGTGGGGAGATAATTTTTCTTATTTTAGTTTAGAAAGGGAAGGGGTCTTTATTTCTTGGATTTTAGTTTGTCACAGGCATTGAATAAAGGATGAGGCATTCTCTATAATACATTTTGTCTCGTCTTTTAAATTTAATTAGTTTCTATATATTTATGGACAATTGTGGTGAAAGAGGCAAAATGGAGGCAAAAATTCAGCATAGGCTTCAAGGTTCTGAAGTTAGTGAAATCTGTGCTGGCACATTTCAGTGTCCCTTGGGAGCAAGTGTTATGTGGCACATCCTAATGAGTCCATTAAGGTTCTGAAAGGAGCAGTGTTAGGTACCGTCTTTGGAGGAGCAAACTTCTGATATATTTGTTTTCTTTCTAAAATATGGTGCTGACATCCCTGGTTGACCAGAGGCTCAAATAGTAAGGCCGATGGATGAAATACAGAAAATAACATCATTTCCACAGAAGAATAATGGTCAAAGAATTGACTAATTTAGGCTTTCACTAATAGGTGGGATCATAATGCCTCATTGTATTTGAAACAGACTTCAGCCTCAGCCTCCATAACATTCCTCCAATAAGAAGCAGAAAGCTCTTCCTAAAGGTGAAAAGTTGCCTGGCTTCAAAACCTAAATTTCACGTGCAAGTAAAGTAACTCACAATGGTCTCAGGCCTAAACTTTATTCTCCACCTGGTTATAACATGTTCCTTGATTGGATGTTAGAACATAAAAAAGTGTGATTTGGTTCCCATTTGACTATTTACTTGTGTATATATTTTCTTCTTCAGCAGAAAGAAGGGTGAATGAATTTGGACATCAAATCCTAATTCCAAATTTCAAAACTATGGTAGACACTTACTTGAAAGGCAGATAGATAGACACATATGCATAAATAAGAATAACTTAAAATTTTAAAATATTCAAATAAAAAACAGTTTGGAAATAAAAATCATTTCAGATCATAGAGTCTCCTCAATGTAATAACAAGGTATTTGGGATTTACTTTAGGAAAGCTTTGGAGCCATAACAGATTCTTAACCTTGGAAGTGTAGGAACTAACATGACTCGTGAATGTTTGCATGAACAGGCAAAAGCATAGAGACAGAAAAAACAGAAATTTATGATAATAGTCTGGGATGGGGACAGAATGGACCTGACCCCGAAGGACAATGACAGTCCTTGGAGATAGATTACAAAGAATGAAATGGATACAGCATCATAATATTTTAAAGGTATCACGTTCTACCCCTTCGGTTTCTGGTGCACATGAGATTAGTGCAGCAATCTTGGAGTAGTCTTTCTATCCTAGCTTTGAAATAGACATTCAAAAATTGTGTAGAGAACGAAGCTCAGAGAAGATTATGAATCTTCTATTGCCATTACAGAGAGCACCTGTTTAGTAGCTCTTGGCCAATCTGCTACTTCTCTGTGCCAATGCAAAAGCTGTTATATCTATCCAATACACTCCTATGTTAAGCAACAGAGCAAATAACTGCTATAGCATCCATATGGCAAATTGTGCTTTTAAATTGTTCACGACTTTAGGCATAGTCCTTAAAAGCAAATGACAGTAGTTGCAGATGTTTTCAGCAGTAAGTTTTCGTTTAGATGTTTTTTTTTTTTAAAGAAATAGAAGATGGCCCTTAAGTTTAAGAAATGAAGTGATGGCAGAATAGCAAAGTACAATGCAAAATCTTGGCAACGATATTATTGTTATTCATATTGGGGAAAAATTGTTCACTAGGCAGACCTAGAGCAAGTAAGAAAACAAACAAACAACTCATATGTTCATAAAAATGACTAAGGAAGTTTTCAGGGAGTGTTGTATTAAAGTTTTATCTTTTTAAAGACACAGAATGCAACTAAAAGATTAAATTTCAAAATAATTCCAACTAGAGACTTGTTTTATTTTAGATAAATGCACACACATGTCACAAGGAGAGACGTTATTTTATTTTTTATTCACAAAGCATATTTGATGACTTAAAATCCAGATTTTAAATTATCTGTTAGGTGCTTTAAAAAGGTTTGTAAATTATGGCATAGAAGCAGAATCCTGTTTGTTCTTCCCCTTTCTCTTTCCCTTCCCTTCTCTTCCCTTCCCCCAAATGCTGCACTAAAGTCATTTGTTTGGGCAGTGCAAAATAGGCTTAAGTGCTGGGATGGCTGAGGGGGTCGTAGTAACCTAAGGCAGGAGAGAAGGACATTGTGGAAAAGCTCCACATGCAGGAAATGTTGGAGGTCCGGTGAGAGAGGAAAATGTACACCCACAATAGGGAAGCCTGTTGTTGGGTGTTAGAACCATAGATGGGCAAGGTGTGTGTCTCCATGGGGCCATCCTGGCTTGCAGAGTTGGAGTCTGAACAGGCATCTACACAAGGAGATGAACCTGAGGAAGGCTTCAGAGTCCCACCAGGCCAAGGAAGGTACTTGTGTAAAAGAAGAAGTAGCAGCAAACAAGGGAGATTCATTACATATTGATTAAATAAGTAATTATATTGAGGATAATGGGAGCCTGGTTTCTTGCTGTTGGAAGAGGAAGTTAAAATATGGAAACTTAGAAACTAGACTAAACATATGGTATTGACAGTGTGAATTCATGGTTTTCAATAGATACAGAAGTATAGAAGAAAATCGATGTGTAAATGTATGTGTGTGTGTATGTGTGTGTGTGTGTATGTGTGTGTGTGCATGCATATGTGTGTGTTTATTTATGCTTATATGTGTGGGTATATATAGATATATCCTGGCAGGCACCAACTTAATCAGGTAATCATAACCTGTAATGGCAAAATCTGACATGGTCCACCATCAAATAGAATGCAGTCAAAACACATCATCATTCCTGTAATATCCCTGCTAAATGCACTACCTAATTTGAATCATGAGGAAGAATCAGACAAATGCAAAGTGAAGTATATTCTTCTAAATAACTGAATAAGAATATTTTTAAATGTCAACATCATGACAGTCACAGAAAGAATAAAGTGCTGGTTCAGACTGAAAAAGACAATGAGAAATGACAAATAAAATATGATGTGATTCTAAACTGAATACTTTTATAATAAATTATCAGAGAGTGGATGAAATTTGAATAAAGATCAGCAAATTAGAAGGTAGCAATCTATTCAACTACTTTTCTTGTTATAATGGTTAGATTGTGATTATCAAGGAGAATGTTTTTATTTGTAGTAAATACTCAAGTATTGGGGCATCAGGTCAACAACTTACATTGAAGTGGTTCAGAAAAAAAGCTTTTGCACTTGTAACACTTCTGTTAGTTTGAGATTATTGTAAAATACAAAAAAGAGAAATAATTACTACAGAAATAATTAATTAAAAACAAAAAGCAAATACAAACAAAAAATACAGGGTTTAGAATCTAACCCCATCAACATTTCAAATGAACATGTATAGTTTTAGAAGAGCTTATTATTCAAGAGATACTTCTTGTTAAAGTGACCTCGTACTAAGTAAAAATGCAAACAGAAATGTACCATTTTCAAAAATAATTGTAAATGTTATTCAAGAACAATAGTGTCTTGGTGGATAGGAATAGTAAAAATGGGTAAAGGAGACCTTTAAAATGCTAACATTTACCCTAATAAAAATGCATGTAGAAAATGAGTTTGGGTACACATGCCACCCTTGGCATGGATGTTGTTGTAGAATAGAGTACTAGAAAGAGTCAATTTGTGATGAAGGGAGAAAAGGATTAGTGAAATATTTAAGGGTAAAAGACAGAAACCACAAATACATCGTGAGGGCAAACAAAAGTTATATCTACATACAAAGAGAGTGGCCATTGGAGATAACATAAGAAAACAAAAATGCAATAAATACTTGGGAGGAAGACAGAATTGGGTGATTACTGAAGGAATACTTTCTGAAGTTGCACTTATGAGTCATAAGAGGGACCCCAAGATTAGGATCAAAAGAAAGAAGTAAAATCCAGCAGTGGTGGGTAAAATATTCTAGTGAAATAATGTTTTGTTGTCTTATAAACATACTTTTACTTGCAATTCAATTGTTTTATGTTAAACATGCTTCTAGTTTCAGATGACACCTTGAAGCTTCTATTTCAAGACAGAGAATTGAACGTCATTTTCTTTCTTTCTGAAGACATAAAAATGACATTACATAATAAAATTTTAGTGAGAATAAATGTATCATACCAAAAATAATGGAAAAAAAATAATAATTAGTTTAATGACATAAAATATAGAGCCAGATAAAAATGGTTGACAAATGAAACAGAGGTAAGCCTAAAATAAAAGCAAGCAGGGACTGCATGGAGAGGGGAAGGAGGTGGAGAGTGAGAAGGGGACCCCAGGGATAGGGCCTGGCATCTGTCTTGAGAGCTTTCTGCTTCCCCTCTGTATTTCTGTTGAGCAACGGTTGCCTGGTATTTAGCCCTATGGAATTTTTGAGGAAATGGAAATAACTTCTTTGATGATTAGGGCAAACACAGTACCTGAAAATACCTCAAACCTTAAGCCTGCTCTATTTCACCATCTGCAGGACCCAAGAATAATGCCTAGTCGAAGCTCAACACTCACCTAAAGCAAAGCTCTGGCCAGGGCAATGCAGCCTGTGTCAGAGTTCCCTTTCGAAGTAGAGAAATAACAGAAAAATGGCCCTCCTATAGCACCCAAGCTAATCACCCCTCAATTCTTCCTGAATCACAGACATTCTATCACACATAAGAAAACTAGTGGTTTAAAGAGAATGAACAATATAAATAAACATAATTTATCCTGCAGGAAGAAGCAACAAATCATTGGGCAGAGAAGAAAAACAAAAGGGGCAGAATGCAATAAAAGACGCATTAAATTAGCAGTCTACTTAGTGCAAAGGAATCTCGTAATGCCTGTGTTGTGAAAGGCCTAGAAAGCAATCAAACAAATTAGAACAGACAATCAACAGAAATAACCAATTTTTTTGGAGTGTTTGCCTCAAAGAAGTAGAACTGTGCATCGTTAGTGTTGAGGGTGAACCGCTGCTTTTCATCATTGACACTTGTAGACATTTTTTTAGCAGCTTCAGGGACATGATTGTTACTATTGTCATAAATAAAACTGACAAGCAAATAAACATACAAAATAGCACCTGCGTAGCAGCTTGTAACACAACGTCCACAACTTCGCATTCAAGGAAAATGGTTTAAGATAAAGAGGATTGTGAAGAGACCAAAACACAATTACAGAGTTAAAATCTCCCTAAACATTCACAAATTGGATAAATGGCACCATGTAACTGAGGACAAATCTGAACAATTCTGTTTATAATGTAGAGGGAAAGGAGAAAGGAGAGAAGGGGATGAGGGCAATGTGTTAGACACAGATGACTGGGGAAGATAGCAGATTTTTTAAAAATAAAGAATATTGTTTTACAGAAATGACACAAAACAGTGCCAGCATAAGCAAAAATCCTCCTACTGAAAAATGTCCAGAGATAGGCAGAAAAAAATAGCCTATATATAAAGGAGCAGAAATCAAAATGAGATTTGACTTCTTTATGATATTAAATGTCAGTAGGCAATGAATCAACATCTGCAAACTTCTGAGCTAGAATTCTGGAGCTCGATAATTGTATAAAGTTTCTTTAATGTCAAATGCATACAAAACAGATTATCCTGGAATATTATTCAATGATGAAAAGAAATGAGCTATCAAGCCACGAAAAGACACAGAGGAACCTGAAAAGCATATTGCTACCTGAAAGAAGCCAATTTGAAAAAGTCTACATACTCTATGATTCTAATTATATGACATCCTGGAAAAGGCAAAACTCTAGAGACAGTGAAAAGATCATTGATTGCCAGAGACTGGGGGTAGATGAGGGGAAGTGGGAGAGAGATATACTCATACCACAAGCACAGGAGATTTTAGGGCAGTGAAATTATTCTGTATGATACAGTAATGACAAACACACGTTGTTATGAATTTGTCAAAACCCATAAAAAATGTACAGCACAAAAATGAACTCTAATGTAAATTATGGATTTCAGTTCATAACGTACTAATCTTGGTTCATCAATAATAATAAATATACCACATGAATATGAAGATGCCAATAACAGGGTACACTGTTGGGGAGGAGAGGGCAGATATGCACTTTCCAATCAATTATTCTGTAAACCTAAAACTGCTCTTTAAAACAAGTCTATTAATTTAAAAAAGTCAGAAAAACCAGAACTCAGAAAATATATAAGCATTACTCCTGTCTTGAAAATGAAAACCTATTTTATTTTATTTTATTTTGTTTTTCAGCAAATGGAGACAAAGCTAGAATATCCTACTGTTTAGTCTTCAAGTTATAATTTATATGTGTGTGTATGTATGTATATATATATATAAAGAAACTACCAGTTTCAAGGATTATTAAGTCTTCCCTTAATTCTTAACCTGGCCCTCCAACTCTGTAACATCGTTAGGCAGTGCCTCCCAGTGAGCGCCAAGGCCTGTGGTCTGCGCCTGGGGATGTGGTGCTTTCTCTCACTGGGCCGGTTCTGTTTCTGCTCTTTTCCCTAACCAGAAAGGCTTCTAAAGAGAAAAGATTTCCAATTCTGAGAAAGAAATGGTGGAATCTACCTATTATTTTCATTTTCAAAATAAAAATAACTATTTCTTTTCTTTTCTTTTTTTTTCTTTTTTTGCTTTTACCATGTCTCATATATTTTTCTCAGCCACATCATGGGATAAAACAATAACAAGCTAACCAGATCTGATGTGAGGTTGGTAAAAGAAAAAAAACACAGGGGGGATGAGCCAAGATGGCCGAATAGGAACAGCTCCTGTCTACAGCTCCCAGCGTGACCGATGCAGAAGACGGGTGATTTCTGCATTTCCACCTGAGGTACCGGGTTCATCTCACTGGGGAGTGCCAGACAGTGGGCGCAGGTCAGTGGGTGCACGCACCGTGCGCGAGCCGAAGCAGGGCGAGGCATTGCCTCACTTGGGAAGTGCAAGGGGTCAGGGAGTTCCCTTTCCGAGTCAAAGAAAGGGGTGACGCACCTGGAAAATCGGGTCACTCCCACCCGAATACTGCGCTTTTCCGACAGGCTTAAAAAACGGCGCACCACGAGGTTATACCCCGCACCTGGCTTGGAGGGTCCTACCCCACGGAGTCTCGCTGATTGCTAGCACAGCAGTCTGAGATCAAACTGCAAGGCGGCAGTGAGGCTGGGGGAGGGGCGCCCGCCATTGCCCAGGCTTGCTTAGGTAAACAAAGCAGCCGGGAAGCTCCAACTGGGTGGAGCCCACCACAGCTCAAGGAGGCCTGCCTGCCTCTGTAGGCTCCACCTCTGGGGGCAGGGCACAGACAAACAAAAAGACAGCAGTAACTTCTGCAGACTTAAATGTCCCTGTCTGACAGCTTTGAAGAGAGCAGTGGTTCTCCCAGCACGCAGCTGGAGATCTGAGAACGGGCAGACTGCTTCCTCAAGTGGGTCCCTGACCCCCAAGCAGCCTAACTGGGAGGCACCCCCCAGCAGGGGCACACTGACACCTCACACGGCAGGGTACTCCAACAGACCTGCAGCTGAGGGTCCTGTCTGTTAGAAGGAAAACTAACAAACAGAAAGAACATCCACACCAAAAACCCATCTGTACATCACCATCATCAAAGACCAAAAGTAGATAAAACCACAAAGATGGGGAAAAAACAGAACAGAAAAACTCGAAACTCTAAAAAGCAGAGTGACTCTCCTCTTCCAAAGGAACACAGTTCCTACCAGCAACGGAACAAAGCTGGACGGAGAATGACTTTGACGAGCTGAGAGAAGGCGGCTTCAGATGATCAAATTACTCTGAGCTAAGGGAGGACATTCAAACCAAAGGCAAAGAAGTTGAAAACTTTGAAAAAAATTTAGAAGAATGTATAACTAGAATAACCAATACAGAGAAGTGCTTAAAGGAGCTGACGGAGCTGAAAACCAAGGCTCGAGAACTACATGAAGAATGCAGAAGCCTCAGGAGCCGATGCGATCAACTGGAAGAAAGGGTATCAGAGATGGAAGATGAAATGAATGAAATGAAGCAAGAAGGGAAGTTTAGAGAAAAAAGAATAAAAAGAAATGAGCAAAGCCTCCAAGAAATATGGGACTATGTGAAAAGACCAAATCTACGTCTGATTGGTGTACCTGAAAGTGATGGGGAGAATGGAACCAAGTTGGAAAACACTCTGCAAGATATCATCCAGGAGAACTTCCCCAATCTAGCAAGGCAGGCCAACGTTCAGATTCAGGAAATACAGAGAATGCCACAAAGATACTCCTCGAGAAGAGCAACTCCAAGACACATAATTGTCAGATTCACCAAAGTTGAAATGAAGGAAAAAATGTTAAGGGCAGCCAGAGAGAAAGGTCGGGTTACCCTCAAAGGGAAGCCCATCAGACTAACAGTGGATCTCTCAGCAGAAACCCTACAAGCCAGAAGAGAGTGGGGGCCAATATTCAACATTCTTAAAGAAAAGAATTTTCAACCCAGAATTTCATATCCAGCCAAACTAAGCTTCATAAGTGAAGGAGAAATAAAATACTTTACAGACAAGCAAATGCTGAGAGATTTTGTCACCACCAGGCCTGCCCTAAAAGAGCTCCTGAAGGAAGCACTAAACATGGAAAGGAACAACCGGTACCAGCTGCTGCAAAATCATGCCAAAATGTAAAGACCATCGAGACTAGGAAGAAACTGCATCAACTAACCAGCAAAAGAACCAGCTAACATCATAATGACAGGATCAAATTCACACATAACAATATTAACTTTAAATGTAAATGGACTAAATGCTCCAATTAAAAGACACAGACTGGCAAATTGGATAAAGAGTCAAGACCCATCAGTGTGCTGTATTCAGGAAACCCATCTCACATGCAGAGACACACATAGGCTCAAAATAAAAGGATGGAGGAAGATCTACCAAGCAAATGGAAAACAAAAAAAGTCAGGGGTTGCAATCCTAGTCTCTGATAAAACAGACTTTAAACCAACAAAGATCAAAAGAGACAAAGAAGGCCATTACATAATGGTAAAGGGATCAATTCAACAAGAAGAGCTAACTATCCTAAATATATATGCACCCAATACAGGAGCACCCACATTCATAAAGCAAGTCCTGAGTGACCTACAAAGAGACGTAGACACCCACACAATAATGATGGGAGACTTTAACACCCCACTGTCAACATTAGACGGATCAACGAGACAGAAAGTCAAAAAGGATACCCAGGAATTGAACTCAGCTCTGCACCAAGTGGACCTAATAGACATCTATAGAACTCTCCACCCCAAATCAACAGAATATACATTTTTTTCAGCACCGTACCACACCTATTCCAAAATTGACCACATACTTGGAAGTAAAGCTCTCCTCAGCAAATGTAAAAGAACAGAGATTATAACAAACTATCTCTCAGACCACAGTGCAATCAAACTAGAACTCAGGATTAAGAATCTCACTCAAAACCGCTCAACTACATAGAAACTGAACAACCTGCTCCTGAATGACTACTGGGTACATAACGAAATGAAGGCAGAAATAAAGATGTTCTTTGAAACCAATGAGAACAAAGACACAACATACCAGAATCTCTGGGATGCATTCAAAGCAGTGTGTAGAGGGAAATTTATAGCACTAAATGCCCACAAGAGAAAGCAGGAAAGATCCAAAATTGACACCCTAACATCACTATTAAAAGAACTAGAAAAGCAAGAGCAAACACATTCAAAAGCTAGCAGAAGGCAAGAAATAACTAAAATCAGAGCAGAACTGAAGGAAATAGAGACACAAAAAACCCTTCAAAAAATTAATGAATCCAGGAGCTGGTTTTTTGAAAGGATCAACAAAATTGATAGACCGCTAGCAAGACTAATAAAGAAAAAAAGAGAGAAGAATCAAATAGACGCAATAAAAAATGAGAAAGGGGATATCACCACCGATCCCACAGAAATACAAACTACCATCAGAGAATACTACAAACACCTCTACGCAAATAAACTAGAAAATCTAGAAGAAATGGATAAATTCCTCGACACATACACTCTCCCAAGACTAAACCAGGAAGAAGTTGAATCTCTGAATAGACCAATAACATGCTCTGCAATTGTGGCAATAATCAATAGCTTACCAACCAAAAAGAGTCCAGGACCAAAAATGGATTCACAGCCGAATTCTACCAGAGGTATAAGGAGGAGCTGGTACCATTCCTTCTGAAACTATTCCAATCAATAGAAAAAGAGGGAATCCTTCCTAACTCATTTTATGAGGCCAGCATCATTCTGATACCAAAGCCGGGCAGAGACACAACCAAAAAAGAGAATTTTAGACCAATATCCTTGATGAACATTGATGCAAAAATCCTCAATAAAATACTGGCAAACCGAATCCAGCAGCACATCAAAAAGCTTATCCACCATGATCAAGTGGGCTTCATCCCTGGGATGCAAGGCTGGTTCAATATATGCAAATCAATAAATGTAATCCAGCATATAAACAGAGCCAAAGACAAAAACCACATGATTATCTCAATAGATGCAGAAAAAGCCTTTGACAAAATTCAACAACCCTTCATGCTAAAAACTCTCTATAAATTAGGTATTCATGGGACGTATTTCAAAATAATAAGAGCTATCTATGACAAACCCACAGCCAATATCATACTGAATGGGGAAAAACTGGAAGCATTCCCTTTGAAAACTGGCACAAGACAGGGATGCCCTCTCTCACCACTCCTATTCAACATAGTGTTGGAAGTTCTGGCCAGGGAAATTAGGCAGGAGAAGGAAATAAAGGGTATTCAATTAGGAAAAGAGGAAGTCAAATTGTCCCTGTTTGCAGGCGACATGATTGTATATCTAGAAAACCCCATTGTCTCAGCCCAAAATCTCCTTAAGCTGATAAGCAACTTCAGCAAAGTCTCAGGATACAATATCAATGTACAAAAATCACAAGCATTCTTATACACCAACAACAGACAAAAAGAGAGCCAAATCATGAGTGAAATCCCATTCACAATTGTTTCAAAGAGAATAAAATACCTAGGAATCCAACTTACAAGGGATGTGAAGGACCTCTTCAAGGAGAACTACAAACCACTGCTCAAGGAAATAAAAGAGGATACAAACAAATGGAAGAACATTCCATGCTCATGGGTAGGAAGAATCAATATCCTGAAAATGGCCATACTGCCCAAGGTAATTTACAGATTCAATGCCATCCCCATCAAGCTACCAATGACTTTCTTCACAGAATTGGAAAAAACTACTTTAAAGTTCACATGGAACCAAAAAAGAGCCTGCATCACCAACTCAATCCTAAGCCAAAAGAACAAAGCTGGAAGCATCACACGACCTGACTTCCAACTATACTACAAGGCTACAGTAAACAAAACAGCATGGTACTGGTACCAAAACAGAGATATAGATCAATGGAACAGAACAGAGCCCTCAGAAATAACGCCGCGTATCTACAACTATCTGATCTTTGACAAACCTGAGAAAAACAAACAATGGGGAAAGGATTCCCTATTTAATAAGTGGTGCTGGGAAAACTGGCTAGCCATATGTAGAAAGCTGAAACTGGAACCCTTCCTTACACCTTATACAAAAATCAATTCAGGATGGATTAAAGACTTACATGTTAGACCTAAAACCATAAAAACCCTAGAAGAAAACCTAGGCATTACCATTCAGGACATAGGCATGGGCAAGGACTTCATGTCTAAAACACCAAAAGCAACGGCAACAAAAGCCAAAATTGACAAATGGGACCTAATTAAACTAAAGAGCTTCTGCACAGCAAAAGAAACTACCATCAGAGTGAACAGGCAACCTACAAAATGGGAGAAAATTTTTGCAACCTACTCATCTGACAAAGGGCTAATATCCAGAATCTACAATGAACTCAAACAAATTTACAAGAAAAAAACAAACAACCCCATCAAAAAGTGGGCGAAGGACATGAACAGACACTTCTCAAAAGAAGACATTTATGCAGCCAAAAGACACATGAAAAAATGCTCATCATCACTGGCCATCAGAGAAATGCAAATCAAAACCACAATGAGATACCATCTCACACCAGTTAGAGTGGCAATCATTAAAAAGTCAGGAATCAACAGGTGCTGGAGAGGATGTGGAGGAATAGGAACACTTTTACACTGTTGGTGGTACTGTAAACTAGTTCAACCATTGTGGAAGTCAGTGTGGCGATTCCTCAGGGATCTAGAACTAGAAATACCATTTGATCCAGCCATCCCATTACTGGGTATATACCCAAAGGACTATAAATCATGCTGCTATAAAGACACATGCACACGTATGTTTATTGCGGCATTATTCACATAGCAAAGACTTGGAACCAACCCAAATGTCCAACAATGATAGACTGGATTAAGAAAATGTGGCACATATACACCATGGAATACTATGCAGCCATAAAAAATGATGAGTTCATGTCCTTTGTAGGGACATGGATGAAATTGGAAATCATCATTCTCAGTAAACTATCACAAGAACAAAACCAAACACCGCATATTCTCACTCATAGGTGGGAATTGAACAATGAGATCACATGGACACAGGAAGGGGAATATCACACTCTGGGGACTGTTGTGGGGTGCGGGGAGGGGGGAGGGATAGCATTGGGAGATATACCTAATGCTAGATGACGAGTTAGTGGGTGCAGCACACCAGCATGGCACATGTATACATATGTAACTAACCTGCACAATGTGCACATGTACCCTAAAACTTAAAGTATAATTAAAAAAAAAATACAAAAAAAAAACCAAAAACACAAAGAACCCCTAATAACATCAAAACTTAGATGCAAATTCACTATTCTTACCAATGACCTGTGCCTAAGTGAACATAAAATCAACCATTTCTATACATAACATTTCTCTTCCTTAAGACCAAATTTTTGAAATAATGACTTGGACAAAATTCTAATTTCTATTGCATGATCAACTGGTTGAGTGATATTTTCAGCTTTACTTTCTAATTCTTTTTAGCAGCTCTCAGAACATTTCTAAACCCATATATCATTATTAAATGCCTTTTAAATAATAGTTTTTAAAATCATTATATTTAATAGGACTAAGATATAATAGAAATTTGAAGTAGTTTTTATACTTATGTCAAATTATCCTAAAGGCACAGGATCATTAGTGGAGAAATCTGATTCTCAAAAATGTTTCAGATAAATTAATACTATTCTGGAGGGGAAGAGAACAGATTAATCAGTGAAAAGGAAAGATAATGTTAATGAGTTAAGCACCTAATTATTTTAACTTATTTCAGTATTGATTTAAATAATGTTCGATGGAAGAGGCTGTCTTATCCATGGTCAATACCAATTTAAATTGCTTTAAGAGAATTATTTATTTATACTTTTCTGTGGTACATTTTAATAACATTAAACTACTTAGTCTTCAAGAGGTGAGATTTTTTTAAAGTGTACTTTTTAAAGAGAAATGACAAAACAATAAAAACAAACACCATAATTTTGGTTAAGTAAAAAAATCTACTTCTAAATTTTTGTAAATGTTAGAAGTAGAAAGCAGCAAAATCAAAGTTGCATTTTTACAAAGTCGTTTGTATTTTTTAATAGTTGTTTTCCCACTATGGCCTTCAAAATAAATTTTCTTTCAATATAAAGATACTTGTGAAAACAATCACAAATTTTATACTATTACTCCAGAAATAAATTCATAATTATGTATATAATGCTGGAACATTTCTTATTTTTAAATATTTGAAAGGCAAAAATGTTATATTACTGTTATACACTTTGCTTTTGGCTAATGAGATTAAACATTTCCATTTCGTTTCTGTTAATTGTCTGATAATGTCCATACTGAAATTTTATGTTTGCCTTTTACAAAACTTTGAAGTCCAGAGAGGGCAAACAGATAGGTATTTTCCAATGCTTTCATATTTTATAAGCACCTTTCTATCAGCTGATTACTTATCTAGGTAAGTTATGTTTCTGTGTGTTTAGGAAGAAGTGAGGATCAAATCATTTAGGTTATAGTAATATATTTTTACATATATCACAATTCCCATTCTTCTTCTTTTTTAAGAGATAGAGTCTTACTGTGTTGCCCAGGCTGGAGTGCAGTGGCACAACCATAGCTCACTGTAACCTCAAACAACTGGGCTCAAGTAATCCTCCTGCCTCAGCCTCCCAAGAAGCCAGGACTAAAGGTGTGTGCCACCATGCCTGGCTAGTTTTTTTTTTTTTTTTTTTTTTTGGATAGATGGGTGTCTCAGAGCTGGTCTCAAACTCCTAGCCTCAATCAATCCTCCTGCCTCAGCCTCCCAAAGTGCTGGGATTAGAGGCATGAGACCCATTCTTCTTTTAAAATTATTTTAGCTAATTATGCTCATTTTTAAAATTTTAATATATATTACTGATATTCATGTCTCTAAACTTGCTTACTATTAATTCATTGTCTTTGACAATTGGATAGGAAAGCATACATAACACCAATTTTAAATTAGTTCATTTGATGAGCTAACTAGATTCCTTCCAAAAACATTGATGTGGGGAAAGGCACAAAATCAACAAGGCAAGGGATTGTATTTTTAGTCATGTGAACTACCACAGAGAAAAAATGAGTGCAATATTATCAGGAGAACAGGTTCTTCATTTTCTACATCTATGTTTGATGAGCTTATTTTTGCCTGAGGTGAGGTGGGCCCCTAGGTACATGACGACACAAGGGCTGATCATTCTCACCTCCTTTTGTGTAAATGTCTTCTGTTAGGTATTGGATTCAGTTTGTTAGCACCTAAATATCCTCCTGATAGCCGTAAGGAAGAAATAGCATGTAAATACTATTTTATTTATATTTCAATATTGGGTAATGAAATGATGGTCAAAAGATGATGATGTTATTTTATCCAATGAAATGACACGGTGTTGAATATACTTAATTAGGGAGTAGAGTTATAAGTATGTTTGCTGAAGTCAATAATGTTTGACCTTTGCAAAAGATGACAAAGCAAAAGTGTTAGCTAAAAACTAATCCATTAAATTATTACTTTTTATAATTGATATTATTTTTGGCTATCAAATGCAGCCTGAATTTTTTTTCTAATGTTCAGAGCACAAGATATTTTGAAAAACAATGAGAGAAAATCTTCCTTTTTCTTTTTCTTCCTTTAGTGACACTGGGGTGTAAGAATGAATTTTAGTCTCCCCCAAAATCTAATCACCTCTGAACTGGCTTGGTGATCAGCTTGTTTTTAGGAATACATTTTTACTTAGAAAAGAATCAGTATTTGTTTTAAGCAACACCAAATCCTTGGGGGTCCTTTCCTGATCTTACATATAAATAGTAATAATCACATTTTTAAATAGTTTAATGTTTCTGTTATCTTTTAAACTATTAAAAAAATAAACTAACACTAAACTTTCCAAGAGAATGGCAAAAGCACTGAGGCCACTCTTGTGTGGTTGGTAACTTATCTGCAGTTTTATTAAAATAACTGCTGAGACTGTTTATATGCTTTTTAAATATTCACAGACATTTAAAAATAGAATGCATTTTCTTCTTTAATTTTCAGTTAAAAGAAAGAAATACTTCTGAATCACTGAATATGGACTCACCATAATGAATCTGCTAATTCCCGATTATGTGTCTTGTGGTTTAGTTAAATGACAACTGCATATTTTTGAAGATCAACTACTAATTAGTTCTCAGCGGATTCACAGGAATACTGCTTTCCCTCAATTTGGAAAAGATCATTATAATACTGAAATTTCTCATTTTCATTTGTATATTGTACCCTGTAAGCTGTACTATTTTTGTTTCTCATTTTCATTTGTATATTGTACCCTGTAAGCTGTACTATTTTTGTTTCTCATTTTCATTTGTATATTGTACCCTGTAAGCTGTACTATTTTTGTTTCTCATTTTCATTTGTATATTGTACCCTGTAAGCTGTACTATTTTTGTTTCTCATTTTCATTTGTATATTGTACCCTGTAAGCTGTGCTATTTTTGCACAACTTGTACTCAGTGCTTTCCTCCTGAAGTTGAAAATATTTATGGTTGAAAGCTTAAAAACAAATCAAGACATGTGATCCACAATTTAAATATTAAACTCATTTTAAAATTGAAGCCATTCATAATTTTCCACTCAGACATTATCAGTGAGTTTTACTTCTTTTGTTCCTGCTACCCAATCTTGATATTTTTTTACTCCATTCTAGTTATTTCACCCACTGCTAAGCATTTCTTTTTTTCTTCCATAAGGACAAATTCAAGGAAAAATGGTAGTTATAGACAACACTTTTTTAAACTTTAGCAATGAAACAGCTTAACTGAATCCCATGAAAAAAGTGTATGTTCTTTAACTTTGTTTATTTTCTTTATTGGGTAAAGTAATATTCAAGAACATGTTAAATAAGTTGGGATCTGGAAGCAGCTTTCTAATATTTTACCATTAAAGTGAAATTACAGGATATATTGTGGTTCTGGATAAGTTACATATCCTTATATAAACATGTTACTTACAACTATATTAAACAGAAGAATAAAAAGTGGTACTCTTAAATAATTGACAATTACACTCTTTCCTAGAAATTTGGGTAAAACATTTGGTAGGTGCAATAATGTCTTATACATTTCAAAGGCTGTCAGTTAGCAATCCAGACTGTTTCCCAATAGGTAAATTCAACAACGGTTAGATTCCCCACAATATAGACAGTAGTAAAGTGGCTGATTAAAAAGATGGGAAAGTTTATCACTAGCAATTAAAGAAGCTTCCATTCCAGTTAGATAACTGATAGAATAATTAAATAAAGGATACGTACATATATGTATATTCCTAAAATCAATGGTCAAGACAAGAAGTATTATAACAGTTAGAGAAGTAAAAAAAAAAAAAAAAAAAAAAGACATAGCTGGGCCAAAGAAGGCAAATTATGATAATTGAGAACATGGGAATGGATTTCTTTTTCAAGACACCTTGGTGACTAATGCAATATTTGGAAGATTGTTGAAAATAAGCATTAGAATTTCTGGTGGAATTAATTTAAAACTGTACCTTGTTGAAGTATATTTAAAACACACATATAAAGTAGCAAACAGAACAATTACCTTTAAAATTGGGTCTGATTCTTGCATCATATCCTGATGTCCTGCCCATTAATTTATCCAGAAAATCAGAAGGTGACATTGGAGCACTTCGAGATCTTGCACTGTCTGTTTCCTTTGTGGCAACCAAACTACAAATAAGAACAAAAATATAGACTTTACAAAAAGAAGTATTTCTAATAATTGTTACCTACAAATATAAAATAGAAATGCTGAGCTAAATATCTTTGGCAACAAAACATAAACCTTTAGATATCATACAGTGAAGATTATAATAAGATAGACATTTATAGATTTATAGTCAATACTTGTAAGGTTTCATATCTATTCAGTCCAATTGTCAGAGGTGGCATTCTTTTGTATTAGACCTGAAAACAAAGGCCACTTCCAAAATATTAAGCTTTCAAATCTGTGTTTACAAAAGCCTTATTTCTGATAGCAATTTTTAACCAAATGTATCCTTATTGCTTTAGGTGTAAGAAAACATTAAAATTCAACTGTGAACTACAATCTTATTGCTTTTATTGAGGGAAAACATCTCTTTTCAGGTTTTGTGAATTATTCTTAGCAGTAAAAAACTTCTGTCTAATAAATTAAACAATGTTTTTTTCTTCAATTAGAGTGCTTCCTGAATTAGCAACACACAAAGTTAAATTCATTCTGCTTTTACCTACATGTCATTAGTCTACAATACCTTTCGTTCAGATCTAAAATTTGTGTGTCAAGATTGAGAAATTGCCATAAATGTACCATGTGCACCTGGATATTATATTAGTAGAACCTGTGTCCAGGAAAGGTAGTGTGTTCCTATATTCTTTTCATTCAATTTTTTCCTTTGTGTCCAGCCACTTATCCTAGAAACCCATAGTGTAGGCTGCTTCTCCTGTCCAGCTCTTCACTTACATAGCCTTCTCCAACAGAAGCTGGGGCCTGCTTGTTAAGATCAAATGATTCTTTTTATCCACAGAGTTTTGCTCAGGAAAGTGACACTGACTTTCTGGAACTGATGTGTTCAAGCTGATGTCACTTCCTGAAGATCATCAATCATCACATGCTCCCAGCTCTGTCATTCAACTCAGGACATTGCCAAATCAAACCATTTGGGTCACCACATGATCATAACAAGATCAGTTATTAAATTCCTTAGATTTCTCCTGCCAGAATTTTAGTGAGAAGTACAACTGGGGCTTAGAGCCATCATCATTAAGTTGTTTACCACAGGGATATATGCAGTGATTCATGGGCACAGTTTTAAAATCTCATCAATCTTGGTGATAATATGAGAATGAGATTTCTGTAAGCACAGAATCACAAATAACACTATCTATTAGCTGTTGCCCTGTTCTAGAGGTTCTGTCTGGTTCTGGGCACTCTGAGTCACTTGTTTCCCCAGTGACTCTCATTCTGTCATTCTCGCTTTCTTCCAGAATGGAAGCGTTTTTTCTCCCTATTCTGTTGGCTCCATGTGACTTCGTGATCCTTTATCTCTGATTATTATTGCTCAACCAAACTGTCATTGTGATCATTGGGAAGTTTATTCTAATACAAAAATCATTATAATAATAAATATATTTTTTTAAAAAAACCTATCTTCTCAATGACTCTAGAGCTTTATTCTACCATCTGGTTTTAAGTAACTTTTTCCTCTCCTATCAAGAAGCATTTGTTTATATTCCATGGTTCAAGAATAGTGTGGAAAAGCATCGTTGGATTTTGTAGCTACATGCTGCTGCTTTTAAACCATTCTCTTTATTTCCCTTGCAAAATCTCTCCTTTCAATTATCAGAAAATAAACTTCTACCTCCTCCTACCAACAAATATACCAATTTATCTTGACCTGAACCAATAATACTCTGCCTCCTTCTCTTTTAAAAATACTAGACGATGGCCGGGTGCGGTGGCTCACGCCTGTAATCCCAGCACTTTGGGAGGCCGAAGCGGGTGGATCACGAGGTAAGGAGATCGAGACCATTCTGGCTAACATGGTGAAACCGGGTCTCTACTAAAAAATACAAAAAAAAAAAAAAAAAAAAAGAAAGAAATTAGCCGGGCGTAGTGGCGGGCTCCTGTAGTCCCAGCTACTGGGAAGGCTGAGGCAGGAGAATGGCGTGAACCTGGGAGGTGGGGCTTGCAGTGAGCCGAGATCACGCGACGGCACTGCAGCCTGGACCACACAGCGAGACTCCATCTCAAAAAAAAAAAAAAAATACTAGATGACTATGTATACTGAACCACAATCCTTCACATTGTGCACAGAATGTGGGAACGTTATCCTAGATTATCAAGGGCAGTTCTATATGCAACAACATGTAAGGATATATGTATGTATAAAGATACATGAAACAGTATCCTTATAAGGATATTTATCCTTATAAAAAGGAGGCAGAATTATATTTGATGACAGACAGAAGAGGGAAGGCAATGTGACCATGGAGACAGGAATTGGGGTGACGCGGCCACAGCAAAGGAATGCTGGCAGCCACCAGAAGCTGGAAGAGAAAAGGAATGGATTCTTCCCCAGAGTTTCTGGAGGTAGCACGGACCTACTCACACCTTGATTTTGACCCAGTGAACTGATTCCAGACTTCTGGCCTGCAGAACTGTTAGAGAATAGATTTCTGTTCTTTGTGGTAATTTGCTACAGTTGCCATTGGAAACGAATACCAACCTTCTATTGAATTTTTCATGTCTGTCATGCTGCTTTTCAACCCCAGAATTACTCTTTGGTTCTTTTTTTATAATCTCTATCTCATTATTTCCTTTTTGGTGGGACACTATCATACTTTCTTTTTAGCTCTTTGTACATGGTTTCCTTTAATTTTTAAAATGTGCTTAAAATAGTTGATTTGAAGTCTTTGTCTTGTAATTGCAATGTCTTTGCCTCCCTAAGCATGCTTCTATTGATTGCATTTTTCCTGTGTTTGGTCCATATATTTTCGTTTCTTTGAGAAACTTGTAACTTTTATTGAAAACTGGACATTTTAAGTAATATACTGTGGCGACTATGGAAATCATATTGTCTTTTCTCCCCAGAGTTTGGTGTTGTTGCTCTTTTTTAAATGGACTTTTTTGAACTAATTCTGTAAAGTCTACTTTCTTTATAATATGTGACAATTAGAATATCTACTTGGTTAGCTTAGAGGTCAGCTACTAATTGAACATGGATTTTATTAATTTCTAGAACCAATAAGTGACTCAGTATTTGCTGGGGGTTCTGTGTCATGGGGTCATACCTTCAACACTATGTCAGGCAGTTGATTACTCTGGACTTTACTTTCACTTGTGTGAGGCCTAAAAGTCAGCCAGAGTTGAGCACTAAGGGTGTTTTCAGGTCTTTCCTGAGCATGCACACAACCCTGGGTGTACTACTTTGCTAGTGCTGCCATGACATAGTATCAAGAACAGGTGGCTAATGCAACAGAAATTAACTTTCCCACAATTCTAAAAGTCCAAGATCAAGTTGTCAGCAGGGTTGGTTTCCTCCGAGGCCCTCCCTTGTTGGCTTGTAGATGTCCATTTTCTGTTTTTTTTTAATGATCTTTTCTTCACGTGTGTCTGTTCTAACTTCTTCTTATAAGCACACAAGGCATATTGGATTAGGGCATATTGTTTTACATCAATTACCTCTTGGTAAGGTAACAGACCTTACCTCCAAATAAAGTCATGTCTGGAGGTACTGGCAGGTAGGACTTCAACATAGGAGTGTTGGGAGAAAAAAATTCAGCCCATACGTGTGGCCTTCCAGATAACCAGGAATATATGCAGTTTTTCCAAACCCATATGGACATATCATTCCAATGCTTTCCGTTTAACATTTTTGTTAAGTATATTGTGTGCCCACACTATTACTGATTGCCTTAGGCACCTGTGAAGTTAAAAAAATGACTCTAAATGTTTTAAACAAACTTCTTCAGGAAAAAGGCTTTTGGCGGTGGGTGAACTCCAAGTTAGGTCACAGAAAAATAGATTTGCAAATGGGGTCTTCCAGAAAACCTGCAGACAAGTTAAATAATGATCATTCTTAAAGAATAAGGCCTTAAAGGAGTTCAGACTCCATGCTGTCCCCTCTGGTGGCTGCCAGGTTGTGGACTTTTCCTGTAATTTGGGGCTATTGGTTTACGTTGTCACCACGGAGCTGAAGAGAGGGGGTGGGAAGTTGAGCAAATTATAATGCCACAAATCCCACTGTTTTTACTAAGAGAAAAATGTTTTTCTTCAATATACAACTTCAGGAATCACTACAAGCCTCTGATTAATTGTCAGACTTTTGAAAAAGTTGATTCTCACAATTATTTTTTTGCCAGTTTTCTTGTTGCTTTCATAAAGAAGAGAATTTATGGAGGTCCTTACTCTACTATGTGTTTCTTACTGTATTATTTTTGCTGATGTCACTCTCTAATAATGCCTTCCTAGACTTCTTTTTATATTTGTTTTACTATATCTTTGCTTTAAATAACCATGTCCCTCACAGCTCCATTCTGGAGCTCTTCCATTGCTCTCTTTGTGAGTAATTTTATTTACTCCCATGGTATCAACTGCATACCATGATACCATTTTGCAGGCCTTTCAAAAAAATACCTGTTTTCTTAAGTAATGTCAAAATTTACATTCATTTATTTATTTATTTATTTATTTATTTATTTATTTATTTATATTTAGAGACAGGGTCTTGCTCTGTTGCCTAGGCTGGAGTGCAGCAGCACAATCACAGCTCCCCGCAACGTTGAACTTCTGGGCTTAAGCGATCCTCCTGTGTCAGCCGCCTAATGGGGTCTCACTATGTTGTACAGGCTGGTCTCCAGCTCCTGGACTCAAACAATCCTCCTACCTTGGCCTGCCAAAGCACTGGAATTAGAGGCATGAGCCACTGCACCTGGCCACGATTTGCTTTTAAAAGAAAGGATGCAAAGTCTGTTTTTAGGATTTTCCTATAATATATGTCCAAAAACTGTAGAGTAAATATTCTAAGTGACTGTTATTCTTGTGGCAATAATAAAGGAATAATTCTATCTATCATCTATCTTTTCATATATATTTTCAGATATGGCAAGTATTAGTCAGCACAATAAAGAAAAAATAAAAGACTAAGATTAATTAAGATTAAATCTTAATTAATTTTAGATTTAAGATTTTCACTATCTACCAACAACTTTGACAAAAAAGTAATTTTATTTATCTAGGCAGACCAATGCTAAATTTTAATGATAATAATCCCTTTCATTCATGCAAATCATATCTTGCAAAAGTCTGTCTTTTTCTAGTTTTCATTAACTCATTTCTAAAATATTTTTCCAAATGTTACAATTGAACATTAATCTTAAAATAGAATAAGAAAATAAAAAAATCACATTTTTCTCATCTCATACTAAGCAATCACTTATCCATTGAAACCCACCTATTATAATAGTTTGATATTTGAACCAATATGAGAAATAAGGTATTAAAAATTCTCCAGTAGTGGATGTAGAGATGTCATCTCTGTGCACTTTTTAAAAAAATATTACTCCAAATACAAGTAGTGGTAGGGACTGGCATGTTAAGTGCCACGTGATGCTTGCATTTTCTGTAGTATATGATCATGTTGCTTAAGAACTCCTAGAATTCTGGACATTTATAGGAAGGCAACAGCGTTAAACAATCAAAATACAACACAATTTTATGCACACACGCACACACACACATACACACCACACACTATGCTCACTATAATTGTATTGTCCCAAATTCCTGGTTGAATATTTCAAACCCTATTAACAAGCACTCTCAGCACCCAATTATCCCTTTCGAATAACTAAATTTAAAAAGCAAGATAGTTATTGTTTAAATATGACAAACTCATTCTTAATCTTTTTGAAGGTTAAAAATTGTTATTAATATTTTAAGTCTTATCTCATTTCTTTTGATGTATTCAAAAAACAATAATTGAGCTACTGCAATAACTGCTTTCCTGAAATTTGATCTGATATTGGTTCTGTAAAAATTCTATTTGAAATATACTTTCATTGCCAAAAATATTTGCTTCCAAGTATATTACGTAAAAATCATGACTAATTCACCAGGGGTGGGAATATATAAAAATCCATTTAATAGAGGACAAGAGTTTTATGAGTAGTGGCTCATTCATTTATTTATTTAACAGCCGTTATTGACATGTTCCAAAGAGCCTGGCATCATGCCTAGAATAGTCTCAAAGAGAAAAAAGTTAGAAATAAATAAATAATTATATATATTTATATTGTATATATATATAACCTCAGTGCTTAACCTTTTTAAAGATCAACATGTTGTTAAAATAGCTTCTGCTAATATATAAATTTTCCTTGTTTATGCAATTAATAATTAAATTAAACTGGAGGAAGAAAAACATACTACCTTTTATCACTAACATAGACCAAGACGGAAGATATATCTTTGGTAAATACCTTTAGAAAGATGTGAAGTATTTCATCTGGTAGCAGAAAATCTACTAAAATTATCTGCTTTCTCTGAAAACAGTTATATATTTTATAGTCAAATGTCCCATTATTTTTTTCTATTCTTTAATACTGGAAATTAAAAATATATTTTACCATAAATGTGAATTAAACACAAAATTATGGTTCTTTTGACATGGCACTTAAAATTAATAAATGCACAAATATAATTTGATAAATGTATTGAGAGCTATACATGAAATATACATTGGTCTGGGATGGAGGAGGAATATGTAAGAGGTGATAAACTGTTTTTAAAGTACAATACACAAACTTTTATAAGCCTTTTATAAATGGAGAAAAGTTTACTACTAATAAAATTAAAGTGCATTTATTTATTATGTAAAAGTATCCTTTCTTATACCATAATGTAATCAAATATATGGTATATATTGCAAAAATGATTTTTGAGTTCTTATGTAATTTGTTCGATGCAAAGCACTGTGCTACAAACAGTAAAGTATATAAAACACAAATCTGAATCTTTAAAGTGTTCACAGTTCAGTCGATTACTCTGTGTGGTCTCCTTATGAAGTGAGCAGGAGCTGAAAAATGAGAAGATAATGAAGTAAATGATCCGTTGGTTCCCTTCTTAATACGGTGTGAGCAAAATCCTTATGTTTTGTAACAGGAATCAAAACCAAACTCTACAGATTGATGCCTATAAAATGAGAAAATTCTGAAAAGATTAATATTTAAATTTTCTTTATGACTTGCTATGGTCTCAATGTCATATGGTCTCAATGCCATGAATTTTGGACTCCCCAAAAGTCATATGTTAAAATTCTAAACCCTAAGTTGATGGTAATAGGAGTGGGGACCTTTGGGAGGAGATTCGGTCATAAGGGCTCCAAATGAGATTAGTGCCTTTATGAAAGAGGCCCCAGAGATTTTCCTTGCCCCTTCCACCATGTGAGGTTACAGTGAAAAGAGAGTGGTCAATGTACCAGGAAGCAGGCCCAAAACCAGACAATTTGCTGGTGCTCTGATCTTAGACTTCCCAGCCTCAAGAACCAGGAGAAATAAATTGTGTTGTGTATAAGCCATCCAGTTTATAGTATTTTGTTTTTGCAGCCTGAAAGGACTCAAGTACTACTGATGTTTCCTTCAATGATACAGACTCATTCAATTGCTTATGGGCAATTGATTTTACTTTTAAAGATTCACATTTTTTACACAAAAGAATTTATTGTTGGCAAATTTACATTGAGTTATTGGCTAAAAAGCATTTTTACATAGTCTATCCCTTTCTTTCTTTCTTTTTTTTTTTTAGACGGAGTCTCGCTCTGTCACCAGGCTGGAGTGCAGAGGCGCGATCTTGGCTGACTGAAACCTCCGCCTCCTGGGTTCAAGCGATTCTCCTGCCTCAGCCCCCCGAGTAGCTGGGACTACAGGCATATGCCACCACGCCCAGCTAATTTTTGTACTTTCAGCAGAGACAGGGTTTCTCCATGTTGGCCAAGATGGTCTGGATCTCTTGATTTCGTGATCCACCCTTCTCAGCCTCCCAAATTGCTGGGATTACAAGCATAAGCCACCGCGCCTGGCCCCTTCCTCTTCTGAAAGGGGTGGAGGCTTTGCTTACAGAAAGACTTCCTATCAGCTAAACTCTTACTTTAATATATTTCTCCTAAAACTTTCTTCTTATTACAGTAATATCTGAGCCTTGTACCATGTGAACATTAGCAGACAGCCCTTAGAAAACTAGTCATTTAAGGGAACTCACAGTAATAAATACATAGTATGAGGCTCCATATAACCAATTTGGCAGCCTACTCTAAATTTGAAATAGCCCACATCATTTGTACACACATATTCAAAAACTTTTTTTAAGTTTTTTAAAACTCAGGGTAGGAAGAGGCAGTGAAAAGAAACCCAATATTAATTTAGAATGAATTTTGGATAAGAAACTTTACCATCAAAGCCATTTCTATTTTGTCTAAACCTCCTAGTTTCAACAGAGCTGACGTATTTATAGCAAGTTACTAAGATTGTTAGCAAATTAGCTATGATCGGTACTTTGGAAGGAAGCAGCTTTGACTTTTTCGAATAGTCTTTTATTTATGAATCTCCTCAAAATCTGTGGTAATTAGCTTGCCTCCCACACTTCACTCTTCTTTTCTGTGCTGCACCAAGTATTTCATTTACTATTAACTTTTCTTGGGAACTCTGTGTGGGCTCATACACATTCCCATCAATGAATTTTTTTTAACTTAGGTATTTTATATATTCTTATTTATATAAAGACATGCTACTTGAAAGTTCAGAAACTTTAATTTCATAAATGTTGGCAGAAACCAATTCATTCAAGTATTGAAACAGAACATCAAAATCTAACAATAATATCCAATAAGATAAGAGAGTAATAGCTGGGTGCATTGGCTCACACCTGTAATCCCAGCACCGGGCGGCCAAGGTGGGAGGATGACTGAGTCCAGGAGTTTGAGACCAGCCTGAGCAACATAGCAAGACCTCTTCTCTACAAAAAAATCAAAAATTAGCTGAAGAGATAGCAAACGCCTCTAGTCCCAGCTACTCTGAGGCAGGAGAATCACCTGATCCCTGGTGGTCAAAGCTGCAGAGAGCCATGACTGTGTCACTGCACTCCATCTTGGGCAACAGAGTGAGACCCTATCTCAAAAAAAAAAAAAATGATAGGGGAGTAAAATATATTCACTCACTTTTGGAGGATGAAAATAGCCAATAAATACAGATGCTTTTATGATGACTTTTAATATAATTGCCAATAAGTATCTCTGCTAAATACACCTTAAAATTTTCAGAGAAAATACGAAAGTTGAAGGTGAGAAACATAACGTGGGTTTGAGACAGACCTTGAGACATGGGGCCACAATGTTCCATGTATCTCTTTTCAAAAGTTATTTGCACAGAGGGAAGAATGACTCTTGGGGAACAAATCAGTGCCCAGGCTCCTGAAGCAGGGAAGGTTTAGGGTATGATGGAGAAAGAGAGTTTACTATGTATTCACTACCTCCGTGGGCCAGTCCTGTAGAGTTATGGGCCCTTGTGAAAAAAAATTTAGTATTTGGGCTTTTCTAATTTGTAAGTAACATAAGCAATTGATATTTCTAGCCACAGTTTGAAAAATAAGATACAGAATGAAAGATATGAGCCTTTTACCCATCTCCCTATGCTTCAATGTAGGGAGAACTAAAGAGAAACTTGGTCATCTGGGAATATGTGATGTTTCGAGTATTTCAAACTAAATCAAAGTGGCTAAGAAAAAGAATCATTGCAGTGAAGACACTACCAGTGAAGTAGGCCTTAAGTTAATTTTTGGACATTAATAATTAAAAAAAGAAGGCCACCATGGAAGAATATTTAAAAGACTTTTAAGGCTGGGCGCGGTGGCTCATGCCTGTAATCCCAGCACTTTGGGAGGCCAAGGCGGGCGGATCACGAGGTCAGTAGACGGAGACCATCCTGGCTAACACGGTGAAACCCCGTCTCTACTAAAAATACAAAAAATTAGCTGGGTGTGGTGGTGAGCGCCTGTAGTCCCAGCTACTCGGGAGGCTGAGGCAGAATGCCGTGAACCCGGGAGGCGGAGCTTGCAGTGAGCCGAGATAGCACCACTGCACTCCAGCCTGGGCGACAGAGGGAGACTCTGCCTGAAAAAAGGAAAAAAAAAAAAAGATTTTTAAAACACCTCTGGAGACAGAGAAATAGCTAAAACTTGATGGGCTACTAGGATCTTGATTCTTGTCACTGTCAGCAATGTGCCAGTGAAATATGATTATTATTTTGAAGTGATCTAATTTCTACCTGCAGTTGAATAAGGACTTAGGAATTTTAATTTTTCGCAGATAAATGATAGCTGCTTCCTGATATCTTAGGCACAGGATTAATATACATATCATTTAATTACCATAATAATGTTATTAGTCATAATTACCTATGGATTACAGATGAAGAAACAAAGGTATATAGAAAAGTTAGTAATTTTTCTAGGCCACTCAAATATTGAAAGTAGAAGCCTACACTTTAAAACAAACCAAAGCTTCCGCTTAAAGCAACTAGAAAAGGTTCTTTAAAAAGTGCCATGGCAGTGCTAAAAACACCAGTGAAAAATGACATGATTGAGACCTAGATAAAAAGAAATTCGAAGGCAATCCCTATATTTGGAGATGCATGTCCCTTTGGGGTGGCAATAAATTCCGTAAGTCGTAACTGAGAGGCTAACAACCTGAACACCAGTTTTGAAAACTTTATGGATTTAGTAAGACAAAAATTGCATTCTAGGATTCACCAAAATGGCGAACTCACATGAGTTAGAGATCTCAAAGAATTACAACTTTTAAGAATTCAACTTTAGTAAGAATGACCCAGAAATACAGAACCTTAGAAAGAAGATAAGTATTACTTGAAATCCTCTCAATTTCCAAAGCTGGAATGCAATACTAACCCCAGGTTGCTAGCAACTTACCTCTCTAAATAAATGCAAACATATTAAATACATCATTTTGGGAGGAAGAATATATCACTCTAAACCTCAAATTTTATCTGATTCATATGTACAACACCTGGGATGTAATATAAATAAGCAGGAAAAAAAGTAAAAGAGAATTAACTTTAAGATCTTCAACTCAAGACAAATGTGAAATAGAAATAGATAAACCAAAGATTCAGATGATGAATTTGTTACAGTGATTAAGCTTTATATGTTTAAGTAGATAAAAAATAAAAAAACTGAGAATTTCAACATGGAAATCTATTATAATTAATAACTAAATGGCAATTCCATAATTTAAGAATGAAATAAAATTAAGAACTCAATTATCTTAACAGCAGATTAGGCATAGCTAAAAAGAGAATTACTTGTTCGGAAAGCAAACCAGAAGAAAATGTATAGAAGGCAGTATGGAAAGTTGATAAAATGAAAGATAGAGAATAGACTTGATACATCATAGTAAACATGCAAAAATAAATGCAAAAAGAAAAATTATAAGGGCAGTTGATAGTAAAGTAATTTAAAATTTTTCATAGATTTTATATGGACTTTAAGAAGATTAATTTTAACTACTTTCTGATAATTAATTTTTGTAATTAATAGACATAACTTAATGTGGTGCACTGGCTAATTAATTCAGGAAAGTGAGGTTTTGCTGATTTCTACATCAGACATTCTGTCTCCTTTTCAGTTTGTGTAGCATACTCTCAAATGGATTTTAGCACTTCCTTTCAGTCACACTGCATCTCCTGATTTCATTTATTTTCCAATAAACAACACCCTCTCTACAGGGTCATTCCTATAAGCATTCAAACCATGCTTTTATTTGTATTGTTAAAACCAAACCCCCCCCGCCAAAAAAACTTTCTTTACTCTATCACTTGTCTCAGCCACCTGCCCCTTTCTCTTAAAAGCAAAACTTTAATTACACATACGCACAATGTCTAATTCCTCTCTGTATATAGACAGTGCCTAGCTTATGATGATTTGACTTACTATTTTTTGACTTTCTGTTGTGGAATCTGATGCTTATGCCTGCCTTATGATGATTCAACTTACTATTTTTTGACTTTCTGATGGTTTGGGCTGCCATTTGTTTGTTGTTGTTGTTGTTAAAAAACTGACAATGGCTGGCTTAAAATAATACAGATTACATCTGTTTTTTCTCTCAGTACAGTTTTCAGTACATTACATGAGATATTCAACACTTCATTATAAAATAGACTTTGTATTAGATGATTTTGTCCAACTGTAGGCTAATAATGTAAGTGTACTCAGCATGTTTAAGGTAGAGTCGGCTAAACTATGATGTGCAGTAGCTTAGGTATACTGAATATATTTTCAACTCAGGATATTTTCAACTTATGATGAGTTTATCAAGATGTAACCTCATCATAAGTTGAGCAACATCTGTATTTACTCTTGAATCCACACCAGCCTCTTTCACCACTCCATCAGTAAAATGCTCTTGTCAAGGTCCTAATATCCTCCACAGAGCTAAATCCAATTAATTCATATTGAGACTTTTTTCTCTAATGACACGTCCCTTGGTGATATTATCCAGTCTAATAGTTTCAGACATAGTATAGATTACATTGAGCAATTTCAGTTTATATCTCGAGCTATGAATTCCCCTGCACTACAGACTATTGGGTCCAACTGCCTACTTGTCATCTCCACTTGGATATCTGACATTACATCTAAATCAAACTCTTGTCATTTCCACACAAGTTTGCTCTTTCTGCATTCCTTTCAAACTTGGTTAATAGCAGCTCTATTCTTCCAATTCTCAAGATGAAAATCTTTGCTAATTACTGACTCCACTTCTAACTTTTACATATCATATCCATCCTGTTGGCCTTACCATCTAATTTTATCCATAATTCAACCACACCTTACCATGTTCTCTTTGACTGGTCTATTCCAACTTACTACTAGTGATTGCCTTTGCCTAAAGTGCTCATGGTCCTCTATTCATCTCATTAACTCTTACTTTCATTATGATCCAGATTTAAGCATAATTCCCCCAGGAAGCCTTAAGTATTCTCTCTGATTTTAGAAAATACTGCTAAAATGTGTCTCAAGTCTGTCTTTCCTTGGTAGCACTTGTTGCAATTGTAACTGTCAATTTTTACAGGATTGGTATATGTCTATCTGCCTCCTTTGTAGGGTCTACTATTTAAGCAAAAATTGTCACTGTTTCATTTGTTTAAATAGCCCTAAAAGTAATCCAAAGTATCTAGATAAATATTTTTGAAATAAATATTTCAAAAATAAATATTTTTGAAATGAATTAACTGAATATAATGAGGGAGAAGTCAAGCCTCAGAATTTGATCCTCCAAACCAACCAGTAGTCATGCTTTGAGTACATGTTTGACACTAGAGAAGGTCTAACCTTTCTCATTTCTCATCCTTGTGCCCAAGTTAGGAGTGATGCTGATGAATAATAAAAATAATATTGAAATTGGCCCAATTTTCCCATAGAGCTGATGTTTACATTTTTTTGAATAAGCATAGAAATTGCTCCTCCTGGTCTTAAAACTTGAGACTTACATTTGTCTCATCTACGTTCCTTTCTCAGAAAACCTGCCATCAGTTCTCCCAGATAGTATCAAGGAACTGAAATGTACCAGATCACTACATCCAGATAATGAACAACAAAATCCTCATCTATCATGATTGTCCAACTGACTACACGCTTTCTGTTGATCAACTCCTCTTCTTTACCCCTCCCTAATTCTTGTTTTTTTGTGCATAGTTACATTCCTTCCCTATTATATAGACCTCCAATTTTAGTCAACTGGAGAGGAGGTGAAACTAATCTCCTGTCTCCTGGCTAACATCACCCAAATAAAGACTTTCTTTCCTGGCAATACTCGTTGTCTCAGTGATTGGCTTTCTGTGAGGTGAGCAATGGGATCTAAACTGAACCCCTGGTGTTTGGTAATGGTATTATAGAACAAAGATTTAGAAGTAGATAAAAATCAAGATGTAGAAATTTAAAAGAGAAACTTGAGTCATCAAAATCATAGTCTGAAAATTGTCATTTAAAGATGAAACCAGAGTTGTGAATTGAAATGCTGTCAGTATCTTTTTAACCAGGCTTGATATTGCAGTAGTGTTACATTCAGGACTTACATAAATTAGTGCTTATTAGGGGTATCTATATTCAGTGCTTGCCAGTTGCCAGTGATAAATTATATATCGTTTGTACATGAACATAGCATATTTGAGTGTGAAGACTTAATATTGGGTTATGGTGGGGTTGGGGTGGGGAAGGAGGACTCCATTCAATAGTGAAATATATGACAAAAATTAGTGTAATTATTTGAGATTTCTTAAATCTAATCTTTATACAATTTATTGGTTTTATCTATAAGATTTATTTTCATCATGCACTCATTCATTTTGACTAAGCTTTGAAAATGCTAAACTTGAAATTCATGGTAATTGTTATAACTTCCTAAAAATTGTCTCTTCTCGTGGGTAATAGTTTATTTCTTTATAGATTTGGCATCAGCTTATTTCAACTGAAAGAGCTAAAAGACCATAATGCAGCTAATTAACTCACTGATTTGTAGCTTCTTAATGACTTATTTATTTTAAAGGAAACTAATTAAGTGTTTCAGAATACACTGAAAATTACTTAGGAAAGACTTATTAGCTCCTACTGTGTCATGCTCAAGATAATAAAATGTAAGGTACCATGATACAATGGATGAGGCTCCAGATGGCTAGCCAGGAAGCTTGTATTTTGTTCTTTTCTGTCATTAACTAGTTGTTTTGCCTTGGGCAAGCCAGACATTTTACCAATACATATTTTTCACAGATAAGTTTAGTAAAACAAATGATGTGACATACACATATGTTTAGAAAACTGCCAAAATCTTATGCTGAAATTTGGCTTTTTCATTGAATACCATGACTCTTTCGGTCAGGGATATTTTTAATTGAAATGAAGAGAAATCCACTCAACCTTGTTTATGTAAAAGAGCGCTGAATGGTGATAGTAGTATCTTATGAGACTCAAATGTAGAAAAAACAGACAAACTTCAGCAAAGACTGAGCACCATAAAATTAAGAATCTGATTGATTCATCCCAGTTCATGAATTCAACTCCTGGTTGAAATTGCTTTAGCAAAAGAGGTTCAAAATCACTTTGCAAACTTGTAGTTGTAGGGGCCTTGACTGACAGACTTGTCTACTAGTTTTCCTTAAATAATTTCTCATTCATGACATTTGGTTTTTTATAGCCCAACTGCTGAATGGATATTTAAAGTAGTCTGGGGTTTATATTGTTTTGTATTTAACAGTTTGGTTTTGGTTTTGGTATACTAAGCAAGATTTTGAATAATTCAAAAGAAATATATCAGTTTATATAAAACTCAGTGAAAATTTATAGGATGAAGGACTTCTGAAATAGTGCTCCAGAGTTTCAGGCAGGAAAATGTTGAACAGACAGGTAAAAAGAGAAAGTTTCCTAGAACCTGTGATGGGAAAGAGTACGGAAAATACAAGAGACTAGAAGAATGTCAGCATGGCTGGAAGAGAGAAAGAGAGCACCAACCTAATAACAAATGAGGCTGGAGAGCACTACAAGTACCTGATCATGTAGTGCCTTACAGATCATATTATGGACATGTATCTTCATAGCCCCATTAAGAGACAATTCTAGTGGTCAGGAAGAGAGTTGAGGGTAGTCTTGGTAATTTTAATAGCAGTAGGGGTGGAGAAGAGTGGAACAACCTAAGAGACATATAATTAATAAAATCCACAGAATTTGGTGGTGGTTTGGTACTGGATGTGAAGGAGAAGAATGTCCTCAAGATTGAAGTAGTGTCATTCATCTGGGATAACACCCAAGGTTTGTTGTCCCATGTCCACAGAAAACTAGGACATGGATACACCAGAATGAGGTTAAGAGTGGAAATTTAATAGGCGAAAGCAAGAGAATAGCTCTCTGCACAGAACGCGCGGTCCTGGAGAAAATGTGTTACTGCTTCTACAGTGAAATTCAGAAGGTTATATAAATGAGCTTGATGGGGTGGTGTCTGCTTTACATAGGGCATGAAAGATTGGTCAGACCAGGTGTGCCATTTGCATAGGGTGCGAAGAAGCTGGCCACCCCACCCTAATCTTTATTATGCAGATGGCTTCTCTACTTGGCTAGTGCCATGTTGCCTGGTTCTTTACTGTACACGTAGCGACAAAGAAAAGTGAAGATGGAGCCTTCGTGTTGAACATACCTGGCTTCCAGATAGCCTTTTCTATTGGCACAGCTGTCGGCATTCCCCTGTGCAAGCTTCCAGCTTGCTTATCTATGTTTGCAGTTCGATTTTTCAGGCTGCTTTTTGTTAAAAAAGAAATGATTTGGGAGCTGCTTTTTGCTAAAAGGGAAGCCGTGCTGAGGACTCCTTTACCCTCTCTATTTGCCTAAATAATTTCTTTCTAGCTCCTGTATTAGGATGAGTGTGGTGGCTTTAAAATTTTTTCTCAAATTTTTTTGCACTCCTCTCTTCAAAGAGTGCTGTTCAATTTCCCTCCTCTTGAAATTTGGCTGGGTAAAGTGACTTGATTGTGCATGAATTTTGTGGTTAGGTCATAAAATGCATTGTAACTTCCATCTTGCACTCTTTTGGATCACTGACTCTGGGAAGCTAATCATCATGTTGTGAGAACACTCAAGAAGCTACAAGGGAGAAACCAAGGGCTTCTACCAGTAGGCTTCATTGACTTCCTGCCCATTTCACTGAGCCATCTTGGAATCAGCTTCTCTATTTCAGTCAAGACTTCCTCTGACTTGACTGAGATCTTGACATAAACCTCATGAAAGATTCAGAGCTAGGACACCTACTTAAGCAGCTCCTGAATTCCTGACTCACAGAAACTTTGAGGCTTACAGGTATTTATTGTTGTTTTAAGCCACTTAAATATCAGGGTAATAAAAAGTATTTTTTACCAAGAAGTTTCTGCATAATAATAAAACAGGTTGATATAGAACTCAGTAAATTTTCAATAAACCATAACATTTATTATTTTTATGGATATTATAGAAGTTGGGTCTTCAAGAGGATAGTTTAAATGAGGAAATGTTTCAGTGATGCTATTTGACAAAGGCAGTGATTCTTCAACTCTTCAAACTTTTGTGTAATTCCAGAGAGCAATAAAAACACCCTTGATTTGATTTAGAGTATCACTGTCTCTTTGGGAAGGGATCATGTGGAGCCTTTGTCCGGATATTACTTCAATGTCCTCTCAGAGAAAAGAGGTCTTCCTTGAAAAGATCAGGTGAAAGGTATAGCAAAGACTTTTCCTGAAGCTTATAACTCCTGTTCTTGTTCCTTGTAAACATTTTTGATAAATCACTTTTTTAAATCTGGGATGTTCAATATTGTTAATTAGCATTTAAAATAATTAAGCTTAAAATTATAAACTTAAATCTGCAGCTTTACACACACATCTCATTATACTAATCGCTGCATGCGTAAGACTTTCAAAAAAACAAGGTGTAATTCCCCAAAACAACTAAAAAGCAGGTTTTGAAAATCTAAGAGGAAACCAAACAACAAAATTTCAACATTCTTATAGAAGCAGAATGTTCTATAAGACATTGCAGAATATTTGTGCAGATTGTTAAGATAAGACAAAGCAGAATATTTGTTCCCCCATATTGTATTTCATATACATAAAAGTTAGCCCTCTGTATCTGTGTCAAGTTCTGCATCTGTGGATTCAAAAAACCAGACATTGAAAATATTCAGAAAAAGAGGATGGTTGTGTCTGTACTGAATATGTAAAGGCTTTATTTCCTTGTCGTTATTTCCTAAACAATAGAGTATAACAACTATTTAAATGGCATTTACCTTGTGTTAGGTATTATCAGTAATCTAGAGATGATTTAAGGTATGTGAGAAGATATGGGTAGGTTATGTGGAAATACGACTTTATTTTATATAAGGGATTTGAACATCAGTGAATTTTGGTATCCTCGGGAGTCCTGGAATCAATCCCTTGTGGATACAAAGGGATGACTGTATATGTATCTGTATATATTTCTATAGACACCCATATACATACAAAACACATATTCTTATATTCATTTAGTTGTATATATGTGGTAAAATAAAGTTATGGAAGACTGTATATGCAATAGATGAAATACCAATAAAGTCTCTGTAACTAAGGAATATACCTTCTGTTGGAAGAAACAGAAAATAAACAAAATAAACATATACATAATCAAGACAGTTAGAGACTGCTCTATGTTCTCAGAAGAAAATAGCCAGTATGATGAAATAGAAAAGACAGTCTATCTTGAATAGGATGCTTGAATAGACTTAGAAAGTCTTTACTGAGCTGAGTGTGAAGCAGACAAAAGAAGATACAGAGAACAACTACTTCAAACTTACGGTGTTGTAGCAATAATCAATCTACTGGAAAATAATAACATAAACTTGGTCTCTTATACCATGAAAATAACTTACAGATAAATTAAATCTCTAAATATATGTAAATTTTTAAATAAAACATTCAAAAATAGTTCAAGAGTAAGCACATTTCTATTTTCTTTCCCTTGCAGTGTTCATTAAAGGACTACTAAATGACTAAACACAGATTCACTTTCAAAGACAACAGGAAGGAGATAACAGCAAACGAGAAATTCCTACAAGTTTTACAAGTTTCTGGGAGATGAAAAAGAAATAATCTATAAAGAGATTTATATGTATCTATCCAGAAAATTTTCAGAAATGATAAAAACAGGTATTGTCAAAGTTAAATGAGCCTATTTGAGATCAAAGGAGGTTAAGCTTAAATAGAGAATTGTCTAGACCTATTTTTGTAAACCTGCCAAAAATTATGAAGAGAAGATTCTGAAAGATTTCCTGAATGAATATTTTGAAAGAAAAAGTAAAACACAAAACAGTGAGACCACTTTTAAATTTTCATTTATGGAGCCTACAAGATAAAAAGATAAAGCCTTTGAAAATTCTGGGTGAGCATTATTTTCATTCAGTGTTTTCAATCCAGTTTTCCAGCCAATCTATGAATCAGAAGTAACTAAGCAGCCATAATACATGGAATCAAATACTCTACCTGCATAAATGCTCTCCTGGAAAAATCTTTGAGAAAATACCATAGCAAAATGAGGAAATAGACAAGAAATAGACCAAGAATCCTAGGAGCTGATCCAACTTAGAAAGTAGTGATGTGATTTCCTCAAATGAAATCCATGCAGAAGATCTTAGAAAACACAGATACAGTTTTGATCAGAAGAAGAGAGAACTCTAGGATGGTCGCTGTGCTGTGGAGTGCAGTGAAGTATGGAATGTATTGCAAAGAGGACATCATAGGTTTGAGAGTGGGAGGAAGAAAATAAATATTTGAAAAAGCACTTAAAGCCAGAAGAAAACAAGTATGGAATTAAGGAAAAACAAAAGGTGAACCAAAAATAATATAAGGGTATTATTCAGATGTATGGATATACAGTCATGCACCACGTAACGACATTTTGGCCAATGTCAGACTGCATGCAGAATTGTGATCCCAGAGGATTATAATGAAGCTGAAAAATTCCTATTGCCTAGTGATGTCATACCCATGGTAATATCATAGGGCAATAGATTACTCATGTGCTTGTTGTGATGCTGGTATAAACAAACCTACAGCATTGCCAGTCATATAAAAGTATACCACATACAATTATGTACAGTACATAATACTTGGATAATGATAATAAATGTTACTGGTTTATATATTTACCCTACTATACTTTTAATCTTTATTTTAGACTGCATGCGTTCTAGTTAGATTTTTCAAAGTTAGCTGTAAAATATCCTCAGGCAGGTCCTTCAGGAGGTATTCCAGAAGAAGGCGTTGCTATTGCAGGAGATAACAGTTCCACACATGTTATCCCTGAAGACTTTCCATGGGACAAGATGTGGAGGTGGAAGATGGTGATAGTGATAATCCTGATTCTCTGTAGGCACAGGCTAATGTGTGTGCTTGTGTCTTAGTTTTTAACAAAAAAAAAATTTAAATGTGAAAAAAATTTAAACCTAGACAAAAGCTTATAGAATAAAGATATAAAGAATACATTTTATAAGCTGTAAAATGTCCTTTAAGCTAAGCATTGTTATCAAAGAGTCAAAAATTTAAAAAAATTGAAAGTTTATAAAGTAAGAGTTACCGTAAGAAAGAAAATATTTTTTAATTTAGTGTAGCCTAAGGGCACAGTGTTTAAAAATTCGACACTAGTGTACAGTAATGTCCTAGGCCTTCACATTCACTCACCACTCACTCACTGACTCACTTAATACTGCAAGCGCCATTCATCGTAAGTGCTCTATACAGGCAAATCATTTGCTTTTACCTTTAGCAAACGTAGTTTTACTGTATCATTTCTATGTTTAGATATGTTTAGACATATGTATACAATTGTGTTACAATTGCCTACAGTATTTAATACTGTACATGCTGTACAGGTTTGCAGCCTGGGAGCCATAGGCTGTACCACATAGCCTTGGTGTGCAGTAGGCTATTCCATCTAGGTTTGTGTAAGTACACTCTATGATGTTCATACAATAACTGTATCACCTAACAATGTATTTCTCAAAACTTTTCCCTGCTGTTAAGCAACAAACGGCTGTAGTCATAATAGTAAGAAAAATGTGAACATTTAAAAATGATTGCTTAGCTGGGTGCTGTGACTCACACCTGTAATCTCAGCACTTTGGGAAGCCAAAGCAGGTGGATCACTGAAGGTCAGGAGTTTGAGACCAGCCTGGACAACATGGCGAAACCCCATCTCTACTAAAAATACAAAAATGAGCCAGGTATGGTGGCACATGCCTCTAATCCCAGCTACTTGGGAGGCTGAGGTAAGATAATCGTTTGAACCCAGGAGGCAGAGGTTGCAATGAACCAAGATTGTGCCGCTGCACTCCAGCCTGGGTGACAGAGTGACACTGTGTCTCAAAATTAATTAATTAAAAAATAAAATAAAAATGATTGCTTTTAGGAAGCATAACTCAGTATAAGGGAGGTAGGACTAAAGAATGCTATGAACAGCATTAGAGTGCTATCCTCACCATTTGATTTTTTAATCCATATGCAAATTTTACTTTAAAAAATAATTCAAAGTAAAGGATTAGAGATATAGAAGAAATTAAGACTTTTATAGAAGAGAATTTTATAAATAAGACAAAATAAAAAGCCTTAAAGAAAAGGCTGATTTATTTAGTACCCACACTTACTCATTTTCATCTTCAAATAGGTTTTGAAAATGTACAATGTGTCGAGCACTGTCTGAGGACTCTGGATTCTGCAATAAATAAAATGGAACAGAATCTTTGGTCTCATGGAGTTTACATTCTAGCAGAATGGAACATTATAAACCAGAAATATGAGAAATTGGTAAATTACATGCTATTTTGGAAGAAAGGAGCAGTTAGAGAAGAACAGAGCAAAGGACAATCAGAAGTGAGAGGAAAGGAAACAAAAGATGCTGGACTAGAAACCTCCTCAACAGAATATTCACTTCTCTATTCTGTGGCAGAATGGATTAGCGGTGGGGAGAGGCAAGAACAAATTCTCAAGGCAACTCTCTCCCCTTCAAAGTAAAGGAAACACATGGAATGGATAAGTAGTATTAATCCCCTAATTGGAACATTTTTCTTAAATATATATATATTATATACATATGTATTTATTTGTGGTCACATATATTTGTAGAAATATATAAAATATAATCTGGAAAGAAACATATTAAATGATTTCAGTCATTATCTCCAAGAAGGGAACTAAGACAGTGTTGGCAACCAAGGGAAACTTTTCATTTATCCAAAATATTTGGATTTTTATATTGAAGACATAATTATGTATTACCTAAGTAATTGTAAGTGAAATTAAATCCACATAAAGACTTTGAAATCCATTTTAATTAAATGGCTATAATGATTAGAGTCAAAATTATAAATGCAAGTTTGTGGTTATATATCAATTACCACAGTAGCAGCTTCATACACAAGCTTTAAAAAAATGCCAGTTACATTCTAAATCCCTGTAGCAGCATTTCAGGGAAATAGTTTGTCAATATTACTTTCCTTTGTCAAATCCGTGAAATAGCAGTTGATTTCTTAAAATAAATCTCAAGCTATAAAATGTTTCTCATAGGTATTGTTGCTCCTAGCTTCCTTCTGGGAAGGGATAGTCTTTCTTTTCTCTCTCATTCTTTTCATATGCAAAAAGACTTCCTCCCTAAGCCTGATTCTAGACAATTCATCTTTACAGTTTGTTTTTGAAACTGTTTTATTCTAGTTGTGTTCATTCACCACACACATAACACACACACACACACAGAGAGATGCATGCACTCACACAGACACAGACACACACACAGACAGCATGCACAAGGTACTTCCCCGCCTGTTTTTTTTTTTTTTTTTTAATGAAAAATAAACAGGGAATTTGCTCTGACTCTAGCCTAGAGTGTGCTGTTGGATAACAAACTTAATAAAAACGTTCAGCTACCAATAAAATCAAAATTTGGAAGGTAAAATTTTCTTGGAATAGCAGATGTTACCTTTTCTTTAGTCAGAAAAAGGTCAGGGCACCCCCAGAGTCACAAGAGTAATTATTCAAAATCCAGGATGTGGCCTGATCTCTGTTAATTTGACTGTGCATTTTTGCCAAAGGGAATTTTATCAATTCTTTTGCTTAAATGTCATGTCCTCCACATTGCCTTTCTTGGCTTAGCTGAGCCAGAAATGATCCCTCCTCCACTAAATTCTTATAGGCCATAGGTTATATCACAAATGTGGTTCTCATTCACTGGTTTTCAATGTTGATATGTAATACTTACAAGTCATAATTCTCTTTACTAGCCTGGAAACTTAAAGGCTAAGGGCAGCAATCATGTCATATGACACATATGGTGAATTAGAAAAACAAATAACACAACTATGTTGCTTTGCTGTAATTTCTATAGTCCTCTAGAACTCAGTTTGATAACGGGTGGATCATTTGAAACTCAATTCAAGAACATTTTCTTCCTTATATTCTAAATATACCTCGAGCAGTTTAACTTACCAAAAGGTCACTGAGCATGATTTCAGGTACATTTTTCTAGTCATAATTTCAAAATGATTACATAAAATCAATGTGAAAAAAGTTGATCAAGAATTGAGATTATCTTCTAAATCTTATTTGGTAAAATACTTCCTAGAACTTTAAAATAAGCACAAAGCATGTTTAAAATAAAAACACTATATACATTTTATTTTAATCTATGTGTATTATCAGAAAAATACTACAAAAATACTGGGAAAAAGTTATTTCACCAATCAGAAATAAGCAATACTGACAGAAATTACCATTTTACTTGGGATATTTTAAGTTATAGATTTACAAAGGAAAAGATACAGCAATAGTACTAATGAAATGCATTTTTATAAATCTTCAAATCAATAAGATTCAGGACATAAAAGCATGATATTTTGAAGCACCAATCTCTAGAGTCTCCAGACTTAAAAACAGATGTACACAGATATTGCAGTGAAATCATTCTAAATTTATTTTTATAAATAGTATTGAACCAGCAGAGTAGGGACTCATTCAGATTATGGTAGATATTCATGCTTGTATAACTACAGATGTTTATGTTAATATCCCCTTTAAATGGAAGGCATTCTATCTTAAGTATATTCAAGACAGATTGGGCCTTTTTATTCCTGTAGTGCAAGAAGCCCTACCTCTGCCTGGAGAGAGAAAATGGCATAGAACAAAGGAGAAAATTAAACAATAAAGCAGAAAAAAAGAGTCTATAATTAAAAGTGGTAAGGACAGGTAAATATAGCACTAGGAATGGTGTCATTCAATTTCACTCTACTGAATATTACGCTATACCTCAAGGTTTTTATAGAATTATATTCTTTTTAAAAAGTAAGAGAGAGCAAAGTTTAGCAAGATGCCATCACTGATGTTAACATTATTCTTAAGACTAATACTCAGTTTATACTTAAAGCTAATATTCTAGGTTACCCACTCTCTCACCTTTCTCTCCTTTTCTCACCCTTCCTCCGTCTTTTTTTCCTACCTTTCTTCTATCTATATGCCTAAACTATTATAGGCAAAACATTAACAGTTCCCCAGGAAACAAAAGGGTTCAGACAGCCTCTAAATTATAGAAGTTATTTCCTGTGGCAATAAGAGCACACGCGTTCCTTTAATCAAGCATAACAAAACCCCTAGAGACTGTGCTTTGTACAAAAAGGCTAGCTATTTTCAACATGTAAAGAAAATGGTTCAGAAATATAAGTGAAAAATATAAGCCAACACTGCCAACCTTCATGCTCATATATAGAAGAATTTTTTAAAAGAGTCAAATGTCTGAATTTGTTTCAGTCTCATATTTTCCAATGAAAAGATTAAATATTGTCCTATAATTCTAATTAAATGAGTCATATTTTACCTTTTACAGAGTGATGAGATGATTATTTTTTCTCTAGAAAAGTCTAATACAGTGCTCCTTTGGAAAAATAAACAGAGAATTTTAATTAGGTGATGTGGGTCCTATCTCTGACTTTGCCACCAAAATTAGTGCAGCCTTAATAAATAAAGATCATTCCTTGGCTTCATTCACTTCCTCTTCAGAGCAATAGAAATGTCTGCTGCAATGAGGCTGGACTGAATCCTCTATGAAAACTACAGCGTAGCCACACCACAGTACCAGAAATAACACAGACTTGGCTCTATTCTGTGTTGCCTCGTAACCAGTTGCATCAGCCTACACTGGTCTGTTTCATTGTTCATCTTTATCATACTTGAGACTTCCCACTTCAAAGATATAATTGTGCATTCAACTGATGAATTATGCTGAATTATGAAATTACAACCTCCAAATCTATAGCCTAATATATTCTGCCTCTATTCTAACCTCTTTCTATTTAGTTCCAAAGACTTAGCCCTTTTCTGATTTAAAATCTATCCTTCAACTATTGCTATTAAAACTTTTCTTTGTCATCTTTATTTAATGACTTTGCCCTATCTCTTCTGTATCCCTCTTGTCTCTTTCTAAGTATTTCCAAATCCGTTGATGTCTTTTCTCCAGACTATAAACAAGCTCACATCTTCTGAAACAGATGCCTTGGCGGGACTCACAAAGGGGTTAGCTCGTTTACTCAGCCCACAGCTCTCAAACCCTCACGGGAAGGGGAGCACACAGGTGAGAGTCTGCAGGAATCAGGACAAAGGCTTCTGGGCGCTGGCAGGAGTAGAACTCTGTGTGGCTCTGCAGCAGCATCAAGGGGGGGTATCCATGACCCCAGAGCTCCAAAGAGCATGTATTACAGTGTGCTCTTTTAGCTTTGCTGTCCATGGCTGGCTTAAGTGTTTAACAGCTCAATAGGGGGTCAGGGTGACAGCCTTTTGCACTTGCCTTCTTAGTACCTGAGTTCTTGATGGCATCCAGGAAGAATCAGGTTGCATGAATGAATTGAAGGGTGGTGAATGTAGAGGATTATATTGATTAGTGGAAATGGCTCTCAGCAGGATGCGGAGCTGGAAAGGGGATGAAGTGGGAAGGCAGTCTTCCCCTGGAGTTTGGCCATCCCTGAGCGAAATTTTCTTCAAAGTTCCACTGTCCAAGCAGTCCCTCTGAAGTCAAGCTGCTTCTCTCTGATGTCCAGCTGCTTCTTCTCCTCTCTCTTTTTCTGCCACTCTGCCACTCTGCCAGTGGAGCTTGGAAAGCTTGATGTATTAGTTCATTTTCATGCTGATCATAAAGACATAACTGAGACTGGGCAATTTACAAAAGAAAGAGTTTTAATAGGCTTACAGTTGCATGTGGCTGAGGAGTCCTCACAATCATGGCAAAGGAGCAAGTCATGTCTTACATAGATTGCAGCAGACAAAGAGAGAGAGCTTGTGCAGGGAAATTCCCCTTTTAAAACCATCAGATCTGATGAGATTTATTCACTGTCACAAGAACAGCATGGGAAAGACCTGCCCCCATGATTCAATTACCTCCCACCATGTCCCTCCCACAACATGTGGGAATTCAAGATGTGATTTGGGTGGGGACAGAGACAAACCATATGATTCCATCCCCAACCTCATCCAAATCTCATGTCCTCAGATTTCAAAACCAATCATGCCTTCCCAAGAGTCCCCCCAAAGTCTTAACTCATTTCAGCATTAGCTCAGAAGTCCACAGTCTAAAGTCTCATAAGTGACAAGGCATGTCCCTTCTGCCCAGGAGCCTGTAAAATCAAAAGCAAGCTAGTTACTTCCTAGATGCAATGGGGTTATAGGCACTGGGTAAATACAGCCATTCCAAATGGAAGAAATTGAGCAAAACAAAAAGGCTAGAGGCCCCATACAAGTCCAAATGCAGCAGGGCAATCAAACCTCAAAGCTCCAAGATGATCTCCTTTGACTCCATGTCTCACATCCATGTCATGCTTATGCAAGAGGTGGGCTCCCATGGCCTTGAGCAGCTCCACATTGTGGCTTTGTGGGTATAGCCCCACTCCTGGCTGTTTTCATGGGCTGGCATTGAGTGTCTCTAGCTTTTCCAGGTGCTCAGAGCAAGCTGTCAGTGGATCTGCTATTCTGAGGTCTGGAAGATGGTGGCCCTCTTCTCATAGCTCCACTAGGTGATGTCTCAGTAGGGACTCTGCGTGGGGGCTCCCACTTCACATTTCCCTTCTGCACTGCCCTAGCAGAAGTTCCCCATGAGGGCTCCGCACCTGCAGCAAACTTCTGCCTCATCATCCAGGCATTTCCATACATCCTCTGAAATCTGGGTGGAGGTTCCCAAACATCAGTTCTTGACTTGCGTGCACCCACATGCTCAACACCACATGGAAGTTGCCAAGGCTGGTGGCTTCCACCCTCTGAAACAACAGCCCAAGCTGTACCTTGGCCCATTTTAGTAATGGCTGGAATTGTTGGGATGCAGGGCACCAAGTCCCTAGGCTGCACACAGAAAAGGGATCCTGGGCTGAACCACAAAAACATTGTTTCCTCCTAAACCTCCAGACCTGTGATGGGAGGGTCTGCCACAAAGTTCTCTGACTTGCCCTGGAGACATTTTCCCCATTATCTTGGTGACTAACATTTGGCTTCCCATTACTTATGTAAATTTCTGCAGCCAGCTTGAATTTCTCCTCAGAAAATGGGAGTTTCTTTTCCGTGGCATCATCAGGCTACAAATTTTCTGAACTTTTATGTTGTCTCCCTTTTAAAAATGAGTGCACGTGGGAATTCAAGATGAGATTTGGGTAGGGACACAGCCAAACCATATCCCTTGATAAAATGCACATTCTGATTCAGTGAGTATGTGGTGGAAGACAGTGTTTGTAGTTCTAATAAGCTTCCTAAAGGTCCACACATTGAATAGCTAGGTCCATGATGGGGGAGGACTTCTCCTCATCTGCATGCCCCAGTGGGTTATAGGTTTGCTGTGTTTTCCATAGCTCAGTCTTCAGTGTGTGAGCTGGGGACTGGCACAGCCGGATCCCAAAGGTCAGGGATCTCTGTGAGTCACCAGGTTTATTTACCCCAACTGGATGAAACGTCCAAGTGTGCTTCTCAACAATAAAAAATATTGGAAAGCCCTGCCCCAGAATTCTAGCCATCAAATCTCACCTATTTCCAGTTCTGTATATTTATTAAATGGATATCTCATAGGCATCACGTTCACTATACATATCTAGAACTTAACTCACGATACTTGTCCATAGGACTGTTCCTTTTCTTGTATATTCTATTTTTGTCCTGGCACTATAATTCTCCAAGTTACTAAAAGAATAAATATGATTATCTTACATTATTCTCTCTTTTTCTCACATCCAATCAATGGACAAGTGGTTTTTTTTTTTTCTTGGTCATTTCTAATTGTGTTTCCTTCTCTCTGTTTTTGAAATGTGCTATAGCATTGATCACATACTATGCTCTCTGAAGCCAGTTTTGCCCCTCTTCACTGATCAACACATTTTCTTCACAGTTATCCATATTATTTCTCTCTTTTTTTAATTTGTGTTCCCAAATTCTTGGCATGCTTTATATTTTAATTTTTAATTTTAATTCTTGTGGGTACATAGCAGGTATATATATTTATGGTGTGCATGAGATTTTTTGATACAGGCATGTGATATGTAATAATATCATGTAAAATGGGGTATCCACCCCTCAACTATTTCCATATTACTTCTTTAGTGATATTTCTGAGACGATCTGACCATGCTCCTTTCCTACCTGTCACAGTTCTTTTTGCTTCAGTGAAGGTCTGAGCTCCACAAGGCAGAATGCATCTGGAGCCTCTGGACATCCTTTAGAGATGCTTCCAAGAAGTTCAGCATGCCACTTCTATTTACAACTTCTTGGCCAGAACTTGGCCACAGAGGCACACAAGCCTGCCAGGAAAACTGCAAAATCTTTAACATCTTGGAAGTGTCTTTAAAGAGAAGCCTCTTCGTTCTGATGGCTAAAAAGAAGCCAGAATGAATGAAAGCAGAGCATCTATCTTCGATCTCAAAGAAGCAATCCCGCGTTAAGGGTGGCAAAACAAGAGAGAAGGATTGGCAACCTCCATTCCAGCCTTGAGCTGTTCACTTGCATAGTTTTTCTTTTCCTTTCTTTCTTTTACTCTTGAAAGGGAGAAAAATCTTTCTTAAACCAATGCTATTGTGCACTTTTTGTCACTCACAAATGAAACTAATCTGTACTAAAACAACAATAAGAGGCTGGTCTGTTCATCCCTTATTTACTTTCTTGCCGTTCAACAGCCCTCACTTCTACTATACAATGAATTTTAGAAACAAAGATAGATAATCTGGCATTAAGGTTACTAATATATATACTTTTTTGAGATGGAGTCTTGCTCTGTTGCCCAGGCTGGAGTGCAGTGTCACTATCTCGGCTCACTGCAACATCCACCTCCTGGTTCAAGCAATTCTCCTGCCTCAGCCTCCCTAGTAGCTGGGATTAAAGGTGTGCACCACAACACCCAGCTAATTTTTGTATTTTTAGTAGAGATGGGGTTTCGTCATGTTGGCCAGTCTGGTCTTGAACGCCTGACCTCTAATGATCCACCCACCTCAGCCTCCCAAAGTGCTGGGATTACAGGTGTGAGCCAGTGCGCCTGACCAAGGTTACCAATATTTAATTAAATATGAAATTATAGCTATAATGCTAAGTATATATTTTCTGCTAAAGAGAGATTATCAGATTTTGACCATGTTAGTTTTTAAAAATTGTAGTTGGCTAGAACAGCTCTACACTTTACATTTTAAAAGTAGCATATTAAATATAATCACTCAGTCTATAGAAAAGTCACTCAGTTCTTCAAAGAAAGAATCAAGATCTAATCCTGAGTCTTATTTCTCCAAATTTATTCTTATTTTCACATGGCATACAAGTGAATGAGGAGAGGCAATAGAATTCAAGGACAGTTAATTTAGAAAATATTTAAAATAAATGAGCTATTTCTTATAGAGGCATATATCTTGGCTTTTTACTACTATGTTTTTGAAATTTAATTCTGATTTTTCTCTAGGAATTTGAATTTTTTTCATATCAAGCTTTTCCAGTGTAATATTTGATGTGAGATTATATTTATGATAACTATACATATACCCACAGGGAATGATATGTACTTTGCCCTTTTGAAATAGAGCAAAATTTTAGATTCACAGTTATCACTTAGGGGGAAATATTTAGGCTACACATAAAACCTAATTCTCCACTATAGTCTCAGGAGGCACCAGCAAAGGTCTGCAGCAGAGTCAATGACTTTGATGATTCTCACTCTATTTAAGATTTGCAGGAAGAGATACCCTAAATTTCAGAGATTTAAGGGGAAAAATATTTTAGAATCTTTTCAACTGTTTTAAGGTCTTTACAAAGAAACAACATAAAGCAGAAGGAAGATTTCTAATAGTTCTATCTTTATAATCCTCTGCTGCTTCTATTCTTACCAATAAATAAACCAGGAGGCAAGTTAAGGACTCAGAGGTCCATTTATTTGTGCTAGACAGTAGGATACAGAAAAAAAGAAAAGTCTCTTGGTATCTTAATAGACTAAATGTAAGTCACTTCTTATAAAGGAATGATTTAATAATGTGGAAAATAGTTAATGCATATTAGATTGTTTTGTTATTAATAAGAAAGTAATTTACAAAGGCAGATTGTCTCTAAGTTCTTTGGGTTAGGATTTCATTACACACTTCCATCTTTATCACTTATCAGAAATGTAATCACTTGTTTATAAAATCAAGAAAACTTGTACGTCTCTTTTTTATTGGATGTTTGTCTTGTTTAACCTACTAATAATTAAGTTTCCCTTTAAACTTCTGATAAGTAGAACAAACTGATTTTAAATGATGGAAATTAACAAAAACATGCCTATGTTGACACCAACTGGACAAGTGAATATAGAGTAGCTTATTAGAATATGTTCTTCCCTAACAGTCAAGTGCTGACAATGAAAAATTTTGTAACAGAGAAAATTATTATTTGAATAAACATTTGCTGATATTTTATAACTCTCTTGAAGAGTCATACAGATTTTCCCCAGCAGCTAGTCCTAACACAACAATACAGCGTGGATTTATTTGAAAAGAAAACTTGAGGGCCCATGTGGAAATATCTCCATGAAGTTTGCCATATTCTCTATTCCACATGGAAACTGTGGCCTGTGCCAACAGTGCTTTTCCTGACCATTCAAATTCCATCCTCTTTTCTGCCCAAATTCTATCACCTGCTCAAGATTCACTTAATATTTCCTCCTTCTTTATAAAGAATTTATACTCCTTTCCATTCCAGAAAAAAATGTTTTTTCTCAATATTTATCATTATTACTATTTCGGGTAGTTATTCATAATTACATTTTCAGTTATTTTCAGCAAAGAATCATCACTCATCTACCTTTTATAGAGACTCACAGGATTAATACATAAATGTATGTAAACAAAGAGACAAATGTTCTGTGGTACCAATGGTTCTACATCTATCTAGAGAATTGGAAACTTATTAGAGATTCTGATCCCAGAACTCTGATAGGTGCAATAGCAGAAATTCAAGTATGATACCTTGAGAATATGCATCATTTATTTGATTAATATTTAGCATTGTCATTTAGTTATGCTTTCTCTTTTCAGTGCAAATATCTTTTTTAAACTAGATGATTACATCATACATTGATTTAAAGATACACCTCATATATGAAATAGCAATTTTCTACAACTATTATGGTATGAAGCGTTATTTTAGTGAAAAATATTTAAAAGAGAAACCATCACACATGAAAGCTGATTACTGCTGAAAAGAGTAGAGTTGGGAATTGTTTCCAAATAAGAACAAGTAAGGCATAACTGAGTAAGAAAATGAACATTTTTAGATATTTTTTTCTAGACATTTTTCCCTGAAAAGGAGAGATAAGGGGCAAGTGGAAAATATATTACCACAGACACATAAAATTAGGAATAAAGAAAAATAAGCTGCACCAAATTCCTCGTCAAATGTTCCCCTGAATGTTAGAAGCGCAGAATGATAACATAGTAGTTTTGGTTATGCCTGGAGTTATTTATCTGAAATTGTTAATGTGCTTTAGAAAAGAAGAAATAGTGCTTCATGACAGAAATTAGTGAGCTCTTTCAGCATGCTAGACACTCTTTTAAGCCCAGCAGAGAGAACTGGGAATGTATTTTGGTCCCTGCCCTCAAAAACTTCACAGTTTGAGCTAGACAGAGAACTCAGACAGTGGCAACAGCGCTGGGATATGTGGCACTGGCACACAGAGGAAGCATCCTCACCTAGACTTTAGGGAGACCAGAGGCTTCTTAGAGAATGTGAAATGAGTTAAACAGGAATTAGCCAGGCAAAGAGATGGGATTCACATTTTTTTCCCAGTCATTTGATGCAGGACATTTGGGTAGTCATTTCACTGAGTCTCAAATAACTTATCTTCTTCAGGCTTCCACCTAAAGTATTAGATGACCAATCCGACACACTCCCTCCACCACCCACAGAAAAGGCAAACATTATTTGCTAGTGATTTCCTCACACCCTACTGCTATAGTAATTACATCTATTTTATTTTCATTAGTAGTATTTTACTTGTTGCCACAGTTAGCTGACAATCATTTTTTTTTTAAATTTCATAGTAACATTACTGTCAGATTTTTGTACATATTTCCTAACTTCTGAAAAGGAGAACATCCAGAGCTAATATCAGGACCAACTGTTGAAATCTTGCTTTATAACTAAAAGTTAACTTTAAGAAGGAATGTAAACTTTTTACATGTATTTGACATTAAAAACAAAGTCAACAGAGTCTAAACCTAGTCAACAGTGTATAGAAAAACAAATGACATAGAAATGAAAATATTTCCAATATTATTTTTAAAGTTATTTGAATAAAATTATGATATGACGTTAGTAAGAGCAGCAGTGTCATGGAGAAAGTCCAGTGGCTTCTTGGAACTATATGCATTTATGGAAAAATATACTGCTAAAGTTCTCTAATGCTTTTAAGGCTAACTTATTTTACAGAGTGTTTTAATTGTTTATTGTAAAAAGCTGCAAAGCCCTAGTAAAATTCAAAATAAATAAATACTTTTTTATGGTTTTATTTCTATGTCATGACCCAAAATTGTAAATTATATGACCCTAGTCAAAGTAGCATCATAAAAGCATAGCAACCATTATAACAAGGAGTGGTATCATCCCAAGGTGGGTGGGCAGAAGTTTTTTCTCAGGGGGATAAAAAGCCTTTTTATTTTTATTTTTAAAATAAATATATAGAGAGAGTACATAAGAAAATACATGATGTATCTGTGGTATTACAATTTCTTGGAAGTCAGTTACAAAAAATGTCTACAAAAGGTGCTTTAAGAGGCAATAATGAAAAAAGTTGAGAAATATACATTACATTACACAATACAAATGCATTACACAATACAAATTCGGTTTTTCATGGGGCAAAGAACCAAACCCTTCTCTTTTCCACTAGATGCTGCCAATTTGTATCTGTTTTACAGCCTCTTCTTGAAGTAGTTAATATCTTCTAAGGAGATTGTTTGATCCTATAAACTTTATGATCTCTTGAACACAATACTTCCTTTTTCTCCACTTGATAACACAACTAAATAGAATTCAAATCTAAAATCTTAGAAAGATGTGACAGACAGGCAGATGTCATCTCAGTGCTTATATATTATTTGTTGAGCATGCATGACATTGAATTAAACATTATGGAGGTAAAACAAAGACCAGAAATGATTCTATCCCCATGGGAGTTAAAATTTAGATACACAGAGACAACTTGCATGAAAATCTAAAACACAAATTGGAAATGGATATCACAGGTTCTCCTCTCCACAGTGATACAGTGTTAAAAGTTGGGGTTTTGCTTCCCCAGTACTTAACACACTGCTTTGGATGTAGCCATTGCTCCATACATTATTATAGAAGTTATAGAGATATTCAGGTAGAATGCCATGGGCTCTCTGAAACTAGAGAATCCAAACTTCATGCATGGAGCACCTCCATGGACATTATCATTTAAAATCATGGCTCAAATATAGGCCCAATTTTTATGAACAGGAAGGTCATCATAAGTGGAGAAAATCCCCAAAGAACACAGAAACAAACATTTATGGAAGCACATATAGGAAAAAATAGTTCATTTTGTCTAGGAGAAAACAGAGGACATTTTATTTTTTACTAATTAAAAACAATAAATATTTTCCTTCTGAGTAAACAAGTCCTTATCACTAGGAATTTTAAAGATTAAGGGATGACCACCTGTTGAAGATGTTCAGAGATTCTAAAATTTAGGTAGGATACTGGATGGACCAGTTACCTCCATTGTAAGCCCAATCATTCTATGTTGGCAATGGTTGTATAATATTATCAGAAATATATCAGGGTTTGGCCATAATTCCTGATTGGTTATGGCAAATGTTTGTATGTACTCATGGAGAATTCTTCATCGCTTACATCGGAAATGCTTCCATTCAGTAAGCTTTTTCCAGAGACCTTTAAATTGTATGCTATTCCTAATTGTACCATTGAGGTGATTGCTTCTGTGCATCACGTTGCCTACGAGGTACTAGTAATACTTCCTCCTAAAAGCATCTCTAGTAAGGAGATTCTGAAAAAATTTCAGAAATACATTATGATGGAGCTGCATTGTTTTACCACTGTTTCCTCTTCTGATAACATCTCAGGATTTAAAACTCCATTTATTGAAAATGTGTGTTGTTGCCATGCAGTTGTTAGAATAGCTTCATTTACTGTTACTGAACAGCTCATTCCATATATACACTGTTTGTTGCTAAACAGTTGGTTCTGTCTTTGAATTTCTGCCTGCACTCCAGAACCAGTTCTCTGGAGTTACTTGTCTCTTTTGGCCATTTCCCCAAGCAAAATAAAGCCACAGGCTGTACCATCCACCTAATAAAAAAACAAAAAACTAAAACTCAAAAAAAAAATGTATTTCCACATATACATGTACATACATATGAATTTGAGGCGGGTGGACCGCGAGGTCAGGAGATAGAGACCATCCTGGCTAACATAGTGAAAACCTCTCTCTACCAAAAATACAAAAAATTTAGCTGGGCGTGGTGGCATGTTCCTGTAGTCCCAGCTACTCAGGAGGCTGAGGCAGAAGAATTGCTTGAACCTGGGAGGCAGAAGTTGCAGTGAGCCGAGATTGCACCACTGCACTCCAGCCTGGGCAACAGAGCGAGACTCTGTCTCAAAAAAAGAAAAAAAAAGAATTTATTTTCTATAAGTACTATTAATGCAAGTATATAAATAATCCTGTGGAAAAGGGTAGGAGACAAGTTTGGTGGGCAAATTAAGGAGGCTTTGCTAGATATGTTTCATGATATAAGGAAAAGTAGATGATCTACCTTCTCCAAAATAATTCCCTGAAAATGTCCTGAGAAAACTTGAGTAAAGTATGTCATCTGTAAATATGGACTAGTTTATTAGATTAGCTGAAATTAGAGAAATGCTAATGTTAAGGTCCTCTTGATAAGTGATAGAAAGATATTAATATATGCTATTAATAATAACTGGTCCTTGAGATAAATAGCATAAAACTGTGATAAATCTGCAACTTCATCACTTGGTTCTAATAAGCCTCATCTCTACAGCTGAGCTCAGAGATCTCTGAGTACTTTTCCATGTTCTGTTCCAAGTGTTCTATCCTCATCGTTGACAAATGTATTTTCTATTCTTTCTTTGCACCACAGTATACTCACCTTTATAACCTTTTGTAAATCTGTTGTCTGGCAATTAAATCTATGCAAATACCTGAATTCCTAGCTGAGGCCAGGAAACCTAGCTCTTCTGCAAGCATCTTAACCTCAAAATACCCCGAACCAAATTCAATGTCCTCTTTTCCTCCAACTATCCAAATCCTCTACTATATTTCAGTATTTCTTTTAAGAAACTATATTTTGAAGAAAAATTCTCACATGGTTTCCAACTTCTAAAACAATCAGATTAAACTTTTATTCTAGTAGTGTGTCATTGTTTCTTTACATAGCTCTTAAATAATTGCTATCACCAATCCTATGACTAATAGTAATTTTGAGGTAAACACTACCTCTGAAGAAGAACCGATAGGGATATTTTGAGTCAAGTTATAAAACTATTCCTGTAATGATGACTACTCAGTTATAATTAAATTACTTCTTTCTAAATTTTAGCCATATTCCATCGTGAAGCAATGCTGTGACTCCTCCATATTCTTGTAGTTTTATTAATGTAACTAGCTCAATAGTTGTTGTTAGTAGAATATAATTTTAAATCATGAACTGTAAATTCTTCAACTGAATTTGACAGTCACCTTTTCCCAATCACATACTATATATCTGTATCATTCGTTTTGCATAGAATATTCTCTTTATATATCATTTTGCCCCTTGAACAAATATCTTACAAGGCCCACCACAAGTACCAAGGTTTCTTGATAGTTGCGCTTCCTTATATTCCCTAAAATATTGCTATCTGTACTTTTTTCTTTTGATGTTTGACCCTTTTCCGTTTATTCTAGACTCTAAGTTGCTAAATGGAAAAGGTGACATTTGTTCAATCATCCAAAGCTAAATTGTGCTTAGCACAATTTGTGCACAGAATTTCGTGAATAAATCTTGTTAAATTGCTTAATCTTACATAGTAAACACATAATTGCTGATTGACTTGCCTCAGTACACAGTTGTGTGTTTAAGGGAAGAAAAACTATATAGAAGAGGAAATATTTTTCAAGATGTTCTTTCAATTGGCAGGGCAAATTGCTTGAGGCATTGACTGGACTATGATTCTTCTATACCTGGGACAATTTATTGCTATTTTCAGGGAAAAAGGGAAGGATAATGTTATATATAGCAAAGATTTTTTTAAAACTATACAGAATCTTGCTACACCTCCATGTAGTAAATCATAATAATAGTAAAATTGTATTCCTAGAAATATAGTTTTCTTCAATATCTTACATAGAAAAATAGAGACAACATTAAAAAGGATTCCTCTCATCCTCCAAAACATACCAAAAGCAAAACCAGTAAGCTCTGTGCTAAGATATTTTACTAAGGCTTTGAAGTAAACCAAGAAAATATTACATTTTTTATTATTATGACATCTGAAATTCACACATTCAAGTTTTGACACGATGTGCCCTAATTTATTCAAGTAGCAATACTGTGTTGATATCAACTTGTAAAGATGAAAAATTAAATGATATGGCAAGAAAGTAATCAACTTAAATGAAATATTTTCTGTTGCTTCCCTGCTTTTGGAAGTTGTTCTGCAAGCTCTTCATAATCATCACTTATCTGCATTTCAAAGAAAGCTGAACACTGATGTTTTGTTCTTTATTTTATTAATATGATAACTAAAATCCAAAAGCCATAGAAAAATTATTACATAAAATAGCAATATCCAAAACAAGTATGAAAGTTTTAAAAACTTTTTTGTAAATATTTTGTAAATTTTTTTCTGCTGCTTTTGCCTTAATAATGCTTATTTACTAAAGTATAGATGATACTTTAGTGCTTTTATGTTTTTGAAAGCACTAAAGTTTCATCTGTAGGTTTGTAAAAATATACTAGAAATACTAAAAATTTGTATAGTACGATAACATTACACTGATCAAATTGTGTACTAGTAAGCAACAGAAACTCTTATACATTACTGATATAAGTGTAAAAACATAAAACTACATAGGAATACTGGCAGTATCTACTAAAGTTAAACACACCCATGCCTGTGCTATGCTTAGCAATTCCCCTTCTAGAGAAAGTCTTGGACCTCAACATCATGATCCCAAAATGAATACATGTATTCACCACAAAAGATGTTCAATGATATTCATAACAGTAGTAACAAACCCTAAGAAATACCCAAATACCCATCAACAGGACAATAGATAAGTTAATTTTGATGTATTCATATAATGGCATATGATACAACAATGAGAATGAATAAGCTATTGCTACATGCAACAAGATGGATAAATCATATAAACATAATGCTTATAAAAATAAAGCAGACTCAGAGTAATTATATAAAGTTCTAAAATGGAAAAGATATACTTATTATATAAGTCAGGAGAGTGATTACCTTTGGCCAAGGTAGTGCCTTGGAAAGGATTATGGTGGAGGAAGAGGGTGGGGTGAGTGCTTCTGTGACAGTCACACTTCTACTTGCTGAACTGTAGTCTCTTCACTTGGGTGTGTTCCCTTTGTAAAACTTTATCTAGAGGGAAATGTATTATTTGTGCACTTTTCTTTGTGTATGTTGTATCTCAATAAAAATTTTAAAAAAATCTTCAAAGCCTATGACATAAAAAGTCTGTACTAGTGAATTATTTACTTATAAATATCTGTGGTTTCTGGTTGTTGTTGTTGCCTCCAAATTGCCCTGGTAAGCTGTTTTGAAATTTAAAAATATGTTAAGAATTAATGCCAATACTTTCTTTTGTTTTCATCTTTTTTCTTGTTTCCTTTGTGCTCAATACATCAGGGCTAGAATTAGAGAATAAAGAATCATTTCCAGGAAGACATTTATTTTACAAAATATTTCCAGTAGAGGGAGCTTCCTTTTTTTTTTTTTTTCTATAGGAAATCCTCTTTTGGGGGTCATCACTAAAAGTGAAAATGCTTAATTTTTTACATATAATTAAAGTTCTTCATAGAGTGATAACCTACTCTCATCTAAGACTAGTCATGGATAGAGAAAAATTTATTTGATTTATGAATGGAGAAAGAAAAACTTGATGAAGAATATAAGTTATGAAGTAAACTTTTGTATGTTGTATGTCTTTTCAAAGAAGTACATTTTTGGGCTTCTCATAAAATTTATTTCTAATTAAAATTATTTAACATTAAAAAAGATAAATTCTTATAATCACAATTATCCATTTGAAATACTTTTTCATAACTTTTAACAAAATTGGACAAAAGTCAGAGAATCTAGTGATGAAGATTATTTATCTCAGAACATGTTTTAACAAATATCATAGTGATTGCCATTATACAAATTTAACCTCATTGACCAAAACATTTTAGTTTCTGACTTTAGCTTCCTAAATCTAAGTATCTATCAACTAAGCTAATCTGATTTCTTTGAAAAAAATGTATTTTACCATCTAAGCCATTAAGAAATATAGAGAAATAATCAATTTATATTTTAACATTAAGTTTGTACTCCTTTACATAATAATTTCAGAAATATAAAAGCTCCATATACTTGGCTTTAATTATTACAAATCAAATTTCTGACAATAATAAAGTCACAAAAATTACTAGATCATATCAAGATGATTTTTATTGAAAATACTTTGGTTAAAAATAGTTCAACTTCTTATTTTGGGAAAAAATCAATAATTTCAGAAATAATAACCATCACAGTTTCTATTATATATAGGCAAATGAAAATAATATAACTTTCTATAAGGTAGTTTGAGATACACTATTGGTTTTTATAAGGTAGCCCAAAGATGAAAAATCGACATAGCAATAAAGAATATTTAAATACTTCAAGTAGAAATCAGTATGCATATAACTTAGTTACTCTAGTTATTGGACTTCAATCCTCCTTTGAAAACCTTGCAAGCCATAAAAATGGAAATCCTATGGTAATTAATTGTAACAGTAAAATTAAATTTATATTGGTGGGTCAAAATTCTATATGAGCAGTACCTTATTTTTACACATTCATTAAGAACGGGGTAAAATTATCTGATCCTTTGTCTAGCTCTCTTATACTCTTTAAATTATTTTTTTAAGCCTACCAAATATGACAGGATCATGATAAGAAAATGACATGTCATAGAACAATTTCATAGTTTAATGGCTTTGTTATAATATTACTTTACTCAAGAAGATTATTCCTGACATAGAACATATCTAATAATCTATTTATGATTTTGCCTTCATGTATTACCTGAGCTAGGTCATTAGAAAATAGTACTTGCAAGGCCCTTATTTTGATTCATTTAACTTAACCTCTGAATATAGCAACAACATTTGGAGTTTCTCTCATCAGTAAATGACTATGGTCTGTATTTCTGCATTAAAAAAAGTAATGTCTCGTTTCTAAATACTAAATGTTTTGTAACTTTCAAAAAAAGAGTAACACCCAAATTATATAATTCACTTAGAAAACGGGAACTTTAAAAGCAATTTGAGAAGGAAAACGTAGGCTTTTAAAATAATTTTTTTTTCTCAGCTGCAAATAACGCAAGATGCCAGTTACTAAAATGCACTAATCAATGAAAAAGCAAATGAGTAGGTCTCAGTAGATAGACTGCTAAATAATTTAGACAGAAAACAATACGATTAAATTGATTGTTTCAACAAGTCAATATAGAATTGCAAATTTCCCGGTCTCATCAATAACAAGTGGTTGCAACGTAATGCACAGGCTTAATGAGTTCTCCGACTGTTAAATCCAAGCGAACTCACCTGAGTAACAGTGCTGCTTCCCAGAAGTAAAATCCCGAAACTAATGTCCGAAAGTGTCTCACGTGGGCCATGATACGGAGAGATATTCACGATCCTGAAAATAGTCTTATCCAAGGCATGGGGAACCAGAAAGACAGAATGAAAATGTACAATCTAACCCCGCATGGTGTTGGTGTAGACTGATGCTTGGGAAGCTTCAGCACCTTAGACAGCTCCCCGCAGTATGCGGACCCCTTCTCAGCATTGAGCAGAAGTGGAGAGTCACAGTGTTATAAATGTGCAGGTGATTTTTACAGTGAAATTACAAAAATGAGTGAGATGAAATGTCTGAAGTGCCTAGGTGCTGGGCAACAGTTCTCTAAAGCTCCAGCAGCAAAGGAAGAATGTTCGTTCTTCCCTGACTGAGACCCAGGATTGGAGGAAGAAGAGCAGCAACAGCCGGAAAGAGGACGCCTCTCCACCTGCTCCAAGCGCCGCCCGCCGGAATCCAGCTCTCCACCTTGGGTTAAAACCCGAGACCCGGAGCGCGGCAAAGGGAAGCGGGGGTGGGGCCGGACAACCCGGTCCTGTCGACCAATCACGACCGCACAGCGGGACGGAGTGACAGGCCACTTACGACGGTAGGCGGGGCTTAGCGCTTCACCCTTTAACAAAACCCAAACAAACCAAACGGCGACTGGAGCGAGGTGGGCGGAAAAAGCCACCTGGGAAAGTCAGCGGTTTTGTGGATTAGGTAGTGTAACCCCGCAGGAGGGACCCTTTAGTATTCCCTTCCGGGAAAAGGCACACTTTAGGTCTTCTCGGATGTGACACTGTCTGTTACACTCTACACCGAAATACAAGAGTCAGCAGTAAACCCAGACCCTGGCGGAGGGCTGGGGAAGAGAAGACAATGTGGTGCGTGAACGCCCGTGGAACGGAAGAACCAGCTGCTTCTAGAATCCTCTCAAGCCTGGCCAGCTTCTGGCCAGGAAGCGTTGTTGACTGGATTTAAGTTGGGTTTCCTTAAGTAATAGTAAGGGTTCTAAAAAGATGAAGGTGTGAAGTCTAAAGAGATGGCTGCTAGAGACGCAAGGCTTCCCACCATTTTTTTTTTTTTTGGTCTTTCCCGTTTTACATCTTCACAGTAAGTTTAAGTGAGAAGAACAGCTAGATCACATGGTACTATAAGGTCCATCTTTTCTCCGTCATGTCAGCTTTCTGTCCTTCTCTTTCTCTATTCTTTTCCCCCTCTCCTTCTCTGTCCCTGTTTTCCTCCCCTCCCACATTTATTTACTTTGGGTTTTGGATGGAAGACTGGAAAAGAAAAGTGTGTGTGTGTGTGTGTGTGTGTGTGTGTGTGTGTTGTGTTGTTTATGTATTTCAAAGTAATAGAAGTTTTTTAAAAATTAAAACTTCTTTGATCTTTATAGTGGCTCTTATTTACTATCAGCCATGATCAAATGTTCATTCCTTGAATCTTAGATTTTCCCCAAAACTTCCTCAGATATTTATTCTGAAATCCCTACTTTCATCTCTTAACTTAGTCTAATGACATGTCAAAAATGATTCCTCATCTTGACACGTTGGTTATTCCTGAAATTCTCTGTTTAACTGGAAAGCATAAGTCACCACCTTCCAACCCTCTCATATGAAAAATCTCTCTCTCTACACTTTAGTAAAAAAGTTTTATTTACATTCAGTGACAATAAAGAGTTTCCTGGATTTATTTCTAGATGTTTTTATTATACTTGTCTCTTTTCACATAGTGGTTTTCTGATTTAAATCATAAACTGCCAGAAGTTTCATAAGGGACACCATTGATTCTGCCCAGGAATATTTGTACCTGGAGAAGATTCATACCATTTTTATCAACTTAATTATTCACGATGAATCTTTTGAAATCTCACTAAGCACAAAAGCTTTTTAGTTGGCGATTCTTTGAATAGCAGTAATAATTGTTTAAAAACGTACGCATTAAAAAACTTCAAAACTTTATTTCAAGAATACGTGGATTCCTTGCTCTGCTTAACCACTGACTGGGTACTTTGAGAAAAGGTATCCTCTTTAAAAAATATCTTTATATATATATATATATTTAAAGTATATTTATTGAGAAAATTAGATTAAATGATCTTGCAGATTTATTCTCTGGCTTGATGGAGACAATGTATGTTTAAGTCAGTAAATTAATAGATAATATTAAAACTCTCTTTAGAGTAATCTGGAAAATTAAATTACACAATGGCTTAAAAGCCAGGATAATTTTAACTATTTCAACTTGTAGTTAACATAAAACATAGAAATATACTTTATAAAATTAGTACGGATATGAAATTAGTATGGATCTAATCCTTTTTAAATATAAAGTTCATATGAAAGAATGGCTGGAATCCTCGTAATACTCATTTTTCATAACACCATAATTATTGTCTTCAAATTACTTGTCACTCTTTGTTATCATCCTCCTCATTTATTTGTTTGACTTTTTCACTAGAGTGAGGACAATGGCCACTATTTAGCACAACACTTAGCATATAATAGATACTCAGTATTCGTTGGGTGCATTAATTATCACATTGGAAACACAATATGTATTTTCTCTATTAGTAAATGAAGGAAGTTGTTACAGTGCATTGGGAACTAGACTAATTAGGTATATTTAAAATTGAGTGATTGTGGTGCTCTGTTTCTTTCAGTTAACGTTTGATGTTTAATTTTCTAGTGTATTTTTGTTGAGGGATATTTATATTGTTTGTTTTAATTTCTATAAGGTCAAACAGAATATTATGCATCTACATATTTTTGGTAGCTGTCTTGTAAATCGTACTCTTTTCAGAGTAATAGTACTGATTGAATGGGTAGGCGAGTGAATGTGTTTTTGGGGTAGGGGGAACCTTCTGTGGCTGACGATTAGATGATCAGCCCATTCATATACAACTGTGCTGGATTGTGACATGGCCACATCTCAGCTTTACCTTTCGTGGCCTTTATTATTGCTTTCTTGCACTAATGGATTCTACTTCACATTATATAGGACATGGGACTTCGGAGCTTAATGGGATATCGATCTTCATCATGCTTAATACTTACTTTTCAAGAGAAAGCAATTGTAGACCAGTGTGGTTAAGTGACGGTTACAAGCCCTCATATCCAGTAAGCAGAAGGTATCAAATTTCAATCTGGGGCTTTTGGTTCATTGTCTAGTTTTCTTTTGTTCACTACCATGGAGCTATTTTTAAGGCACATTTATTCTATTTTTTCAAAATATGTGTACATTGCCTAAGCAACAGAAAGATCAATTTCAGTATAATGATAAAGGTGCCTCTTTTATTTAGTTAGCTTTTTTACATTTCCTCAGTTGTTACTACCAATGATCTAAAACCTGGGATATTTTACACATATTGTTGAGATGCTTTGCTATTTAATAAAAGCCCCATATACTCTTTAAGTCAATGTAGTATAGAATTAGTGCTAGTTTACTGAGAGTTGATTGGATTCAGTAGCATTGAATCATTCTAACCATCTCATCAAAAGTTGATATACAGATCAAAATGCCAGTTTAAACACTTACCAAAAGTAATGTTACTTTTGAAATAATTAGAATATTGACATCTTTGAATTAACACTCCCTAAGGTTGAAATAAAGTTTTAATTTAGGAATCAATCAGAAAGTTGCTTATTTAATATAAATCTAGTAGAGAATAATTAGCCCTATGGCAGGCTTACATATTGTCACTGAATATGAGCCTAGTGAACTTACCTTCTGCATAAGGATTGACCTACTGAGAACACTAGAATAATCATGAAATGTTATTAGTTGATTTGGTGACCCTCTATTTTGAATAGAGGGAGAATATCCAATAATTTATTTACATTTGCTTGTCTAGGCTACACAATTTTGTACATGAATCTCAGCAACAGCTTCCTAATTGTTTCTCCTGCTAATCTAATTAAAGTTCCATTGTAAATATTAAGTTTTTTAAAGTAAATCAAACGATGCTACTTCTATTCCCAAAGCCCTTTATTTCCAATGCAACAAATTGAATTCATACTCCCTTTTATAACTCACGAGACTCTGAATACTATCCCGTTGGTAATCTCCTGAGCCTCATTTTTTTAAATGTGAAATTGTATTTATTTTTTGTACATTTTGTAGACAGTTTTAACTTTTCAGAATATTTAAATGAGTAATTTATTGTAAAATCCACAGAAAATTTATTTTGCTTATTTATTTAAAAAAATATTTATTAAGAGATGATCGATGTTCAAAAAGCTGTAGATATTTAACGTATACATCTTAATGTGTTCGGAGATAAGAATACACCTTTGAAACCGTCAACACAATCAATGCTATAATCCTATCCATGACCTCCCAAAGTTTTCTCCCACTCTTTTGATTGTTTTGTTTTTTCTTTCTGTGGTAAGAGCATTTAACGTAAGATTTATCTTCTTAACAAATTTTAAAGTATACAATACAGCATTGTTAATCATAGGCCCTTTGCTGTGCAGGAGATATTCAAAAATTTTTTGTCTTGTATAACTGAAACTTTAGACCTTTTGTCCAATCCTTCCCCAGTTTACTCCTCCCCTATCCTCTGATAACCAACCCTTTACTCTGTTTCTGTGAGTTTGACTGTTTTAGACTCCACATATACGTGAGATCATATAGTATTTATCCTTCTGTTGACTGGCTTATTTCTCTTAACATAATGTCCTTCAGGTCCATTCATGATGTCACAAATGTTCAGGTTTTCTTCTTTTTTTAAGGCTAAATAACTTTCCTGCGTGTATATATATTACCATGAGTCATGGTGTCACAACTGATTTCTTTATCCATTCATCCACCAATGGACACAGAGGTTGTTTCCATATCTTGACTACTGTGAATAATGTTGCAGTGAACATGGAAGTGCAGATATCTCTTCAACAAACTAATTTCAATTCCTTTAGATATGCACTCAGAAGTAGGATTTCTGGATCAAATGGTAATTTTAGTTTTAATGTTTGAGTAATCTTCATCTTGTTTTCCATAGTGGCTTTACCAATTTACATTCCCATCAACAGTGTAAAGTGTTCTCTTTTCTCTACATCCTAGCCAACACATGCCCTTTGTTTTTTGATAATAGCCAACTTAACAAATATGAGCTGATATCTCATTGTGGTTTTAATTTGTATTTTCCTGATGACTGGTAAAAGCCATTTTTCATATACTTATTGGCTGTTTTATGTCTTCTTTTGAGAAATGTCTATTCAGTTCCCTTGTCCATTTTTTGTTTGGGTTGTTTTATTGCTATTGAGTTGTTTGAGTTTATTATACATTTTAGATATTAACCACTTTTCAGATACGTGGTCTGCAAATATTTACTCTCATTCTATAATTTACTTTTTCATTTTGCTAACTGCTTCCTTTGCTGTGCAGAAGCTTTTTCATTAGATGTAATCCCACTTGTTTATCCCTGCTTTTTTTTTCCTGTGCTTTAGTGTCATATCCAAGAAATCATTGCCCAGTCTAATTTGTAGAAGATTTTCTCCAATGTTTTCTTCCAGGACTTGTATTGTTTTATGTTTTACAGTTAAGCCTTTAATCCATATTGAGTTGATTTTTGCATATAGCGGGAGATCAAGTCCAATTTCATTTTTTTGTGTGTTGAATTTTGATTTTTCCAAAACCATTCATTGAACAGACTATCTTTCCCTCATTGTGTATTCTTGGCACCTTTGTGGAAGATCAGTTGACCTTATATGCATCGGTTTATTTATGGGCTCTCTGTTCTACTCAACTGGTCTGTATGTGTGTTTTTATGCCAGTGCCTTGTTTCAATAACTAGTTTTGTAATACATGTTCAAATCAGGGAGTGTGATACCGTCAGCTTTGTTCTTCTTGCTCAAAATTGCTTAGACTTTTTTTTTCTTTACTGGTTTCCCTTTTCCCCACTATGTATCAGTCACATGAGCTGTTTCTTTTCTCAGAATTTGTCTACTTTAAACACCTGTCCTCTTGGGCTTTCTATCTTTGGTTACCTTTCAGCCTTTAACTCACAGTACGGCTATCAGTTTCTTTCTTGAGCACAATATATAACAAAATTTCCCCTTTACTTTTAATTCATGGTGTTTTTTTCTTCACAGATGAAATATAATTTGATGTTTGCCCTTGTTTGAATACTCCATGAAGATGAGGAAAATACATGTTTGTGTCTAACAGTGTCTGGCATGTGGTAAGTGGTCGGTAAATATACTTTAAATCAATGATTGAGTGCATAAATATTCTTTGTTCTTTGGTTAACCCTTTTTTAAATTCCATGCTTACTAAGCTTTTTAACCCATTCTCTCTTCATAAAATTATTTAAGATCTCTAGGTTGTAGTGTGTTTTCTTTGGCGATCGAAAAGCAACTTTGGAGTTTTTATGTGTGCCCTCAGTTCACTCTAAGAGCACTTTATTTATTTATTTATTTTTGATACAGAGTATTACTGTGTTGCCCAGGCTGGAGTGCAGTGGTGCGATCTCAGCTCACTGAGACATGTGCCTCCCAGGTTCAGATGATTCTCCTGCCTCAGGAGAGTGCCTTGTTTATGAAAAATAAGTTAATATTATCCATTATACTAGAATTTTTACAATTGTAACATGTTAAAAAATATTCAAGACACTCTTTAGAGACAATATGGAAGAGCTTATTCAAGGGAGAATATTGCAATAGGTATAGGGATTGTTGCAATGGGTCTTATAGTGTGGTAGAGACATTGGTCTTGACTCTGATTACAAGAGGAACAAGTGCGAATCTATGGTCAAGGAGTAGGGGCTGGTGAATGAAAAGTTACTAAGAGAAAACATCAGGGATAAGGGGATTCTTCTTACACTGACTTGACAGGATTTTTATTGAAGGTAAACCAGCATGACAAGATATTGAGGGTAAGGAATAAGGAATTTGATCAGATATCAAGGGTGTTTATGTAAGGGCAGGGGATTTTCACTAGACTAGCCCAGCAAGATTCTTGCTAAAAGTGCTCTAAACAGGCAGAGCCACTGGAACTAAGGACAAAGCCCAAGGTCAGGGCCTAGTCAGAAAGAAGACTCAGAGGAGTCTGACTCAGGCTTGGGCAATAGCTTAGACTTTTTTGAAGTCTAAATATGGCAATTCCATTACATTGGAAGATAACATGTTAATAATGCATCTATTGATGTCCACAGCTTTGGTCAGAACCACACTAAAAAGAAACGTTAAGAACTTACCTATTATAGCATTTTAACTGGATAACAAGTAGGCTGCATATGGTATCATCACAGTATCTAATGATATGCTACAGAATTAATAATTTACCTCTATAGAAAAAAATTATAATCAGTTAATTTGTACAGTTAATACATTTTCTGAGTTTTGACTATTAATTTCTAACATAACAACTATCACATATGTAAGTGTTTTATAAGACCATTATCACTTCCAGCTTCTTCCAAAATCTCATTTTCTTAACTAATGTTTATAGTATTTTTGCCAGAGTATATATCCTAAAAAAGGTGCCCATAATCAAAATGTCTAAAGTACTGGAAATATATTATTTAAAAAAAAAACTAAATACCTAGCTGAGATTTCACAGATAAATAATAAAAAATACCCACAGGACCAAACTATTGAAAAGGAATGAAGCAAAAAAAGAAGTGAGGACTGAAGCTGAAGGGTGCCCAAGGGGAAACAACTGATCTCTCTTCGACTAGAGCTTCCATTTTAACTCGAGGCCCGCAGAATTGGAGCAATGACTACAGCCCAAACAAAGCCCTAAACACTATGTCTTTTAAAACCAGCAATCCCTGGAGTGAATAACCACAGGACACAATCTAGAAAAACTATTTATATCCCAAAGGAAAGAAGGAAACTTGTCTGTCTCAGCTTTAGCTCTGAATGAGGCCAGCAAAATCTCGCTAAAATGTCATTTACCAAAAACATATACAGTTTTTGAGCCAGAATTAACACCACCTATGGCCACAGAAACACCAGGTTACAAATATGTATTTAACTGGTGCTGTGATTTTAATGTCCCAGAAATCTGGTAGAAACAACCATAATTCTCCCTGGAGGACTATATCTTAAGTTCAAGTCTGAAGGGAAGAATTCCCACAGAGAAAGTTCCAAAGAACATATGCTCAGTATCAAAAACAGAACACATGAAGAAACAAGCTATGAATTTGAGTCAACAAAGCAGGTAAAACAGAGTTTGAAGTATAAAGATTGTAGATGTTGGAATAAGTGGCTAGAGAATATAAAGTAAGTGTGTTTGTTAGAAGAATAAAAATATGGCTGGCACTATAAAATTGGTCAGTTAGATTTTTTAAATAACCAGGAAACTATGTAGAAATGAAAATTATTGTAGCTAGAATTTAAAAATTATGGATATTTTTAACAGCAGATTAAGCATGCTGGAAGATAATAAGTGGGTTAAAAGATACATCTGGGGCTGGGTGCGGTGGCTCAAGCCTGTAATTCCAGCACTTTGGGAGGCGAAGGTGGGCGGATCACAAGGTCAGGAGTTCAAGACCAGCCTGGCCAATATGGTGAAACCTCATCTCTACTAAAAATACAAAAAAAAAAATTAGCCAGGCTTGGTGGCAGACACCTTTAGTCCCAGCTACTCAGGAGGCTGAGGCAGGAGAATCGCTTGAACCAGGGAGGCAGAGGTTGCAGTGAGCCGAGATAGTGCCACTGCACTCCAGCTTGGGTGACAGAGCGAGACTCCATCTCAAAAAAAAAAAAAAAAAAGAAAGAAAAAGAAAAAAGAAAAAGATACATCTGAAAATTATACAATATTAACCATACAGAGTCAAAGATATTTACAAAAACAGGCTTAAAGACATGGAGAAGACGTTTAAAGACATGGAGAAGAGATTCATGATTTCTAGCAAAAATTAGATGCATATTAAGAAAAAATATAAATTAAATGGTGATACGTAAAATATGAAGAGACAATAACTGAAAGTTTTATCAAAACGATTAGATATGAATTTTCATATTATGGAAGTGAAAATTATTCCAGCAGGACAATGGAGAAAAACTACAGCTAGACTGCGTAATACTAAACCGCGTATGCAGTCTAGCCTAGACTGATAGTATTTCTTGTAAAATACTTATATATGTGATAGTTTTTAATGTTAGAAATTAACAGTCAAAGCTTACAGACTGACTAGGCTAGACTGCATAATGCTAATGACAAAGACATCTCAAAAGCTGCTACAGAGGAGAGCAGCTTTTATTATTTTAAAAGAATAAAAATAATGAATAACAGCTATATACAGTTTATAAGAGTCAAGTATAAACCAAAGGATATTTAGAAGCATAAAAGTAAAAAGAGAGGAAAACACATCAGGTAAATGCTGAACCCTGCAAAAGTAAAATAAAATATTAAGCAAAGTAAAGAAATTAACGTATTTACACACGAACCCACAAAAAGCATCTTTATATAATGAATAAAGTTTTACCAAATGGATAGGAAATTTCTAAATTTGCATACATCTAATAATATAGCCTCGAAACATGTAAAGCCAAAAAATCAAAAGGATAAATCTAGCACTATAGCAGGGCATTTTCATATGCTATTCCATAGCTTTTATGATATGAATTAGGACATTAATTTTGAAAAATATATATGATTAACAAATTTGATTAATGAGAATAGTTAAACAACAATACAACCACAATTTTGTAATAAGCATTTTTTTTTTTTGAGACAAGGGTCTCTGTGTCACCCAGGCTTGAGTGCAGTGGCATGACAATAGTTTGCAGCAGCCTTGAACTTCTGGGCTCAAGAGATCCTCCCACCTCAGACTCCTGAGTAGCTAGGACTACAGACATGTGCCACCATGCCGGATTAATGTTTTTTGTTTTATTTTTTGTAGAGATGGGTCTCTTGCTATGTTGCACAGGCTGATCTTGAACTCCTGGCCTCAAGCTATCCACCTTGGCCTCCCAAAGTGTTGGGATTACAGGCCTGGGCCACCGGACCCAGCCCATAATAAGCATTCTTTTTAAGCATACATTAAGCATATAGATGCTCAAATTATAGAATTTGAACATATAGACGATAAACAAATTTCAGCTAATTTTAAAATGTGCTATCATCTCAGAGAATGAATTTAAAATTGAAATTGAATAAAGTTAAAATGAATAATTATATAATGCAAATTAGGAAATATTTATAACTTAAGGTAATAAGAATACTACATACCGAAGGCCTCTAAAACTGTGATTAAAAACAAACGGGTATCCCTAAATTGTCTTAAAGTCGGAAAATTAATGATGCACACATAGAAATTAAGATGCGGTCATGAACAGCTCAATAAATCTCATAAATATACAAGGAAGTAAATACACATAAGAGAATAAGTAATTAATAAAGTAGAAAACAAAGATAAAATAGATCATTATAAAAGCGAAATGTTTTTCAACAGGGTTTAAATTAGCAAAATTTCTCACAATAATAAAAAAGCAGAAAAAAGAGAAGCAGCAAATAAATAGTATTGAATACTCAAGTTTGGAAAATAATATGATAGTCAAATATTGATAGCCAGGGCATTTCCTAAAAAATGAAAAAAGAAGAGTGACAATCTAATAAAAGACAAATGTGGAAATATTGCATTAACAGGAATTTAAAAATACAAAATAGGTGTTTGTATAATTAAAGATGTTAGACTTTGGCCGGGCATGGTGGCTCACGCCTGTAATCCCAGTACTTTGGGAGGCTGAGGCAGGCAGATCACTTGAGGTCAGGAGTTTGATACCAGCTTGGCCAACATAGTGAAACCCTGTCTCTACTAAAAATACAAAAATAAAAATTAGCTGGGTGTGGTAGTGTGCACCTGTAACTCCAGCTACTCCAAAGGCTGAGGCACAAGAATTGCTTGAACCCAGGAGGTGGAGGTTGAATTGAGCTCAGATTGCACCACTGAACTCCAGCGTGGGTGACAGAGTGAGACTTTGTCTCAGAAAAATAAAAAAATAAAGATGTTAAACTTTATTTGTAATTAAGGAATACAAATTAAATTATGGGCACAATTTTAGAGCCGACATATTGACAAGTGTGTAATTGTAATACCAATTGTTGCATGAGTGTGGATCAACAAAAACTTATATAGGGCTAATGAAAATGTACACCCATTTTAAAAAACAAGTTTTCTCTACATTAACTATAATCAAGAATGCTAATCTTAATTATATATCCTAGAAAATAATCTGGCATTGGTACAACAGGAAGAATGTACAAGAATGTTCATAGTTTTTAATGGAAAGTTGGCTTGAAATAAATGAAATGTCTACCAATAAACAAAGAAACAATAAGTAAGTAAATGAGTGAAGTATGTCGATGTAGAAGAATATTATACAACCATTAAAATGGATATAATTCAGCTACTTATTTCAACATGAGTGAATCATAACTACACAATGAAATACACTGTAGAAAACAGAGAATTCCACATAAAGAAAGTGTCATTGTTTGTGTCAATTGATTGATAAGTAGCTGTATTGAATACTTTACTGTATAATAACCCCTATATTATCTGTTGACTCGAGATTCCAAACTTTAAAAATATTGTTTCTAGAGTTTAAAATATTATTGGAGAAATCATACTTATATACCCAAATAGTAAAGACCAAAACAAAACAAACAAAAACATTCGAGGCAATATCTAACCAACAGCTAATATGCTTGGTTCAGATAGTATGGATTTTAGGAATTTAGAAAAATGTGAAGCCAGAATAATAGAGTGCACTCTATGAGGAGGTAAGTGATAATACAGTGTAAAATTTAGGTAAGTTGTTGGAAGGCATATCAAAGACACCAGACCCGGTTTATGTGCCGTACAATTTGAGATTCTGCCCCAGTACTTCAGCTAGTAAATTGCTCCCCTGTTGGAGTGATGTAAACTTTTAATCCTGAAGGATGTGAAACCTTGGTTACTTTGTCTTTGTTCAGTCATGTTTGGTGAATTTGCCAACTTATCTCTAATCTCTAGGCATGAAACAACCAAGAGACAATGCATTGGATCTCCTGGATTCCCAAATAGATACTGTAAATTGTATTGTATAGCAGAAATCTTAGCTTCCGATTTTAATCAATGCTGATTACCATGGCTACATGGCTGCTGAAGTGAAATGACTTTTTTTTTTTGTCTGCAGATCCACTGGCATGATAAAGGCATGGTAGTTGGCCAGATGGTACATGTAGTTTCTAGTTCAATGGAACTCTTCCTGTATCTCTAACAGATGAGTTTTCCCTTGACACCAGAAACTATTGCCTATTAGAGACAAAGGTTATGAAGTGAGGAAGCACAAACTCTCTAAATAAGTGGAGGTCGAAATGAGAAAGTTTGATCCTACTTGTACTCCTAGGTTCCTGAACTCATATGTTCCCAGCATTGGTGTCTGTATTCATTTGCTAGGACTGCCAAAACAAAATACCACAGACTGGGTGGCTTCAACAACTGAAATTTATTTTCCTAAGTTCTGGAGGTTAGAAGTCCAAGATCAAGGTGCCAGCAGGTTTGATTTCTTCTGAGGCCTTTCTCCTTGGCTTGCAGATGGCCACCTTCTCACCTCGCCTCACTGTGGTCTTTCCTCTGTGCATCCACATCTCTGCTTTCTCCCTGTGGGTCCTAATCTCCTCTTCTTATAAGGACGCCAATCAGATTGGATAAGGGCCCATCCTAAGGGCTTCATTTTAACTTTATTACCTCTTTAAAAACCCTACCTCCAAATACAGTAGCATTCTGAGGTCCTGAAGGTTAAGGCTTCAGCATATGAATGTTTGGGGAAACACAATTCAGCCCCATACATTGGCAGTTGATTTCGGGAATGTACTGCATCATGGAGAACACTACTGCACAGCCACAGGCTGTTGTCCTAAAGCCAGGATATTTGCTGAACCTTCAATGGGGTACTCAGCCATTCTATTAGGCCAAATATGTATAATATGTATGATATAAGACCAATTAATCTAATAGTGGTGAGACCATTATTCTGTATTTTGCTGACAATAGAAAATGTTGACAAAAAGAATCAAATTCTGTGAAATATTTTAAGAGGTTTATTCTGAGCCAAATATGAGTGACCACAGCCTGTGACACAGCCCTCGGGAGGTCCTGAGAACATGTGCGCAAGGTGGTTGGGGAACAGCTTGGTTTTATAAATTTTAAGAAGGCATGAGACATCAATCAAACACATTTAAGAAATACATTGGTTTGGTTCAGAAAGGTGGGACAAATCAAAGCGGGGGCTTCCAGGCTATAGGTAAATTTAAACATTTTCTGGTTGACAATTGGTTGAGTTTGTCTAAAGACCTGGGATCGATATAAAGGAATGTTCAGGTTAAAGATAAAGGATTTTGGAGACCAAGTTTTATTGTGCAGAGGAAGCTCCCAGATAGCGGACTTCAGAGAGAGCAGGTTGTAAATTGTTTCTTAATGGGACTTAAAAGGGTGCCTGGCTCTTAGTTGATTATCTCCTGGATAGGAGGAAAGGAAGGAAAACGAAGGGGAAAGGGGATTCTCTATAGAATGTGGATTTTCCTGCAAGAGACCTTGAAGGACAATGAAGGTAGGGTAAGGAAATATATTTTGGGGTTAAATATTTTTTCTTTGTCTCATAATGTTATGCCAGAGTCAGATTGAGAAGTAAGTCATAATATATAGGGTCAAAAAAACCCATCTGATGAAAATTGTTTGTAGGGCATGACTCCTTAGACCCCTTAGGGAGGAATTTGTGTAAAATAAAAAAATCAGAGCTTAGTCCTCAAAAATTATCTATTTTCTTTTAAATTGAAAACATTTAAAAATCTTTTTGAGGGGTATATTTCAGAATATTCCTTTTTAAAAGTCTGTTTAACTGTCTCATACACACATATTCACAAACACTGAGAAATTATTTTTGTTCATGAAATGAAAAATGGCATTGTTTAAAATGATTTACTAAATCATATAAGTCTTCAAACTAAAACATATTATTATTCTCTCTGTAGTTCCTTTTTTCTATGGCTAAATGTATTTGGAATGCTATGTGTTGTTTTCCTGGAGAGCGTCCCACGTGATTCTTGAGTGATTAGACAATGACTAGCCATTAAGCCACTTTTTTTGCTTTATTATTATTTTAAATTTTAAAATGGGAATATTATGTGATTATTTTTCACTGAAGTGAAAATGCAAATAAATTACCCAAGAGGTGGTTTATAGAGGAGATACTTTTGTTGTAGGTATAATACCTTTTAGTGTTTTATGAAAATCCTCATTTGTTTCTCAGCTGGTAATGTGTCAATACGATGTATGTGTGAAATTCTAGAGTTGCTTGTGACAATGTTCTGTTTGTTTCCATGACCCCAGCAGTTCCTCCTGCATAGCCCTTCAGGCTAGAGTCCCTTTATTATTTCATCTACCTCCAGAATGTTGTTCTGCAATTTACCCACTTTTATAGCATATACGACCATGACCAAACAATCTAGAACTTATTTAATACATACAATAGAGTATTCAGGGTAGACAGTTTACCTAAATATGGCCATTATAGGTTGAATTTTGTCCTCCCAAAAGAGATGTGCTGGAGCCCTAACCAGGGGTATGTCATGTGACCTTATTTGGAGATAGGTTCTCTATAGATGTAATCAAGTTAAAACGAGGTCATTATGGTGCGCCCTAATCCATTATGACTGATGTCCTTATATAAAGAGGAAATTTGGACACAGAGATAGACAAGCATAAAGGGAAGGTGATAAAAAGAGAGTAGACGATGGCCATCTGCAAGCCAAGGCAAGAGGACTGGAACAGACACTCCCTTCACAGTCCTCAGAGGTAACCAACTCTGCCATTGCCTTGACTTTGGACTTTTAACCTCCGGAAATGTGAGGCAGTAAATTTCTGTTGTTTAAGCCACCCAGTCTGTCATACTTTGTCACAGCAGCTCTAGAAAACTAATAAATTCGGCTCTCTACACCTTCTATTCAAATTCCTGACAATCTGTCTGTCTTTTCTAAATCAAATTGCCACTGGAATCAGTGAGAGAATAGGCTTGAAGATCTTTATGGAAAGAACAGATAAGGACTCTTTCCTCCTTGGGCTGAAGGAGAGTTTCCAGATTCTTGGAAGAACCTATCACACAGAGACTCTTAGATTCTTAGAAGGAAATTTGACATTGGTAAAAATTTCTCCAGTCAGTATGACCTTAGGGACCTAATTCAGCTCCTAATTAGGTCCTCTGCTCCTGAGGTTGAGTATATGCCTGGAGACCTGGGAACAGGAAGGCTTCATCCTGCTCCTCCGCAGTGGGTGCTGGCAGCCCTTCTGCTCGTGCACCACTGGCTCAGTGTTGTAGAGAGTAGTCTGCCTGCTTGCAGTTGTTTACCCCCACCACCAGATCTAAGGGCTAATAAAGAAAATAACAAACAGGGGTTCTAACAGCCAGAGAGAGGATCAGTCAGCACAAACAGATCTCATGACAGCAAAATAGAGTTGCTGCAGGAGACAGAACATACTTGAACAAACAAATAATAAGAACTCTTAGGAAAATTCAAGTGCACCCCAATCACACATACTTTCTGGAAAATCACATGATTTTCCAATTAAATGTTTCAGTAGGTAAACTGAAGGATGCTATAACAGAGGTATAGAAGATCTTATAGAATAAATGTGTCAAAGCACAGAAGTGCAAGTTATAATAAACAAACAAACAACTAGCCATTTGGAGAGTAGATGAAATAAAAATAACCGGCAAAAGTTGGACTTACGTAAGAAAAAACATGACAGAAGCTTAAGTAAACAAATACAAGAAGAGATACCATGAATTGAGACAAAATTATCAGAAGAATGAGTCTTACTAAGTTTTAGGCAATTTTAAAGTGAAATAAGCAAAGCTAGCCATCCCTGCTATAATTAAGCTTTTTAAAAAGAAAAAAAAGGTTATAATATTTCACACAGAGATTCTAACAGAAAAATCTAAACAAACAATTAGTAAAAAAGAACCTAGCCAATTTATCAAAGAAAAAATGTACTCTACAGCCAAGGAGGGTTGATAGCAAGAAGACGAGACTCTCTCAATATAAAAAAACTGCCAACATAATTACCAACAAATTTAAGAAATAAAGCATATGATCATTTATGAATTTTGACAAGCAGTGGGTAAAATGTTTAAATTTCCAAATAAAACAGGTATGTTTGTAAGATACTTGAATTTAGTAAATATTGTCAAAAATGCTGCATAGGCTGGGCATGGTGGCTCATGCCTATAATCCCAGTGCTTTGAGAGTCCCAGGTGGGAGGATGACTTTAGGTCAGGAGTTGGAGGCCAGCCTGGGCAACAGAGTGGAGACCCTGTCTCTACAAAAAGAAAAAAAAAAAAAAGAAAACAATAAAACAACCAAGCATGGTGGTGCATGCCTTTAGTTCCAGCTATTTGCAGGCTAAGGGGGGCTAATTCCTTGTGCCCAGGACTTTGATGCTGCAGTGAGCCTACGCTAGCACAACCTCACCCCAGTCTGGGTGACAAAGTGAGACCCTATCTTTCCCCCCACCTCCCAAAAAGGTGTGTAGACTATAATGTTAAAAGTTAAGGCACTAAACCATTTCAATCAAACCAATTATTATTCTATGACGCCCTGGAGATTCAGTGAATGTAGTGAAGTAATGACATATAAAACAAAACTCACATAGCCAATGAATATAAGATAAAATTTTTAGGTGTAGATAGATAGAGGGAATGGAAAACCGTGTACAAATGGACAAAAATGCATAGAATCCCTCAATATCATGTCTAATATACTTTTGCATTTTTAGAAAATGATATATGGTGTGTATACATACAAAGAAAAGAAATTGGCAAATTTTTCAATAACTACTAAGATTAGCAAACCTTATTACCCACTCTTCAGGAGCTATAACTGAAGAAACATTTTTAGACAAATGTTCTTATTTGGTATTAACAGATTGTTTTACTTATATTCTTCAAATTATGTAAGAAATGTGGAAGCCAGCCATTCGAATTCGATTTGTCACATGCAGTTTTGCCAGAGCTTTTTCTCTCATGATTATTGGTGTTCAAAAGTTTAACACTTACTGTATTATTTACCGTAGATAATATTCATGATAGGAATCCCATGGCTAATAAGCACAACTTGACTTTGTATTTATTTTATGCATTACTAAAAAAAATTCCATTCACAAATACTGACTGAGCCTCATTCTATGTAGTGTTAAAGAAAATAAATGAGAGTTTAATTTTTTTACAAAACATTATTTCCTGGCTTGTATCCTTTACATTTTTTTTTTTTTTTTTTTTTTTTTTTTGAGACGGAGTCTCGCTCTGTCGCCCAGGCTGGAGTGCAGTGGCGGGATCTCAGCTCACTGCGAGCTCCACCTCCCGGGTTCACGCCATTCTCCTGCCTCAGCCTCCCAAGTAGCTGGGACTACAGGCGCCCGCCACTACGCCCGGCTAATTTTTTGTATTTTTAGTAGAGACGGGGTTTCACCGTTTTAGCCGGGATGGTCTCGATCTCCTGACCTCGTGATCCGCCCGCCTCGGCCTCCCAAAGTGCTGGGATTACAGGCGTGAGCCACCGCGCCCGGCCTCCTTTACATTTTTGAAGTTAAAAAATATGTTACACAGCTCATTCCTTTTTTTCAAAACATTTGAATTGTACTCAGAATATTATGCTTTTTGCCTTTATAACATGAATTTAAAACATACAGATAATTTTATTTGAATAGGTTACAAAATGCTTACCTTAAAAATATATATATATAGTATTTCTTTTTTTAATTGATTTTTTCTGTGATGATGTTATTTATGCCTTATTTTGACACTGTATTTTTTAAAATTAAATTAGATTTTTTTTAAACTTCCAGGTTACATGTGCAGGATGTGCAGGTTTGTTGCACAGGTAAACATGTGCCATGGTGGTATGCTGCACCTGTCAACCATCACCTAGATATTAAGCCCAGTATGCATTAGCTCTTTTACCTAATGCTCTCCCCTATTGCCCTTCCCTGACAGGCCCCAGTGTGTTTTGTTCCCCTCCCTGTGTCCATGTATTCTCATTGTTCAGTGCCCACTTATAAATGAGAACATGTGGTGTTTGGTGTTCTGTTCCTGCATCAGTTTGCTGGGGATAATGACTTCCAGCTAATCCATGTCTCTGCAAAGGACATGATTCCTTTTCATGGCTGCATAGTATTCCATGGTGTATATATACCACTTTTTCTTTATCCAGTCTATCATTGATGGGCATTTGGGTTGATTCCATGTCTTTGCTATTGTGAATAATGCTGCAGTCATTGCATATTTTTAATGTTTTTCCTTTTAGGTAAACATTTGATACATTTTCATTGCAAAAATTTTCTCCCCTCAGATTATTACAATGATTTTCCTGCTAATTATTTATCCTTTCTTTCTTTATTATAACGTAATTTTCCTATATACTACTTTAAGAACATTTACAAGTGTATTAGTTGAAAAGTACTGTAATATCAGAAGAATTGTGATAATTTATATTACAGATCTTCAAATGATACCCAAACTCTTAAGTGTTTCGTTTTATAGATGATACATTATCTGTTGGGGGGATAATGTTTCATTAAACTTATGCCTAATTTTGTGTTTATACTTGTCTGAAACTATACACTGAATTCTTTTTTGTAAGTACAATAGTTTGGTTGTAGCTGGGAGCTGCTTGCTACTTGAAGTCTGGAATTGTTATACTCTCAATAACTGTCACAAATTTTTTACTTTGTAAAAGAAAGTTTTAACTTCTCAATTGAGAAACTTTATTTTAACACCTCCATTTATTAACACCCTTAACAAATTTAGGCAGCCCTTTTCTATACTGTGTGATTATTTCAACTACAGAGTTTGTCTAAGTATTGAAATTTTTATTTACATTCTTGTTTCTTCATTAGACTGAGAACACATTTTTTTAAGGGCAATGTCTTGTTTTAGTTTACATCACAACCTTAAAACTTACTGAAGTGCCTGACACAGATATAGGATAAAATTAATATTTAGAGTCAATGAATAAATAAAATGTATGTTTCCATTAACAATCGGTGGGGTGTCTTTTTTGGTAAGTTGGAATTTCTCTCCAGTGTGATCGATTTGCCTTCATGTAATAGTTAACAGAACTGATAAATGGCCAACATAACAATTCAGCCTTTTTTCATATTAAACAGATACCATTGAAACAGATGTTCCTGCATTAGGTTCTCAAAACAAATGAAGCATGGCTTTGATTCCACACATACAAAAACAAGTGATTCACAATGGCAGTTTCAAATTTGTGGTCACAATGATTAGTGTTCTACTTGTTACAAAGGATTTGATTAGTCATTTTCTAGACATTTTGAAATTTTAATTATCTGGAATATTTAATATGCATTTTCTTTTTTTAATGCCCTGTAAATGTTTTAAGAGGATGAATTTTTAAAACCTTGTAGAACTTTTGTGTTCTAGAAATATGGTTGAGTGTGAGAAAGATCTCTATTTGCTGAGATAGCAAAATGTTTAAGGAAACCTCAAGACCAATAAAAATATTTTTAACATTGGCTTAACTGGCCTGAATTCAACTCCCAGCATTGGCACCTACTCTCTCATTACCTTGCACAAAGTCATTCTAACTAAGCTTTAGTTTGTTATCTATAAAATAAAAGTTGCAATCTGTTTCATATTCATATTTCATTTCATACGTTTTTCTTTGCTCTCAATTCCTTCCAAAACGTTTGATTTTTTTAGAATTCCTTTTGAAAGTTCCAATGTTATTTATGGGAACATTTCTTAACTGTAATACCATTTTATTTTTTCCACAGAAAATCCCAACAATTTAAAGGTTAAAGGTAATATTTTTATTTTATTATTAATATAACTTTGAAATAACAGCTTTATTGAGATATAATTTACATTCATACCATAAAATTCACTCTTTGAAAGTATGCAATTCAGTAGTTTTTAAGTATATTCATATAATTATGCAACCATTACCACTCTCTGATTTTAGAACATATAACCACTCCAAAAATAGACCCCACACCATTAACAGTCACTACTCATTTCCCTCTGCCTCTAGTTCTTGGCAACCACACTAATCTACTTTCTCTCCATGGACTGACCTATTCTGAACATTTCATGTAAGTCAAATCACATATATGTGGGCTTTTGTGACAAGTTTCTTTCACATAGCTTAATGTTTCTCAGATTTGTGGTAATACCCTTATGTTTAGAATTAGTTTTACGTCTAGCAAATATATGCGTTTATGGTTCTATTTTTAATTCAGTGGACTTTATTTTTCTAGAGCAGTTTTAAGTTCACAGCAAAATTGGGTGGAATGTATAGAGGTTTTCCAACTGTATGAAATTATAGACCCCTACTTCCACAAAAGTATAGCCTGTGTCATAATCAACATCCCCTACCACATAAATACCCCAACTCCCACAAATCTATAGCCTATGTCATAATCAGCATCCCTTATCACAGTGGTACTTTTTAAATTTTTACAAATGATGAACCTACATTGATAGATCACTGTCACCCAAAGTCCGTAGCTTACATTAAGGTTCATTCTTAGTGTTGTACATTCTATAGGTTTAGACAAATATACAGTGGGATTTATCAACCATTGTAGTACCATACAGAGTAGTTTCACTGCCCTAAAAATTCCTTGTGTTCTGCCTATTCAGCCTTCCCTCCCTCCACCCCTGTTATCCACTGATCTTGTTATATTCTCCACAGGTTTGCCTTTTCCAGATGTCATACAGTTGGAACCATAAAGCATGTAGCCTTTTCAGATAGGTTTCTTTTACTTAGTAATAAGCATTTAAGTTTCCTCCATTCTTTTTATGACTTCATAGTTCATTTCTTATTAGTGCTGAACAATGTTCTACTATTCTGTGTAGAGCACACTCTATCCATTTGCCTACTTCTGCAAATCTTGATTATTTCCAAATATTGGAAATTATGAATAATGCTTCCATAAACATATTTGTGTAGGTCATTTTGTGGACATAAATTTTCCTTTAAGTAAATATGAATGAGCATGGTTGCTAAATCATATGGTAAGAATATATTTAGTTTTTAAAGAAACTGCCTTCTAAAGTGTCTGTCCCATTTCACATTCCCACCAGCAATGAATGAGAGTTTCTGTTGCTCTACATCCTCCCAACTTTGGTGTTGTCAGTATTCTGGATTTTGGCTTTTCTCATGGGTGTGTAGTGTTACCCTATTGTCATTTTAATTCCCATTTCCCTGATGACATGTGATGTGCAGCATCTTTTCATATGTTCACTTTTTATCTGTATATCTTTGGTGAGGTGTCCATGAAGACCTTTGGCTCATTTTAAAATTAGGTTGTTTTCTTACTGTTGAGTTTTAAGAGTTCTTTGTATATTTTGGATACCGGTACTTTATCAGATAGGTGTTTTGCAAATAATTTCTCCCAGCCTCTGGCTTGTCTTTTTATTCCCTTTAGAATGTCTTTTGCATAGCAGGCTTTTAAAAGTTTTAATAAAGTCCAGCTTATTAATTCTTTCTTTCATATATTGTTCCTTTGGTGTTGTAACTAAAAAGTTACCACCAAACCTGAAATCATTTATATTTTCTTCTAGGCTATCCTCTAGGAGTTTTATAGATTTATATTTTACATTTAGGTCTGTGATTTATTTTGAGTCAACTTTTGTGAAGGATGTAAGGTCTGTGTCTAGTTTCAACATTTTTTTTTGTATATGGATATCCAGTTGTTCCAGCAACATTTGTTGATAGGACTGTATTTTCTACATTTTTTATTGCTTTTGCTCCATTGTCAAAGATAATTTTACCATATTTGTGGGTTGTGGGCTCTGAATACTGTTCCATTAATCTATTTATCTATTTTTTTAATACCTCTCTCTTGATTACTGTAGTTTTACAGTAGTTTTGAATTTGGGTAGTATTAGACATTTGACTTTTATTTCTTCAGTATTGTATTGGCTACTCTGGGTCTTTTGATACTACATATAAACTTTAGAATCATTTTATCAATATACACAAAATAACTTACTGGGATTTTCATTGAGATTATGTTGAATCTATACAGCTGACATCTTGACAATATTGAATCTTCCTATTCATGAACATGGAATATCTCTCCATTTATTTAGTTCTTTAATTTCTTTCATCAGCATTTTGTGATTTCCTTCATATAAATCTTATATAAGTATTATTAGATTTCTACCTTTTAAGTATTTCACTTTTGGGTGATGCTAATGTAAATGATACTGTGTTTTTAATTTCAAACTCCACTTGTTCATTATTGGTATATAGGAAAGTGATGAATTTTTATATATCAACTTTGCATACTACAATCTTGCTATAATCTTACTAGCTCCAGGACCTTTTTCATTGATTATTTTGGATTTTCTACATGGACAATCATGTCATCGACAAACAAAGATAGTTTTTTTTATTTTTATCTTCCTAATCTATAAACCTATTATTTCCTTTTTCTGTCTTATTCAATTAGCTGTGACATCCAGTATGATGTTGAAAAACAGTGGTTAAGAGAACATCTTTGACTTGTGTTTTAATGGGAAAGCTTGAAGTTTCCTACTGTTGAGTATCATGTTAGCTGTAGGCTATTTGTAGATAATCTTTATTAAGTTGAGGAAGTTTTCCTCTAGTTCTAGTTTACTGACAGTTTGTATAATAAGTGGGGCTTAGATTTTGTCAAATGCTAATTGATTTTTAAATGTTGAACCAGCCTTACATAACTGGGATGAATCCATTTGGGTCATGGCGTATAATTCTTTTATACATTGTTTGATTTGATTTGCTAATGTTTTTAAAGATTTTATAATCTATGTTCATGAGTGATATTGGTCAGTAGTTTTCTTTTCTTGTAATGCCTGTGGTTTGATATCAGTATAATGCTGGCCTCTTATGAGTGAGGAAGTATTCTATTTGATTTTATCTTCTGAAAGAGTTTCTAGATCATTGATATTATTTCTTCCTTAAATGTTTGGTAGAATACACCAGTGAACCCATCTGGGCCTGACACTTTCAGTTATCCAGTTATCAATATTGATTAAGTTTTTAATAGTTATGGGCCTATTCAGATTTTCTATTTCTTCTTGTATGAGTTTTGGAAGATGTACCTTTAAAGAATTGGTGTATCTCATCTAGGTCATCAAATTTGTGTGCATAGAGTTGTTTATAATATTTTATTTTATTCTTTTAGTGACTATGGATCTGTAGTAATATCTCTTCTTTCATTTGTGATATTAATATTTTGTATTATCTCTCTTTTTTTCTTAGCTGATCTAGAAAATTATAGATTTTATTCATCTTTTTAAAGAACCAGGCTTTGGTTTCATTGATTTTCTTTAGTGAATTTCTATTTTCAGTTTCATTGATTTCTGCTCTGATTTTTATTTCTTTTCTCCTGTTTACTTTGGATTTATTTGCTCTTCTTTTCCTAGTTTCGGAAGGTAAAATTTTAGATTGTTGATTTTAGATATTCCTTCTGTTCTAATAAAAGCATTCAATGCCATAAATTTCCCTTTGAGAACTGCTTTTTCTGCATCCACAAATTTTGATAAGTTGTTTTTTTCATTTTTATTTACTTTGAAATACTTTTAAATTTCTCCTAAGATTTCTTTTTTTGGCCCATGTGTTATTTACAAGTATGTTTTTTAATCTCCAAGTAATTTGGGATTTTAAAACTACCTTTTTAAAATTGATTTCTAGTTAAACTCCATTCTGGTCTAATAGCAGCCACTGTATAATTTCTATTCTTTTAAATTTGGTAACTGTGTTTTATGGCTCAGAATGTGGTCTCTCTTTGTGAAGCTTCCATACAATCTTGAGAAGAATGTTATTGTTGAAAGAATTAGTCTACAGATGTTCATTATATCCAGTTGATGATGTCACTGGTGTGTTCAGTTATGCCTTAATGAATTCTAGCTGCTGGAATTTTCCATTTGTGAGAGAGGGGAGCTGAAGTCTTTAATTGTAATAGTGGATTCATCTACTTTTTCTTGCAGTTCTATCAGTTTTAGCCTCATATATTTTGATGCCCTATTGTTAGGCTCTTATATATTAATAATTATTATGTCTTCTTGGAGAATTGACCTCATTATCATTGCGCAGTGCCCCTTGTTATCCCTGATAATTTCCTTGCTCTGAAATCTGCTCTGTCTGCAATTAATCTCGCTACTCCCACTTTCTTTCGATTAGTGTTAGCATGGTACAGTAATCCCCCTTATCCACAAGGAATATGTTCCAAGACTCCCAGTGGACACCTGAAACAGTGGATAGCATCAAACCTTATATATGCTGTGTTTCTTCCTATGTATACATATCTACGATAAAGTTTAATTTATACATTGGACACAGTAAGAGATTACCAACAATAACTAATAATAAAATATAACAATCATGACAATATACTGTAATAAAAGTTATATGAATGTGATTTCTCTGCCTCTCTAAAAATATTTTATTGTACAGTATTCACCCTTCTTGTGATGTTGTGAAATGATACAATGCCTACGTGATAAGACAAAGTGACATGAATCACATAAGCCTTGTGATGTAGCAGTAGGCTAATGATGACCTTTTGTATTCTTAAATCTGTGTAACCATCTTTTAACTTTCCATTAATGACTTGGTGTCATTCATATCAGGAGATTTCTTGATAGAGTCTTTGCATAGGTTCAACACTTTTTGGCACAACACGTTGCTATAATTGAACATGTTTTCAGTTCATGTCTTCCATCCATGAATTATGTGCTTTTTCTACTTAACTAAGTACTTATCATACAATGTGGCTAGAGCTTTTGCAGTTTAAGGTGTGACAGAAAACTACCATAAATTTCTTTTGCTTCTTCATAAGTTTATGGATAGAATATTCATTCTTACTGTAGATCTTAACAACATCAATATATGCTTTTTTTCCCTTTATTAAGTTGAGGATTTTTACCTCTTCACCTAAAAGAATCACTTTATGTCCTTTCTTTGGCATGTTTGAATTTTCAGCATGACTATTATTGCATTTTGGAACCATTATTATGTAAAATACGAATTAACCTGAACACAAGCACTGAGATATCATGATAGTCAATCTGATAACTGAGACGGTTACTAAGCAACTAATGGGCAAGTAGCATATACAGTGTGGGTATGCTGGACAAAAGGTTTATTCACATCCCACACAAGATAATGCAGGATTGATGGTGTGAGAGTTTATCATGCTACCAAGAATGATGCACAATTTAAAATTTATGAATTGTTTACTTCTGGAACTTTCCATTTAATATTTTCGGACTGTTTGTGGCTGCTGTTAATGAAAACTACAGGAACTAAAAACAAAAACAAAAGCAAAAACAAAGGTAAGGGGGGCCTACTGTATATCTTTCCTCATCCATTTACCTGTAATCTATATGTGTCCTTATATTTAAAGTGGGATTTTTTTAGACAACATATAATGGGGTATTTTTTAAAATCTGTTGCTTAATTGGTGCATTTAAATCACTGATTCAAAGTGATTAGTGATATAGTTGGGTTAATACCTAACATATTTGTTAGTTTCTGTTTGTTCACCTTGTTCTTTATTCCTATTTTTGTCTTACACTATTTTTCTGTCGTTTGTGGTTTTAATTGAGCATTTTATATGATTTCATTTGCTCTCCATTCTTAGAGACTTTTTAATGTTTGCACAGAGTTTACAATATAAATTTACAGTGAATCCAAGTCCCCTTTCAAATAACACTATGCCACTTCATGTGTATCTTATAATAACAAAATAATTCATATTTTTCTCTCTCACCCTTATTGTCATTCATTTCATTCATGCATAAGCATAGAAAAGTCTATGTATGTACGTAAGCATACATAATTGAATATATTATTGCTATTGTTAACAAACATCTATCAGATCAATTAAGAATAAGGAAAATACAAGTTTTTATTTTACTTTCACTTATTTCTTAAGTAATGCTTTCCTTTCTTTATGTAGATGTGTGTTTCTGAACTATATCATTTTGTTTTTCTTTAAAGAACTTCTTTTAAAATTTCTTGCAAGTCAGGTCTACTGGTAACAAATTTATTAAATTTTTATTTACCTAAAAAAAAAATTCCTTTACATTTGAAGAGTAATTTCTCAGGGTACAGAACTCTAGGTGTTGTTTTTTTTTTTTTCCTCTCTCAACACTTTAAATATTTCACTCCACTCTCTTCTTGGCTTGCATGGTTTCTGAAGGGAAGTCAGATGTAACTATTATCTCTGTTCCTCTACAAGTGTGGTAGGAGTTATTAAGAAATTATTTTAGGCAGATAGAGAGGAAAAGAGGTCCTTGGAAGGTTTTTCGCAGCTCCAAAAAAACGTTTCTTGTATAGCATGAAAGCCCTGGCTCTTAAACCTGGGACGGCAACCTTTAATATGCAAATGCCAGCCTTTAGAAACTGGTTCCACCCAACATGGCAATTCCCACTGTTGTCCTCTTGCCCTTGCCCCAACAGGTGCCTGACAACATGGCCACCCCCATATATCCCCATGTGTGTAGAACATCATGGTGCCCTGCATTTGCATATTAAAGGGCTGGGGTGGAAAGGCCAGTTTTCTTGCTGGCTAAGTGAATAACATACCTGGTCAAACCAATTCCCTGAGCCCTGTGCAAATCAAACACCGCCTCCTCCAGCCATGGCATAAAACTGGCTGGTATCCTCCAAATGTGGGGTCTCCTCTTTCAGCTTTGGAGCCCCCCTCCCTCTGTCTTTGTACGTGTAAGGACTAAACTCTGTGTAAGGACTGTGTAAGAACTAAACTCTGACCTTTTTCCCCCTTCCTGCCCACATTCTTATCTAAGAGCCCTGGCAAGTCATGCCTTATACACCATGAAATATCTTTAGATGGGTTTTTATTAACCCTATATAAGTTGCTTACTTTCCAACCTGACTATAGTATAGCACCACATGACATATAGCAGACTGAAGGAAATAAAAATATTTTACCCCTAAATGTACTTCTTTGATATATTTTGAAATGGCTGTCACAAGCCAGCAGACTGAAGTAGGAGAAATTTGTATCTGTAGAGAATGGAGATTAATGCAGCCACATTTCCCCTTTCTATCCCTGTCCTGGATCTAGGAGAAATTGAGAGTCTGACACCTTTGAAAGTGAGAAGACACACATTTACCATCTATTCCCTCTGACAGTTTCCACCTTTGAGGGTCTATTTACACAATAAGAAGCCTGGTCTCCACAATCCCATTAATCTTAACTCAGTCATTCTTTTGTACTGGCTTTAAGTCTTTAGATAGTTTCTTAATTCTCTCAACCAATTGTGAACTAAAGAATCCCTAAAACTCACCTATGACTTGTAAGCCCTCATTTTGGGATGTCCCACATTTTCAGGACAAACCCATGTATACCTTCTGCATATTGATTTATGATTTTACCTGCAATGTCTGTCTCCCTGAAATGTATAAAACCAATGTGTAACCCAATCACCTTGGGTACACTTTCTCTCAGGACTTGTTGAGATTGTGTAACCTGGGCTGCGGTTACTCATATTAGCTCAGATTAACATCTATTCGTATATTTTGGCAGATGTTTTTTCTCCATCATCATGTGGTTTGGTGTCTGACTTGATTTGGGGAAAATCTTGGTTATTATTATTTCAAATGTTCTTCTGTTCCTTTATCTCTTCTCCTTCTGATAGTGCCCTTACACATACATTACAGCTTTTGTGGTTTCTCACAGTTCTTAAATATTGTGTTCTGACTTTTTAGTTTTCATTCTCTTTTCTCTTTGCTTTTAAATTTCAGTGATTTCTATTGAGATGGACTCAATCTCAGAGATTCTATTCTCAGCTGTGTCCAGTCTACTGAGAGGCCCATCAAAGGTACTCTTCACTTTTGTTATAGTTTTTTGATCTCTAGCATTTGGAGGGAAGTCTTTCTTATAATTTCCACCTCTTTGTTCACATTGACCACCTGTTCTTACATGTTGTCTACTTTATCCACTAGAGCCCTTAGCATATTAATCATAGTTATTTTAAATTCCCCGTCTGTTACTTCCAACACCCTGCCATCGCTGAGTCTGATTTTAATGCATTTTCTGTCTCTTCACACTGTGTTTTACCTATTTGTATGTCTTGTCATTTTTTTCCTGCCAGGTGGACATTATGTACTGGATAAAATGAACTGATGTAAACAGGCTTTTAGTAATGAGCTGGTACAGTGTTGGGGGAGGGGAAATGTTCTATAGTCCTATGATTAGGTCTCAGTCTTTTAGTGAGCTTGTGTTCTGGACTGTGAACTTCTCAAGTGCTTCTCAGTTTTCTCCACTTAGATGTGACAGGATGACTAGAGGGATCTGAAATTGGGTATTTCCTTTCCTCCACAGGGGATGCTAGAGCCAGCTGTGGTTGGATATTTCACTTCCCCCAGGTCTGTGAGGCTCTGATAAAACCAAGAAGTTAGGCTTTGATTAAATAATCTCCTCTGAGGGCAGACCTTGTTAAGAATAAATGAACTCTCAGGCACATTCAAATGGGTTATTTTCCTCTGACCTGGCCAAAACATGATGGGATTTTTTATCTATTACTTATTGTGAGGGCCTGGAGAGCTCCAGGAGGTAACATGCATGCAAGTGTGTTGGGGGTGGGGGGGGGGTTGCACCGTAACTGGGTTCCCGTTTTTAACTCTCAAGAATTGTCCTCACTGAGCCTCCACTGACTCACAGTTACACTTTTGGTTTTCCTATCCTCGCACTGGTTCCAATGGTGGTTTAAACTCACAACTCTCTGTTCCAATATGCCCTAACTGCCTGTATTCACCTGTTTGTCTCTCCAATTTGGGGGGCATTGGTTTGTCTGTTAAGGTACTAAGAAGAATTTTCAATTTGACTTCCTCTTTTCCTAATTGAATACCCTTTATTTCCTTCTCCTGCCTGATTGCCCTGGCCAGAACTTCCAACACTGTGTTGAATAGTAGTGGTGAGAGAGGGCATCCCTGTCTTGTGCCAGTTTTCAAAGGGAATGCTTCCAGTTTTTGCCCATTCAGTATGATATTGGCTGTGGGTTTGTCATAAATAGCTCTTATTATTTTGAGATACGTCCCATCAATACCTAATTTATTGAGAGTTTTTAGCATGAAGGGTTGTTGAATTTTGTCAAAGGCCTTTTCTGCATCTATTGAGATAATCATGTGGTTTTTGTCTTTGGTTCTGTTTATATGCTGGATTACATTTATTGATTTGCATATGTTGAACCAGCCTTGCATCCCAGGGATGAAGCCCACTTGATCATGGTGGATAAGCTTTTTGATGTGCTGCTGGATTTGGTTTGCCAGTATTTTACTGAGGATTTTTGCATCAATGTGAACAATGAGAACACATGGACACAGAAAGGGGAACATCACACTCTGGGGACTGTTGTGGGGTGGGGGGAGGGGGGAGGGATAGCATTAGGAGATAAACCTAATGCTAAATGACGAGTTAATGGGTGCAGCACACCAACATGGCACATGTATACATATGTAACAAACCTGCACATTGTGCACATGTAGCCTAAAACTTAAAGTATAATAATAATAAAATTAAACAAAAAAAAAGAAGAATTTTCAGTTTGTTCAGGATTTTTCTTATTGTTAGACTGAAGTGGTGATTTATAAGCTTCTTACATGGTAGGCCAGAAACTGGAAGTTTCTTATGGTTCTCTTTTAAACTATTTTAAAAACTTTAACTGATATTAGATTTGGGGGGTTTTTTGTCATTGTTTGTTTGTTTGTAGCTTTGGTGAATATTTGGCCTTTTTTTATTTTTTATTTATTTTTTATTATACTTTAAGTTTTAGGGTACATGTGCACATTGTGCAGGTTAGTTACATATGTATACATGTGCCATGCTGGTGCGCTGCACCCACTAACTCGTCATCTAGCATTAGGTATATCTCCCAATGCTATCCCTCCCCCACTCCCCCCACCCCACAACAGTCCCCAGAGTGTGATTTTCCCCTTCCTGTGTCCATGTGATCTCATTGTTCAATTCCCACCTATGAGTGAGAATATGCGGTGTTTGGTTTTTTGTTGTTGCGATAGTTTACTGAGAATGATGATTTCCAGTTTCATCCATGTCCCTACAAAGGACATGAACTCATCATTTTTTATGGCTGCATAGTATTCCATGGTGTATATGTGCCACATTTTCTTAATCCAGTCTATCATTGTTGGACATTTGGGTTGGTTTCAAGTCTTTGCTATTGTGAATAATGCCACAATAAACATACGTGTGCATGTGTCTTTATAGCAGCATGATTTATGGTCCTTTGGGTATATACCCAGTAATGGGATGGCTGGGTCAAATGGTATTTCTAGTTCTAGATCCCTGAGGAATCGCCACACTGACTTCCACAATGGTTGAACTAGTTTACAGTCCCACCAACAGTGTAAAAGTGTTCCTATTTCTCCACATCCTCTCCAGCACCTGTTGTTTCCTGACTTTTTAATGATTGCCATTCTAACTGGTGTGAGATGGTATCTCACTGTGGTTTTGATTTGCATTTCTCTGATGGCCAGTGATGATGAGCATTTTTTCATGTGTTTTTTGGCTGCATAAATGTCTTCTTTTGAGAAGTGTCTGTTCATGTCCTTCGCCCACTTTTTGATAGGGTTGTTTGTTTTTTCCTTGTAAATTTGTTTGAGTTCATTGTAGATTCTGGATATTAGCCCTTTGTCAGATGAGTAGGTTGCGAAAATTTTCTCCCATTTTGTAGGTTGCCTGTTCACTCTGATGGTAGTTTCTTTTGCTGTGCAGAAGCTCTTGAGTTTAATTAGATCCCATTTGTCAATTTTGTCTTTTGTTGCCATTGCTTTTGGTGTTTTGGACATGAAGTCCTTGCCCATGCCTATGTCCTGAATGGTAATGCCTAGGTTTTCTTCTAGGGTTTTTATGGTTTTAGGTCTAAGGTTTAAGTCTTTAATCCATCTTGAATTGATTTTTGTATAAGGTGTAAGGAAGGGATCCAGTTTCAGCTTTCTACATATGGCTAGCCAGTTTTCCCAGCACCATTTATTAAATAGGGAATCCTTTCCCCATTGCTTGTTTTTCTCAGGTTTGTCAAAGATCAGATAGTTGTAGATATGCGGCGTTATTTCTGAGGGCTCTGTTTAAACTTCTGCATATTTTGTCTTGTAAAGGGAACTTTGCTAGAGCGTGAAACACATTCATTTTAAAAATTAGGCATGTTTAAAGCATTCCTAGAAGACAATGTGGTAGATGTAGATGATGTACAAATGAATACTAGGGAAAAAATCTTATTCTAAAATAGAGTCAAGTCACACAGGTTAAATGATAAATAAGCTTTATTTCAGTTCCTCAAAATACTTCCCTCTCTCTTCTCTAAAGCGTTTATATTTACTCTTGCCTCTAACTGGGATGTTCAACTCTCTGCATGGTTAACTTCTCTAGTCCTCCATGTCTCAGCTTGAATACTTCCCAGAGAAAGCTTCTTCCATCTTGTGTAAAGCAGCACCATACCTGTTACTCTATCACATCATCTACTTTGTTTAATTACCAGGTCATGATAATCTATTTTATGGATTTACTTATTTATTTTGACTCTTGTCTTGTAAGGTATGCTTCATGAGGTAAGTACCCCCTTAGACTTTTTTCTTTATATTTTCATTACTTAGAATGATCACTGGCACAGGATAGATCCTTAAATAATATTTGAATTCAAATAATGAAAGGACTACAAATGAGCTTCAGAGAGGAGAAGTTTCAGGATGTAAAATGGCATTTATAATTGAGATCAGTCTTCTCTTCCCCTTACCCACTTGCATTCTTTTATCTTAGGATAAAAGAAAAAATGTGAGAGTGAAAAACACAAGGTGGTGGGAGAGAGAGAAAAATAGATGTTTTTTATACAATGTGCAATATTGAAAATTTGAGAACACAGACCAGGAAGAACATTTGCACTGATTGATGGAGTCAGGCTGGAAAATTTGGCACCATTCCTGGCTTAGTCTGTGGGGTCCTTAACATTGATAGTCAACAATAATTGGTGTAGACTTAGCACCAAGGTCAGCCTCAGGGTCAGACATTTGAATCTGCGGCAGCTGCAGATGCAGTTGTGTCTCTAGTGAGTGTCAATAGCATGGTTGACATTTGGAGGAAGGATATTTACTAAGAAAAAGAAGAAAGAGAAAGTGATAAAACATAATGCAGTAGCCATGGAGACCAGCAGCTTCATGGAGCATTGGGCATGACACTTGTAGGAACCTCTCAAGATTATCTAGGAAGAGATTAAGGGAGGTTGGCTTTGTTGAAAAATTAATAGGAACATGCAGTACCAGACAAGTTTTACATTGTGAACTTGTTTTTAATCTTTTCTTATTGCCAGATTGCTGAGGCCTAAGAAACAAAGGTTTGCTTCTAAAAATAATTATCTTCTTTCTTCGCCCCTTTGATAGAGAAATCACAAGACAAAACAAACAAACAAACAACAACAAAAAAAACAAGCCAAAAATCCCTCAAGTACCTCCAAACATTTTCTGTACCCAAAATGTTACAAATGTCTAAAACAAGTAAATGTTTCTTTCTTCTAGCCATATAAATTAAGAAGAAGAATATAGACATTTAGGATAATTAAATTCTTTTCCCATGTTCCTTGTGTTCAAAGCAAAGTTCTCTGGGTTTTAAGGTAGCAAAAAATCGTGAAAATTATTATTCCCACACACTTCCATATATTCTCATATCTTAATTATGATATATGAGTTTTTTACCAATATAGGCCACACTTGACTTGAGTGTTTTAATTATTTTTTGCTGAATGAAGGGAAATTTATGACAATTCAGACTCACTCTTGGCTGAATGAATGTTGGTAGTGTCCTTGCAGTCTCTTCTTTTAGACAAAGGACTGGTGGTGGTCACTTATGTTCTCTACACCACTTTCCCATACTTGTGAGAGAAAGGTCCCAGCCTGGTCAAAGTCTTACAAAAATAAATGCTGAGAATGTCCGTCTTGGCCATTGATCTGTTTTCTGTTCCATGCTTTTGTAAACCCCTGTGGTGATGTATTAGTCCATTTTCACATCACTATAAAGAACTGCCCAAGACTGGGTAATTTATAAAGGAAAGAGGTTTAATTGACTCACAGTTCAGCATGGCTGGGGAGGCCTCAGGAAACTTACGATAATGGCAGAAGGCAAAGGGGAAGCAAGGACCTTCTTCACAGGGTGGCAGAAGAGAATGGAGCCGGCAGACGAAATGCCAGGCACTTATAAAAACATCAAATCTTGTGAGAACTCACGATCACAAGAATAGCACGGCGGAAACCATCCCCATGATTCAATTATCTCCACCTGGTGTGTCGTTTGAAAGGTGGGGATTAAGGGAATTATGGGGATTACAATTCAAGATGAGATTTTGAGTGGGGATACAGCCAAACAATATCAGGTGACTAATAATATGAGGAATTTTCCTATGTCTTTCTCTAACTTGTAGCATATAGAAGACATTCCACCTCACAATGACTTCAATGGTAGTATGCTCTACTACTTTTTTCTACAGATAATTACTTCAACAGTACTAGAAATTTATGTACTACCTTTAACGCTTAGGGTCCCATGACACAGAGTGTAAATTTTTCATCCAAGTCTTATACCTGTACCTAAGTTGTATTAAAATGGAATCTTTCCTTAGAGCATTCAGAGACTGACAAAACCTTGAAATAATTTCAAGTAAAATTATATTTATGTTTATAGATGTACATTAAAAATCAGATTCATTGTTGAATCTTGACATTTATTCAAGAGGACATTCACTTTAGAAATAGCTCAAGGGCATTTCTGAAATTAGATATCAAATTTGAAGGTCAATAAAAAGATGATGCTTTACTTTTTAGCCATTTTCTTTGCCTCGGTGTTGCTCTAGGCATGTGTGTGTGTGTGTGTGTGTGTGTGTGTATGTGTGTGAGCATATTTGAGTTGTTATTAGATTCTCTCCAATTTATGGTATATTTTATATTCTTGTAAAACTGCCTACAGGAATAGGTTCTACTATATCTAAGAAATAAGAATGACTTTTTTAAACTTAGAAAGAATGATACATAAACTGATATTTCTTATTCAAAAATATCTAATAAATTATATAAATAGCAGATATTTAAGCACTTATTATCTTTCCTTTCAGCTATACTCATATTATGGAATCTTTAAGCTGCTTTAACTTTTTCTCATACTATTTGGTATAAAATTTTCCTATATAAATGTTTTCAGCTTTTAGGTCAAATATAGTAGCATAATATTACAATATGAGGACATCACATAAAAGTCACAGAAATAAGTGAATTAATATTTATATGCATAGCAATATTTTTTAGTATAATACACATAGTCACAATTGAAGTATAAATAAATGATCATATGCTGTTTAAATCGTAGGTTGTTTTAGCTTGAGGACTGCCATATATTGCCATCTACAGTAACAGCTACTTCTTTAACAAACTGAAAGACTGCTATATGTTTCCCCCTCAATTAACTGAGTGATGAGTCTGAACAGATAAAGGAAACAAATTGGCAAACGTGATCTGTATTGCCTGCCCTGGCATTAGAAGTTTGGACAGATTATATTTCCATAATAAGAGTACTGTCTGCTTGAGAGTACCTAGATGAAGTGGAGTTTTTAACATACCAAACCCTCAAACCAATTAGAACACTGCATGGTGGCAACAAGAGTCTCCTTCCCTTTAATGAGCCCTTGGTAATAAAAGTCTACCACTGCTGCTACAATCTGTATTGGAGATAAATTTAGCACCAAAATATTTTCATATAAGCAATGGGCTTTAGTCGTTGTACCTAAACTATATAATAGGTGCCCTTCCTACTTAATAGACTTCCTTCCTGAACCTCTTGATCTTGACTCCCATTGCTGTCTCTGAAGCAGAAGGCATGGATGATTATTGCCTTATACCAAAGACTCTTGTTCTGTAAGCTCAAAGATCCTCTAATGTAATGCAATTCACTGTGTGTTCAGGTATCATCTGGCCTCCTTCACATTGCACTGTAGGAAATGTGACTTGGAAAACTGGTACAAACAAAAAAGCTGATACTCCAGCTACTCGAATTGCTGTAGTAATTCATTATTTTTTTGTCTCTGACCTGGGAGTCTGGTGCCTTCTGCAAGCACTCATGAGGTTCTGGTATGTTAGTTGGTAAGTGGCATGAATCTTTAATCCTTCAGAATTCTTGTTGGTTTGGGCTATGAAATTGGGACGCTGAAAGAGATACAAAATTTTGGAGAGAAAGACAAAGGCCTAGTGTTCTTGGATCAGTGATATGAGAAGACTTCCTGGAATTTGATGGTGAATTCCTGCCTGTAAATGAAAGTCTGGAGGGTGAGTGGTGTCTTGGTCATTCTCACTCTTCTTAGGGCAAGCAAAGGAAGCAGCAGTATCAGAAAGAGGGGGCAGCAAACCTCAAGTCCCAATCTGAAAGGCCGTGTAGTTGTGGCTACTGAGTCAGAGTTCTGAAGATGAAGCAGTGTTGGCAATGAATACCTTGCTATCAGTATAAAGCTTGGTGATGCTGAAAGCATTAGAAGTTCATTTGGTTGTGCCATGAGTGACTGACAATTGAAACTGAATGTGCCTTGCTTACGAACATGGAACCACTCTCTTCCTCTTCACCTACAGTTCCTTATTTATCCTCTATTCTAATTTAATATGCTTTAAGGATAAACAAGATTAATGGTAAAGCCAAGATTTCTTTAGTTCCAAGGAGGACCAAAGGTCATATACATACTGAACTTTGGAATAAAGTGGTATTCTAACTTTTTGACTGATGGATCAGGCACACAAGTCACCAATGTACCCACTCCCATGAGGGGAGCAGATGCTTATAAACAGTCAATGTAATTTGGCTAGGGTTTATAAGGTTCACAGTAGGAGAACAAGGCTAATGTGACCTTGTGTGTGAGCCTGTTAGACCAACTCAATATACTTTTTTGGTTGCTTTTACAACTAAATATAGCGTAAAAATTAATGTGTTAATACTTGCAACTCCCATCCCAATAATATCAGAGCGCATGCTTTCAGGAGCTGGTGTAGAGAAGTCCTTCTGCCGTTGGGGGTACGGAAACCCTAATGACATTGTTAAATCTCAGTGACTGATAATTTTGCTGATTGGAGCCCTGTCATGAGTTGAAATGTTTCCCCCCCAAAAAATGTACGTTGAAGCCTGACCGCCACCCCACTTTTAAATGTGACATTATTTGGAAATAGGATCTTTGCAGGTGTATTCAAGTTAAGATGAAATCATAGAATTAGAGTGGACCTTAATCCAATATCTGGTGTCCTTATAGGAAGAAAGAAATTTGGACACACATAGGGAGATCCCCATGTGAAGACATGGAGAACACAAGGAGAAAGGACTTGTGATGACTGAGGCTGAGATTTGAGTAATATAGTTGCAAGCAAAGGAAAGCCAAGTATTTTTTGGCAATTACTAGAAAGTAGGAAGAGGCAAGGAAGGATCCTTTCCTAAGTCTTCAGAGGGAACATGGCCCTGCCACCACTTTGACTTCAGACTTTGACCATCCGGAGCTGTGAGGACACAACTTGCTGTTGTTGCAAGCCTCTCAGTTTCTGGTACTTTGTTATGGAAATCCTAGAGAACTAATACAGAATTCTTGGTCGTTTTGGCTATGAAATTGGGACAGAGCCTCTGATTTCCACATACAATTGCCACTTGGAGTTTTATATTCATGACTTCTCTGACATGACTCTCAGGAAAAGCAGCTATTAGCTTGCAACTGGGCTCTTGTGGAAACTAGACACCTCATTTATGGAGTCATTGTGACTACAACCTGATACTTCCATTTTAGGGTAGTTCAACTCGGACTCAATGACTAACAATGTGAGAATGACCTAACAAGTCTCACTTGTTAAATATAAATGGTATATTCAAGAATGCAGCCAGCCTTGTCCCATTGGAATCTTTGTTTAGATGAAAAAATGGCAGCTGTTCTTTTGGGGGAAGCATTCCACTGCTTAAAGCAAAACTGCTAGCTCAATGGGGCCTACAATGCACAGAGAGTTTCTTCAATGCCTGGTCCTGGATCACTAAGGGTATTCATTGGGATTCTGTGGCTGTTCAAGCTCTGCACTGACTATACAGAACCAAAAGCACAGGTGGTCATGCCACCCAGTAGGCAGAACTAAAGCCTCTTCTCATCTCTCTTTCTGGTCAATACTCCCACTTAGTAAAACATTTTATTTTATGGATTCATGAACAGTTGCAAATAACATAGCTATTTGGAATGCCATTTTAAACATTACAGACTATCAGATTAAAGACATCCTTGTTTGGAACTGTGGCCTATGGAAACAAATTGCAGCTACTGTTCAAACTGCCTGGTTCGTTTATGTAGATATTCATGGTAAGGGCCTGTTTTCTGATGATACCAACTGGAATCAACACTTCAATCATAGACAAAGGTATTTGATAGACTTTTCACACTCCCTACTATTCATAACCATCTAACATTGCTGGACATTGGAATGACCTCTTCAAAAATTGACTTAAAAATATTTCTAACCCTACATCCTTTGTGTCACCCTGATCAACGTACCTTAGAAAGAAGGGCATTCTAGTAAATTAATGTGGCTATCTCCAGAAAGGGATTTGCTTTCACGTGCTTCCTGGGTAGTGATTGGGAGAAAAGCAATGGGAGCTATGTAGACAGATTTTGAAAATTTGGGATACTGTTGTAATCATTCCCAAGTATGATGTTTCTTTCTTTCCTCTAGCAACAACTCCAGTCTGTTCTTGATGTTATACCCTATTAGTGGCAGTCCACTGAAAGCAGGACCTAGCTGATTCAAAATTAATTCTGATTTAGACACTTGAATTCTCTTATTAGATATGCATGGTCATATATTGAAATGACCACTTGGTTGAGTTTACTGCTTGTTAAGTCCCACAGTAGTGGCCCATGTGAGCCAAATTGGGTCCCGTAGAAGGTTTTTGTAAGTTTTATAAAAATTCCTTTGTCTCTCTTAGACTTGAGCTTTCCAGATCAAAGATCTGAATGTGAGTAGGGAATGATTTGAAAAAAACAAATGCAGTGATAGCTACTGGAAGAGACTTTAAGGTTGTAGCAGACAGACCATAGAGTGGTCCCTGGGGACCCTCACTTGTTTATTATATAGTGCTAGAAAGCCTGGAAAAATTGTCTCCTAATGTTTATGGGAAGCAGAACTTCTAATGATAGACTTATTTATTTAGCTAAAGAGATTTCCAAACAAAGTGTTGAAGGTACCATCTGGTTTCTTCCTCCTGCTTATAGTAAAATGTGTGTGTGTGTGTGTGTGTGTGAGAGAGAGAGAGAGAGAGAAAGAGAGAGAGACACTTGAGGAGAAAACTGTGAAGCAAAAAGGAACGAGGAACCAGGACTTGATGAATTTGAAAATTCTCATCATATTAAAATGGCAAAAGATGCTAAAATTCAGACATCACTTCTGAAATCTTGATATAGAGAAAAAGCCAAAGATGTGGCTGTGTTAATTCTTGCTAAAACTTAAGAAAAAAACAAAAAGTTAAAGTTTTCAGTTCCACAAAGACCCTTTGAAGAGTTTAAAGGTGTGTATTGTAGCTCCTCTTAATCAAACCATAAGGCCTACAGGAGGCTTAAGGGCACTGACCCTTACCCATCTCAGCAGGAGGTTAAAAGAGAGAATGGATTAACTTGAAAAGATCTGTGGAGGTAGATTTTGTCAAATCGAGTAAAGTCTACTTAAAATCCATGGGAGACCTACAAAGTTTTTGCAAAATTTATTTCATTAAAAACACTGCTCCATAGACTGAAAAGGACAGAGAGAGTGTAAAATGAAAGAAAGTTGTTAGATCTCTAAAATTGTACTTACAGGAAGCAGGCTGATAAAACCACTTAGCAGCAAAAATTCTACCTTCCATGAAAAAGGAAGAATCCATAGGGTAGATCTTAATACCATGGAGGGCAATTCCAGGTCTTAAAAAGCAATTAAGAAATGACAAACATTTACCTATTTGTATTTAAGTTCTACTGAACCACTGTTTCTGCCCTCCATTTTACCTTCTTTTTGACTGGGACTGTCTTCTGCTGTTATTCTATTTTAGTCTTACCACTTTATATTAGTGTTCTAGGGGTTGACAACTTGTCTTTAGTTTTTCAGATCCACAGTTAGAGAGGAATTGTCCCCTGGGAACTGTACTTAAAAGATTTCAGCCAGAAGCCTCATCTGCGCCTGGACCTGGTTTAGATGATGAAATTTTGAACTTTGAGCTTGATGCTATAATGAATGACACTCTTGAGAACTTTGGAAGGTAGTGAATGTGTGTTGCAGGTAGAAGGGACATGAGTCATTGGGGGCCAGAGGGCAGACTACGGACTATGGTAGGTAGATCATGGGATGGTTCTCCCTGATTCCTCTCTCCTGGTGTATACTCCCTCATATAATCTCTTTCCATTGATCACGGGCTGGACATTGGACTTATAACCAATATAATTCAGTGAAGGTGATGGGATGTGACTCCTGAGATTACATTATGATGTGTAACATTCCAGCAAACTTAGTTTAGAGAACTTCTCTGTGTTGGTGGCCTTAAAGCAAGATGCTATGTGGTGAGATACAGTAGTTGCAATAACTGTGGATGGAGCGTCTAGTTCCTGACATAGTCTCTCATAAGAAACTGAAGCCTCAGTCTTTCAGCCATAAAGAAATAAATTCTGCCAACAACCCGAGGGACCCTTGGGAGCATATTTTCCCCCTGTCAAACCTCTGATGAGACCACAACCCTGGTAACACCTGGATTGTAGCCTGGTGAAACCCTTAGCAGAGGACCCAGTTAAGCCATGCACAGATTCCTGACCTATAGTAACAACAAAATAATAAATGATAGTTCTTTTAGGATGCTAAGTTTTTAATAATTTGTTACACAACATGGAAACCTAATGCAGGAATGATGAAGGGAGAACAGCCTCATCACCTGAGAAAGGAATACCTCAAAACCCAGGATGTAGGAAGAAGGAAGGATAGTGATTTTTTTTTTTGTCTTTCAGATTACTCAAGGAGCCGTCTCATGTAGAAAGATGCCCTCATAGGCTCTCACAAACTGTTGCAAGCATCTCAAATTTTATTGACTGCTGGGTCTTACAATTCCTCACCAGATGGCTTTGAACACAGTTCGATCATCAATCTCATTGATGCTACTGATAATTCTGTTGGAACAGCAGGAGATGGCTCTAGCTCCTAAACCTGCCACTCGAAACACCTGTCATCACCTCCAAAGATCTTTCCAATACCCACTGGTACAGTTGTAACTCAATCACTTCGCAAGACAGATAATTGCATGTGGCCAAAGATGTACCTGGTCAACAGGACAGGTTAGACTATCTGCTCTCAGGTAGTCCCTCCAAATCAATGGCTGGACTCGGTTGTTCAAAATGAATAGGAAATCCTAAGGCTTATCAGCAAATTGGAAAGTCATGTTCGAGGTCCTATCAAGCTAGGCTCCTAAAAGATATAGTCCCCACCTGGAGGAGGGGATCAAAGAATTTTAAACAGCTCTTTCATTTTAGGGCCACTATTTGTGCCCTAAGACTATGCTTCTTGTACAGAAGCTAGCTATTAATTTGCCTCCCACTCAAACATGTTTGCTTAAAAACTTTAATTGTGGTTATTAGGGAAGTTCAGAGTGATTTGGGTCACATTACCAGAGATCATGTATCCAAAACACAACTGTAGAGATCTCTCCCAAATGTATCTACCCTTGTTTACTCATGGGAACTTCCTGGGAATGTAACTGACTCATTACATTGTCACAACTGTGGGCAGTTTCCCTAAAATGGGAATCATCCAGTTAGAAAGGGTAGTAAAAAATATGTGTCCAACTTTATCTAAAGTCATCAGTGATGCCATCTGACCCTTGAAAGGTATTCAGGTCGGCCGGGTGTGGTGGCTCACACCCGTAATCCCAGCAGTTTGGGAGGCTGAGGTGGGCAGACCACCTGAGGTCAGGAGTTTGAGACCAGCCTGACCGATATGATGAATTTTTAGTCTCTACTAAAAATACAAAAGTTAGCCAGGCATGGTGGCATGCGCCTGTAATCCCAGCTACTCAGGAGCTGAGACAGGAGAATCACTTGAACACAGGAGGCGGAGGTTGCAGTGAGCCGAGATTGTACCATTGTACTCCAGCCTGGGCAACAAGAGCAAAACTCTGTCTAAAAAAAAAAAAAGAAAAGAAAGAAAGAAAAAAGGAAGGTATTCAGATCAGCCTCAACTCACTGGTAAGGATTGCCTTAGATTTTTATCCTTGAGGGCCAAGGATTAGTCTGTGTAATTGAAAATATATCCTGCTGGATTAATGCTATGGACCATTTCAATGCAGAAACTTGTGAAAGACACTTCTTGGTTTTCTAAAGTAGACCTTATTGATGTATAGGAATTATTCTATAAATACCTTGAAGGACATGGATGAGCATAATATTGCAGATTGACCAGATCTACTTGTTTAGAGTACTAGAGATAGTAGCCTTATGGTCAGATTATTCAGGGTAGCTGTTGAGATTATTCAGGGCAGCTGTTGACATGGCATAATCTAATGGGAAAATTTGCCAGAAACCAAGATGATATTGATTAGAGGGAGTGCTGTTTTGGGGAAACAATTCTCTATGGATCTCTGATGTCTCCATGTCTTACAAGCAGAAGCACTGACTGCTGTTTGTCCTGGACTATCTTTTAAGGCATATTTACATAGAGATAGTGTCTTCACGGGAGCAAAGAGCACACATGCTTACTGCCCAGATAATGTTTCTCTGAGAGCAAAAAGCAGAAATGCATCCTGCTCATTACTAAAGATTCGTGTTTCTTAAGCTCAGTGTCTCTTTCCTGTGGACTACAACCCACTAAATGTGCATGTATCATCTGTCCCTCCTAGTGTCTCCTTATAGAAATGGGGACCTGGGAACAGGTGCAAAATATATGCTGATACACTGGCTACTGGAATTAGCTTAAAGTAATAAACTCCCCTTTTTCTGTGACTCAGGAGTCTCATGTCTTCTGCCACCAACCTTGAAGTTGGGTCAGTCTAACTTGTTAAGTTACAAATAGGGTAGAACCTCAGACCTTTCGCAATTCTTAATAAGGTGATGTATGCCACATTTGGGCCAAGGCAGAGAAAAAATGTGTATGGTTCCCCTCACCTCCCATCCCCCTTTTAAACTGCTATTGGATGGAAGCCCACAATGAAAAGAGTTGTTTCTCTGACAGCCCTCTGCATAACAGGAAAAACTGGTTGTTCTATTAGGTAAGACAGCAATCATTTTTTAGAAAGCTAACTTACTGAAGTAGGGTTTATTTGCTACCATGGTGGGAGGTTTGTGCATTAATTTGACTAAGAATGACAGACTAACAAATGTGAGTAGCCAGAAATCACACACATCACACCTTCTGAAAATGTCTGTGGAACCAACTGCAGATGAACACATAGGCCAGTACGTCTTGGTAGGCAGCACAGGTGGTGATTCCCTTACTCATCTGCTATGGTGTATAAACTTCAACTTCAAGGCCTAAAAGCCTCACAACCCCATAATTGGAGGTGTTCTGAGTTTGTCTTGCTCTGCTAGGTCTCTGAGCATTACTCTGGTATGTGATGACCAATGGAAGACTTGTCTAGCTACCATTGGTTTTGAGTCTTTTCTAGTACATGTTGTTCCTATTGGTCTAGTATATCTGCTGTCTGAGCATTCACCTTTGTTCACTTACTATTTCACACATTTCTAGAATTACTCTATCAACATAGAAATAGTATTGGATGATGGATGCCACTCCAACTAGTTATGAACAAATGTGGCACTTTATCAGTAGTTGAGCAACAGGCTAAGAAACAGTAAACACTTCAGGACAGAAGGTTGGATAACTTATTATGTGGCAAATATTTCATAAAATTGCTGTGTGCCATAATGTGAAAAGCAGACCAAGATTTTACTGTACCTGTATTTCTTGGGAAATTTTGTTCTAAAAATTAAAAACATTTGTGTATGTTGGCTTTACTCCCTCTCCCTGTAAAATGGGACTTTAAGAAATAACAGTTCATGCAATAACTATCTGCTTTGATAGCTGAAATGGGAAAGAATAGAGAAATTTACCGCTTAGCAAGATTGAGAAAATCTACAGACAAGAAGGGTAAAACAAGACAGAGAACAAGTTAAGGGCAACAAATACCCAGTAAAGTTTCCCAGTTAATCTAAGTGACTCAGTCCAGAAGCAAAGATCAGATAAGGTTTTACTTTGCCTTTCAAGTGAAGTGTTTTAGGTGGTCTCAAAATAGCCACCATTAGGTTGAGAGTGAAAGGTGTGGAAGGGAGAAAACGAGGTAAGACAGACTTGAGAATTATTTCTAACAAAGGACTTTCATATAGTTCCTGGTACTTAGCATTGATTAGAAGCAAAAGCCTCCCCAAGTCACAGGAAATTTTTCTGGGGAAATTTGATAACTAGTTGTATGTATCAACTTGACTGGATATTACTTTCTCCTACTTGATGATTCAGACACTCGGACTGTTTCTAAATTTTTGTGCAAATAGTTCCCAAGGATTCAGGGACTTCTGTTCCCAGCTCAAAATCTGGGATCTCACTCCCTGATTCTGTATTCTAGCAACTCCAACACAGATCCTACACTGTCATGATCCTGCGTTTCAGTAACTAGCAGACAACTATATGCCCTTATCCCCTTTCCCATCCATTTTATAGTTACAGTGCAGGGACAAGACATCCATGATAAAAAGCAAAACAAATATGCCACCTGAATATTCAGAGAAGGGAAGAATAAGAAAACACACCAACTCCAGTTCAAGGCAAAGGGGCAATCCTATAGGAGGGCGTCATGAAGCCCTGCTCTGGCAGGGGTGGAAGTTCCTGAGTAGACAGTAATTCTGCTCTCTGAAAGGATCATTGTTCTCTGTGAGCCTTCATTGCACTCTACATAGATTTCCTAGTTCATGTTCCTGTTAGAGTCATAGGTGAGGTGGATGTCTACAAGAGTATTTAAGGAGGAAATCAAAACCTGACTTGATAGACTGAGTAAAGATCACCCTTCACCAGTGCAGGTGGGCGTCATTCAATCCACAGAGACCCTGAACAGAACAAAAAGGTGAAGGAAGGAAGAATTCACACTCTCTTTTTCAGCCAGGACATCTGTCTTCTGCTCTTGGACATCAGTGCTCCTGATTCCCAGGCCTTAGGACTTGAGTCAGGACTTTTATCATTGGCCCTCCATTCAGTTCTTGGATTGCAAGTATACCAGCAGCTTTTCTAAGCCTCTAGCTTGCAGACAACAGACCATGTGACTTCTCAGCCTCCAGAAGAATGTGAGCCAATCCCTCATTAAAAAATCTTTTTGTATATATCGCTCTATATATGTCCTAACAATTCTGTTTCTCTGGAGAACCGTAGCAATAAAAAAAAATCAAAATCCCTGAAGTAGAAAGCCTTTGATATTTGTTCTTGAACTGCTATCAGATCCCAAAACACACACAAGCACAAAGCATGCTAGTAAAGCCCCACAGCCATCACAGAGGGAATAACGCCAACATCCACCTCACCTCTGACTCTAACAGGAACATGAACTAGGAAATCTATGCAGAGTGCAATGAAGGCTCACAGAGAACAATGATCCTTTCAGAGAGCAGAATTACTGTCTACTCAGGAACTTCCACCCCTGCCAGAGCAGGGCTTCATGACGCCCTCCTATAGGATTGCCCCTTTGCCTTGAACTGGAGTTGGTGTGTTTTCTTATTCTTCCCTTCTCTGAATATTCAGGTGGCATATTTGTTTTGCTTTTTGTCATGGATGTCTTATCCCTGCGCTGTAACTATATAATGGATGGGGAGGGGAGATAAGGGCATATAGTTGTCTGCTAGTTACTGAAACGCAGGATCATGACAGTGTAGGATCTGTGTTGGAGTTGCTAGAATACAGAATCGGGGAGTGAGATCCCAGATTTTGAGCTGGGAACAGAAGTCCCTGAATCCTTGGGAACTATTTGCACAAAAATTTAGAAACAGTCCGAGTGCCTGAATCATCAAGTAGGAGAAAGTAATATCCACAAGTTATGATAGTGTAAAATTCTATTGTGTTAAGCCACTGAAATTTGCAGGTTTCTTTCTTAAAATACTAGTGTTATCCTTAGTTGGCAATTCTCAAATTAGTATTCATTTTCAGCACCTAAAGAGCCTTTTCAGACTTTTTATTTATAATGACCTCTTATTAAATTTTACTGTCTGTTTATGTTTTATATGTGTATCTTTGCATTACATATAAGAAGAGAACTATTCTCCCTCCACACCAGAATCATTTTTTTTTTTGCCCCTTGAGGGCGCAATTGCCTGATTGAGAACAGGTGCCCAGAATGATGCTAAGATGTGTTCCCTCTCCTGCCCACCTCTCTTTCCTCTCTTAAGGTTCCCATCTATCACTGCACACTAATCATGTTCACCTTCTTTCTATTTCTTGAACATGAAAAGCTCTTTCTAACCTGAAGGTCTTTTTTATTTGTTTACTCTTTTCCTTGAAAACTTTTAATTTCAGTCTTTGTACTGCTGACTTCCTCTAATTTTTTGTGATATTTCTTAACATTTTCTTAAATGTTACCTTTTCAGAGAAACCTGTTTCTAAGGTGATCTACTCTTGTTATTCTTAGTATTCTGTTTTCTTTCATAGCACTTATGATAATTTTAATAATATATTTGACTATTTTGATATGTACTTATTCTTATGCCCGTCACTCACTACAAGACACTCCATATATACTTGGAATTAATATACTTGCTAATTAATACTGAAGAGCAGACATAAAAATGATAAGTTAATGAATAAAGCAAGCAAGCAAGAAAGAAAGGAATCAATAGCAGGTCAATTCCACTATTTTTAAATTAACCTTCTTTTCACTCCATTTCCTCTTTTGCTGTCTAGAGTTCAAAGTTCATATTTGGTTTTGCTAAACTTTAGAGAAATTTCTCATTAACCTGTGAAAGAAATGTTAAGTATAAAATTTCACTAAAGCTGAACAAGTTCATGCTCACCACTTCAGGTCCATCTGGTAGCTTCTTGCCCAGATTTCCTTCTCCTGAACTTCTCATCCAGAACTTTCAAGATGTTTTCCAGAGGCCCACGATAATACTTACTAATAAATATGTTACAAAAGTTAGTGACCACATGTACTACCTGAAGGTGTTTCCAAGGAGAAGATTTCCCCTCTCCACTGTCTTTCAAGGCCACCCCTCAGTGAAGTTGTAGTGTTCAGTCAACCCTTCTGTGAACCAGGCTTTAGTTTCCTTCTTCCTTTTTCATTCTTCTATTAGCTGGTCACTGGGGCTTCACACAAAGGCACAGGTGTAGGTGGAGATAGATATGTTGATGTAGAGTAGGTGGTGGATGGGGTGGTTCCTACTTGTTTATGTAATTTACTTATGCCATCCAGATCTGCTTGGGCTTAATCCCACATATACCACTTTCAATTTATACTGGTTTGTTGCTAGGTGGCCTACATTTATGACATGATGAGTCTGACAATGATTAGTGTATGATGGGCAGCTTTAGTCATATGGTCGTTTGATGCCTTACAATCAGATATTCAGTTTCCAGTAAGGCCCCCAATCCAGAAATTGTACTGCAAGTGGTTTACAATTCCCTGCTGAAGAGGAAGGTCTTATTCCAAACCCTAGTGGCCTGTGCTGTAACTTTCTTATTAGAGTACTCTGAGGACTCCACACAATGTTCTTTTCTACAGCAGAGCTCAGAATATTATAGCCTACGGGACAAATCTGACTCAGGGCCTGGTTTTGTAGTTAAGGTTTTATTGGAACATAGACACACTTATTTGTTTACATATTGTCTGTGGTTCCATTTGCACTACCAAGGCAGAGTTGAATAATTTTGGGATAATGGTAGCGTTGAATAGTTGTACTACATCAGCAGAGTGTAGTCATTGCAGCAAAGACCCTAAGGCCTTCAAAGCCTAAAATATTTACTACCTGGCCATTTACAGAAACATTCTGCTGACTCCTGCTCTATAACTTGTTGGATCTGCCAGATCATATCACCCAAGTGGTAAGGCTGTTTCTACAACAGCGTACAACTGCTGCTAAGCTGACTTCGGCTCTAGACCCACTCAAAATTGGCAGTGTTCTAAGTCACCTGATAAATGAATCAAAGCAGTACGCCCTAGTATGGTATGTGTTATTTCAAAAATCTGCAAATGTCTGCCAAGCATTGCAACCTTTCAGTAGCAGGAAGTTCTGATGTCCTGGCATGCACCATATCATTGGATCCTTAAAAGTTTCATTAATATGGCAGGTCCCTTGCTCTAGCAAGCAGTCAACTTAAAAAGGCATACATGATCCGGCGCAGTTGCTCACACCTGTAATCCCAGCACTTTGGAAGGCCGAGGTGTGTTGGATCACCTGAGGTCAGGGGTTCAAGACCAGCCTGGCCAACATGGTGAAAACTCATCTCTACCAAAAATACAAAAAGTAGCTGGGCATGGTGGCAGATGCCTGTAATCCCAGTTACTCGGGAGGCTGAGGCAGGAGAATTGCTTGAACTCGGGAGGCGAGGTTGCAGTGAGCCGAGATCGCGCCACTGCGCTCCAGCCTGGGCGACAGAGAGAAATGCTGTTTCAACAACAACAACAATGACAAAAACAAAGGCATACAGAGTATCTGTTACTTCCTGCTTCCCAAAGTCTTGAAAAAGAGTCAGAGAGATTGTCCATAGAATGTCCAGATAATCAAGATCTTTTCAGACTACAGTGTGACGATGTAGCAGAGTCAATACCATCCTGAGGCGAGATCATGTGCTATTTACTTTCCATCCAAATGAATGCTTCTGATTCTTTTTCTGACAGGGAATAAAATTAAATTCATTCACTAAATTAATAGCTACTATATGAATTTTCTGCGGCTGCTGTGACTATGGCAACAGTAGCTTAAAACAACACAAATTTCTCATCTCGTGATTCTATAGATCAGAAGTCTGATATAGATCTCTCTGAGCTAAGATCAAAGAGTTGGCAAAGTGCATTCTTTTCTGGAGTCTGTAGGGAAGACTCCTTTCCTATGCCTTTTCCACCCACTTTCCTTGGCACATGGCCTCTTTCTCCATCCTTAAAGCCAGCAATGTTTGGCCAGTTCTCACAATGCCGTCTCTTTGGTTCTCTCTCCCTATTCACTCTTCTGCATTTAAGGACCCTTGAGATTATATTAGGCACACACAGATAATCCAAGATAATCTTCCTATTTTAAGGTCTGATGTTTAGTAACTTTAATTCCATCTACATCGTTAATTTTCCTTTGCCATGTAACCTAACATATCCACAGGTTTCAGAGAGCAGGACGTAGACATCTTTGTAGTGCTGTTACTGCGTCTGCCACAACTACATATCAAGTATGGAGTCTGTGTTGCCTTCTTGTAGGAAATATGCTAAAGCAGCTGTGAAAATGAGTGTGCCACTTGGTTAAAGATATGAAACTTCACTTTCAATTGCCATGACGTATCTAATTTGTTATAGGCCAGTATTGGTGAATTAAATGAGGATAAGAATTCAGATCACAAAACTTATTTTTTAAAAGTCTTTGAGTTTGGCATCAATTTCTACCATTTGGCATGTAATGCAGTAGTGTTTCTGATTTTCTATCCTGGATAGGTTGAAGAGGCAGTATCAGAGAGGTCTGCTTATTTTTTTCTATAATAATGTTTCTTATACCACAGAGCAGGGAACCAATGTGAGGGTTCTGCTAAGTATATCAATGTTAGCACAGGCAGGGATTATGAAAACAATAGAAGGAACTGCTCCTATGTATACTTCTGGTGGCATCAGGATCCTTCAATATAACAATCTGATTTAGCTTCCAATCTTTGTTAATAAAATTTCTGAAAAGGAGATATACCTGCTTTGTCATGAAAGATAGTTCTCTATGGAGATATGAGTAATACCGAACACACTGTTAACTATGTACATTGTGGGAGGCAGGATTCTAAGATGGCCCCCAAGATTCCTTCCCCCTGGTGTATATACCTTTGTATGTTTCCCTCCTCTTTAATATGGGCAGAACCTGTAAATATGATAGGATTTCACGCTTGTGAATAGGTTACTAATCAGTCAACTTTGAATTAATCGAAAGGGAGATTCTCTGAGTGGGCTTAATCTATCGCTGACCCCTTAAGAGGGATTGGAACCTTCCTGCAGTCTAAGAGATTGGAAATGTGGGAGGCCCTATGGAGGGGGCCAGGTTAGCTGGGTCCTGAGGGCAGCCTTGTGAACTAGGAGCAACCCCTGACTGAGCAGCCAAGAAAATAGAATGTCAGTCCTACAATCACAGGGAACTAAATTCTGCCAACACCTTGCATGAGTTTAGATGAGGACCTCTAGATCCTATTGAGTCTAAGTAAACACCTTGAGTTTGGTCTGGTGAGGCCCTGAGCAGTGGGCCCAGGGAATCCATGCCTGGACTCCTAACAGATAGAAACTGGGAGATTAGAAATTTGTGTTAAGATATTAAGTTTGTAGTAGTTTGTTTTGCAGAAATAGAAAGCTAATACACATTTATACATTTAGCAAGTATTTATAATATTCCTGCGAATGAACTAAACAAAGTATTATAAAAAGTTCCACTAAAATTAACCAAAATAGATTTGACATTTTGTGTATGACTCTATGTGGACAAAATCAATTAGAAGACAGTTCGCTTGTCTGTTTGGGGTTAAGAATGTGTGTATAGCATTTTAATTTATTTTCTATTTATGAGAAATCTAATTACGATTATCATAATCGATTCAATCATGGCACTTCTTTGTGGTGGTCTTTATGAGCATGTGAAATAGCTGCTTTCTATTTTCATATACTTCATTCTGATGCATATTTACTGAAGTAATAATGTCTGAAGATCTATTTTGTATTTTAATTACCAGCATTTTCTTGCATAATGAGTGTAATCTTTTATACTTATGCTCAATTACGATTTTGAGATAAAAATGTCTATTTACTTCTGGCTTCAAGGAAAATATTTTTCCTTCTCAACTGTTACAGGCATAGTTCAAAGAAAACCTGGTATCATTTTATTGGTTCTAAGTTTATAAATAAATATATGATATCCTATTTATATCGATTTATAGATATAGTTTTCATTCTATACCCTACTTAGATGTATTTGTTGTTTTATTTTGCTTGCTTTTACATAAAACTTTACTTTTAAACTGTTTTTCTTACCTATTTAAAAATTTTTAGCCAAGAATTGATATGAAATTTACAGGCTTCCACTGCAATTGTTGGCTTCACCCCCTAATCTCCCGCCTGGTGATGATAGGAGTAATAACTAACGCAGGTGACCTACCAAGGTAGCACAATAAGTGGGAGAACCAGGTTGTCTGAAACATAGCTCACTAATTTTTATACCACATTGGCAGCTATTTTTTCAGATATTTATAAACATGTGTAGATATTTATAGAAAGCAAATGAATGCCAGAGAAAATTCACTTATCTGTTCTTGAAAGCTAACATGCTACATAAAAGAAAACGTCCTTTGGAAATTGCAATGCTGATGTAAAACATAGCAAAACAAAACAACACAAAAACAAAATTTAGAGTTTCCAAGTAAAGTCTATCAATCAGACCACATCATGTGAAATATCTGAGGTGTTCTGGAAACTCAGTAATATTAAATACTGATTATATGGAGTATACTTCATAGCCTCTAATTCATCATCCTGCTCATTCATTGTATATAGACATTTCTTACTTCATCTGAATTGGTGTCCTTTCTTCTCCAAAATGTACTTAGATGGAAATACAGATATAAGCAAATGTGTGTATGTGTGTGGTGTGTGTGTGTGTGTGTGTGTGTGTGTGTGTATGTTGCTGTGTCTCAGGAAAGAATTCATGTGACTGAGATTTTTTATATATATCATGTTGGTAAGGAATAGAATTGAGCTGGAAGTATTGAAAGAGAAGACATTCAAAGTGGAAAAGATGCCATTTTTGAAGGCACAGATGGGTTAATAACTAAAAGTTCAGAGAAAATAAACAGCTTATTAACTTCTGTGAAAAAGAGGACAAACTGGGGACAAACAAGAGATAAAATCCTTTAAGAGTGTGTATTGGAATATATTTAGTGAGAGACTTGAATCATTTGGCATTTAAAGTAATCCCCAAATGAATAAGATGGAGATGAACACTAATTCTCAAACATGTAGCTGCAAACGGGAATGTAGGAGGGAATTTTTTTAAGTTACTAAGCAATCTTTCCAAAAAAATCACACATTTCCCCTCATCGTTTATTCCAAGTCCTCGTCTCAGCTTTGGATTTTTCCGGATGGCTCAGGCCTAACGAAGGTAAATGTGGCCTGGATGATGGGAGTGGGTTTTGTGGGCTGCCCTAGCTCCCACATGGTGCTCTGAGAGCGGCACAGCATGCTGTTACAGAGTGTGGCCCGAGAGCCAGTCTCACACTTCTGATCTCTGTTTAAGTACCTGTTAATGTCTGATCCTGGGAAAATTATTTAACCTATCATTCTTCATCTATAAAATGTGGATTATAGGATCCCTCACAGGGCTATTATAGGGATCAAATGAGATTTTCTCCTTTTGTGTTTAATGTGTTCCATAGTATAGCAATCAACATATCAGCTTCCCAGAAAGGAAAAGACATGAAAATTTTAGGAAGGTAGTATAATTTGAAATAGTACAGCATAAAATTATCCAAAGAAGTATATAAGGTATGTCATAGTTACTATATAGAAAATAGTAAGTTTTCATTCAGATACTTTAAAGCAAGGAAACTGACAATTACCACCTAATCTGGTCCTGCTAATAAGGTTTTTCATTATTTTATCTTCTCTTAAAAGTGACACCTATATGCATAGACAGACAGTGACCTCAGTCACATCATCAGAATAATTTATAAACACTGTACTAAGTTATGTGTTTTTTAAGAACCTGAAAAACACAAATGAGGGTGCTATGTGCTTCGTTCTTCTACCAAGCCTGCAAATACTATTAATATCTTTGCATGTGTATATATTTAAAATTTATCTCACATTTTTGACAAAGTATACAAACATTGAAAGCTTTGCAAGTTTACAGCATTTGGGAGTTAAGGTAGATTCTGAAAGTCTTCCTATTATGTAACAATTGTTTAGCATCAACACTAAACTATATTCAGTACAAACCAAAGATTTAATCATAGTCCAAGACTATTACATTCATTAAAATTCCACTAATGAGGAACCGCTAAGGCAATATTTCATTTTGAAAAAAGGGAAAGTTCCAATTTCAATTTTAAGTGAATTTAAATTAGCATTTAAATATGTTCTATAAACATGTGTCTGACTGAGTTATGATCAGTATGATCGTTACTGTAGTGATTATTATGTGCCCTTTAGTGAGCACTCACTGTGTATTGAAAGCCTTGCAAAACACAGTATGTTTAATTCTGCAGATTTCTGATGACTTTTTTCTCACGAGAACACAGAATACATTATAATATCTTTCCTCAGCCCTAACACATAGTAATAAAAAATTAAAGGAATTTTATTTTTGTTCCTAACAGCTTTGTCTATTCATTGAAATTTAAGAAACCAGGTAAATATAATTTTCTAAAATTACATCTAATGGTTGGTTGGTTTCCTGTTTGTCTTGTGAATTTTATGGGTTTCATTTTGACACTATATCTTTAAAAACCTGAAAACATCTAAAATATTGATTTTTAATCTGGTTATTTGATTAGTGTTCTTTCTAAACTGTCACTTTTTTCTGCTATATATTATTTATATTTCATAATTTTAATTCAAACATATTTCTATTAATTTTGAAAAGACACAAACCAAGTGCTGTAATTATATAATGTAATTCTGTAAAAACAATATTAAATATCATAATTGAAATATTATTTTGTGTATTCAAAATTGTTTTTTACTTTGGTAAGATTGACAAATATTTTTGTTGGTAATCTTTCAGTGCTTTCGCTTAGTTACATGCCTTGGATATCAATGCATTTTTTTCCACAAAACCTTATTGAAGAGCTGAAACAACCACATTCAAGAACCACTTCCCTTGTTCCTGTGAAGGACTATAAAAAACAAATTGAGAAATAAACAGATACGTCACAGAATTAATATTATTAAACACCAAACACTATTCAGTATTAAATACTGTAGTTGGAAGTTTGTTAACTTGGGTATTTCTTCAAAGTGAGGAACTTTTGCTAACGTCAGATCAGTTGATCACAATCACTGTCTTTCAAAGGGCTTTGTTTAAAAAAGAAATCTTTCTAAATCTTGCTATTGTAAATCATTTTAATGAAATAGTGATCGCGAGTTTTATGAATAAAATACTTTGTGGTACAAGATATTAGGCCAAAACTCCACAAATTCAACATATAACAATTCAATAAAATTTTGAATTGTGTTAATGTTATTTGTTATTTTGTGTCTATAATCGCTAATTACTGCATTGTAGTGCATCCTTTTTAACATATTAATGAAAATAAGTAACATAAAGGTACAGGCAATGACATTATATGAAGTGTCTGCAAAAAGTTTATGAAAAAAAAATATATATGAGGAGAAAACTATGCATAAATTTCAGAAATGTTTTGTACCCAAATAAACTTGTACTAACTTGTTATAACATGTCTGAGTAGGATCTAATTTGAGACACTAAGAAGGATAAGGCATCAGTGAGAAAAGAGCCCCTAGAGCTCCTATCTTAGCAACACGAATTCTGCTAGCATTGAAGCAAGAACAGACATCCAATTTATGGTGAGGCTTGAGTAGAAGAAGGGCAAAATTACTGATGCTTTATGAAAAGTTTAGGGGGACAATGCCTCAAAGATATCAGCAGCTTATAAATAGAGAACTCATTTTAAGAAGGGACAAGATTATGTTGAAGATGATGCCTGCAGCAGCAGACCATCCATATCAATTTGTGAGGAAACAAATTCGTCTTGTGTGTGCCCTACTTGAAAAGAACTGATGATTAATAACAGAAACAATAGGTGACACCATAGACATCTCAAATTGTTCAGCTTACGAAATTCTTTTTTTTTTTTTTTTTTTTTTTTGAGACAGAGTTTCACTCTCATCACCCAGGCTGGAGTGCAATGGCACGGTCTCGGTTCACTGCAACCTCCACCTCCTGGATTTGAGCGATTCTCCTGCCTCAGCCTCCCAAGTAGTTGGGATTACAGGTGCCTGCCACCATACCCCGGCTTACATAATTCTTATACAGTTATGTAGTGAAATTTGTGTTTGCCAAAAGTTAAGCTTTAAACTTTAGTAACTTAAAAAATGTGAATGCTACAATTCAAACTTTTTAAAAATTATATTTTATAAACAATTTTGTAAACTTTAAATAATAATGTTTATTTTCAAACAACTGTCATCTTTGATTTAAAGGGCTGAAAAAATAAGGGTAAAATTTAATTTACAAAATCAAATAAGTGAAAAATAAATATATATAATTAAGTTTTAAGTGAACTTTGTGTAAATTTGTAACATTGATACTTTGGGAGATGCTACAGCTGAAAATAGCATAAGATTTTGGAGACAGCGTCTACATTTCTAAAACATATTTTTCCTTTAAGTAGAAATTTTACCTCAAAGTAGATAGATGTCTACCAAATTGCTCATATTATCAGATATGTCTTAAATCTTATTTGGATAACTTCAACAGATATTTGTAGTTTAACTTTTTATTGAGATAATGGTAGATTCACATGCAATGGTAGAAAAATAATAGAGAATAAAATAATAATAATGTCTCAGTCTTCCCCCATCCCCAATGATAATATTTTGCAAGACTACACTATAATATCACAACCTGAATATTGTCATTGATTTAATCCACCTGTCTGGTTCAGATTTCTCAAATTTTACTGTGTCATTTGTGGGTGTATGTATTTAATTCAATATAGTTTTCTCATGAGTCATTTCATATATGATTACCGTAGTCAAGATACTTAACGGTTCTAGCATTACAAGGATGCTATGTTTTGCCCTTTTATAACCATGCCACGTGCCTTCTGCTTCCACCCACTGCTGCCCAATTCATTTCAAAAACGTTGTATAAATGGAGTCATCCATATGTAAATGTTGTGGATTGGCTCTTTTTTGTTGTTCTTAATTGATTATTCTATTGGTAAGACTTCTGGTAAACAGAAGGCAATTATTAGTAGTTAAGTTTTGGGGGAGCCAAAAGTTATATGTGGGTTTTTGACTGTGTGGAGGGTTGGTGCCCATAACCTCCATTTTTTTTTTCTTTTTCAACTTCTATTTTAGAATCAGGGGGCGCATGTGCAAGTTTGTTACTTGGGTTTGCTGCATGATGCTGCGGTTTGGAGCACAAATGATCCCATTAACCAGCTATGGAGTATAATACCCAACACTTTTTCAACTCTTGTGCCCCTCCACACCTCCCCTCTCAAGCAGTCCCCAGTGTCTATTGTTAGCATTGTGGATTGGCTTTTTCAATCAGCATAATTCCCTGGAGAGTCATGCAAGTTGTGTGTATACTTTTTGTGACTGAGTAGTATTCCCTAGAATGTATGTACCAGAGTTTTTTAACCATTCTCTTGTTGAAGGACATCTGAGTTGATTTCAGTGTTTGGCTATTACAGATAAAGCAGCTATTAAATGTATGGACAGGTTTTCATGTAAATAGACATTTTTCATTTCTGGAGAAAAAGCCCAAGAGAACAATTGCTGGATCATATGGTAATTGCTTGTTTAATTTTATTTTATAGCCCTGCCCAACTGTCTTCCAGAGTGGTTATATCATTTTACATTTCTTCCAGCAGTGTGTGAGTAATACAGTTTCTCAGCCTTACCAACTTGTGTTATCACTATTTTTTAATTCATTCAGTGATAAATAGATAATCGGATAGGTGTGTTGCAATATCTCACTTGTGGTTTTCATTTGCATTTCTCTAATGGCAAACAATGTCAAAACACTGATCATCTTTTCATGTGCTTATTTTCCACCTGTATGTCCTCTTCAGTGAAATATCTGCTCATATTTGAAGCCCATTGTCTTTTTAAGGTATATTGTTCATGTTTTCACCATTGGGTTTTGAGAGGTCTTTCCATATTCTAAATAATAGGTTTTCTGTCCGATATGTGATTTGTAAATATTATCTCCTGGACTGTAGCTGTTTTCTTTTCATCTTCAGATGGGCTTTCAAGAACAAAAGTCTTCAAGTTTGATGAAGTCCAATTTATTTGCTTTTATTTTACGAATCATACTTTTGGTGTCAAGTGTAACAATTCTTTGCCTAGCTCTAGATCTCAATTACTTTCTTTAATTTTTTTCAAAAAAAGCTTATCGTTTTATGTTTTACTTTTAAGACTGTAATCCATTTTGTTAGTTTTGAATAATAGATGAGATTTAAGTCAAATTTTCTTTTTAAAAAAATTTTTGCCTATGTATGTCAAATTTCTCCAGCACTATTTATTAAAAGAGCTATTCTTTCTTCACTGAATTGCTGTTGCTCCTTTGTGACAAATCACTTAGGCATTTTTGTATGAGTCTATTTTTTTCATTCTCTTTTCTCTTCTGTTGTTCAATAGGTCTCTTTCTTCCCACTCCACACTATCTTGCTTACTGTAGCTATATAGGAAGCTTTAATATTGGGGAGAGTTATTCTTCCCATTTCATTCTTCTTTGTCAAAATTGCATTTGAGGGCCTATGACTTTCCAAATAAATTTTAGAATAAGCTTTTCTATGTCTTAAAAAAGAAAATATTGCTGGGACTTTGTTAAGAATTGCATTATACCTATAAATCAATTTGAGAAGAATTGACATCCTTATTATGTTGAGTCTTTCAATCCATAAACATGGTATGTCTCTCCCTTTGTTTAAATTTCTTTATTAATTTATCAATGTATTATAATTTTTGGCATACAGATCTTCTACATGTTTTATTAATTATATATCTATCAAGTTCACTTTTAGAGCAGTTGTAAATAGTATTGTGGTTTTCATTTTTGCCTATGTTCATTGTTAATATAGAGAGATATGATTGATCTTTGTGTGTTGATCTTATATTTTGTGACCTTGCTAGACTCATGTATTAGTTATAGAAGGTTTTTTTTTTTAGATTTGGAAGATACTTTGGGATAGTCTATGTAGATAATCTTGTTATCTGCAAATAGAAAGTTTTATTTTTTCTCTTTTCAATAAGTATGCCTTTTATTTCTACGTCCTGCCTATTCCAGTGACTACAACATCTATGCCAAATAAGAGCAGTGAGAGATAATATCACTTCTTGGTTTCTATCTTAGGGAAAAAGCATGCAGTTTTAATTATTATATTCACTATAGATATTTGTATACATTCTCTTTATCAAGTTGAGATATGTTACCTAACTTGTTGAGAGTTTTCATTATGAATGAGTATTGGATTTTGTCAAATGCTTTTTCTACATCAGTTGAGATGAGCATAGGAATTTTTTCCTTTAGCTTTTTGGATTATAATTGATTTTTAAATGCTGAACCAGCCTTGCATACCTGGTAAATCCCACTTAGTCATGGTGTATAATTCATTTTTACACTGTTGAATTTTTGTTGCTAATATTTTGTGGAGAATGTTTCCATCTAACCTCATGAAATGTATTGGCATGTAGTTTTCTTTTTTTGTACTGCCTTTTTCTGGCTTTGGTATCAGAATAATACTGGCTCATCAAATTAGTTTGAAAATGTTCCTTCCTCTTTCATTTTTTCTGGAAGATATGTATAAAATTGCTGTTAATTCTTTAAAGAGTTGATACAATTATTCAGTTAAACTATTTAAACCTGGAAATTTATTTTTCTGGCTCTTTCAAATTACAAATTAAATTTCATGAATGGTAATAGAAATTATTCACATGATCTCATTGTGGTTGATTTTTGGTTTGTGGTTTATGAGAAATTGATCCATTTTTCTAAGTTGTCAAATTCATGAGCACAAGCTCGTTTGCAGTATTTGATAATTATCTTTTTAAAGGCCATAGGATCTGTAATAATCCCTTATTTCATTCCTGATATTGCTTATTTCTATCTCTTCTTTTTTTATGTCAGTCTTGCTAGAGGTTTATTACTTTTTTTCAAAGAACAAGCTTTTTATTTTACTGATTTTCTCTACTGTTTTTCTACATCTTTTCTGAGTGACCTGTTGTCAAAGACTCGGTTCTGCTTGCTTCATATTAGGGTGCTGCACACTGTGAGTGATTACACATTAAGGAATAAAAAATAAAATGAGGACCTAAAAGAGCTATGAAGAAATTTTTAGAAAGGGAGAGCAGTTTCTTTTGCAATTCACTTGGGTCGAGCTTCTGAAAGAAAGTCAATTTTAAAGCTATCGAGCACTGTATTAGTCTCTTTGTGTGGGTGTGTATGTGTGTGTGCATACGGAAAAAAATTATATACAGAAACAGATACATCATATATTATATATAGATGCTACTGAAACATTAAAGAATTAAATAGACACTTAATTTGGGAATTTGGATAAACTTCCTGTGTTAAATAATTTTTTTTGTGATGAGTTTTGAAAGACTGGAAGGGTTTTAAGAGATATGGAAATGAATTCTAAAGAAGAAAACATTGTGAGAAAAAAGTTAAGGATTTGGGGAAACATAGAAACAGATTGAAGTGCTGTTGAAAGGTAATTTAGTATTTTTGAAGATACTATTTGAGTGATAAGAATACAAACAGGGGCCGGGCATGGTGGCTCACAGCTGTAATCCCAGCACTTTGGGAGGCCGAGGCGGGCAGATCACTTGAGGTCAGGCATTCGAGACCAGCCTGGCCAACATGGTGAAAACCCATCTCTACTAAAAATACAAAAAACTAGCCAGGCATGGTGGCGGGCACCTGTAGTCCCAACCACTTGGGAGGCTGAGGCAGGAGAATCGCTTGATCCCAGGAGTTGGAGGTTGCAGCAAGCCAAGATCACACCACTGCACTCCAGCCTGGGTGCCAGCCTGAGTGACAGAGCAAGACTCTGTCTCCAAAAAAGAAAAAAAAAAAAAAAAGAAAACACAAACAGGGAGATAATCAAGGAGATAATGGAGAGTTGGAGGGTGTCCTTAAATGTCAATTAATAATTTAGGTTTTATTTTGTTGGCCATAAGCCAAATAGGTATAGGTTACATAATGTTCAAAGAATATATGAGAGTCTGAGGATTTCTATTCTTGAAGACAAAATGTGTAAGTGAAATATCTGTTCCTGAAAGTGAAAAGGTACAAGACTTAATGAAGTGTAACTAATAACTAATAAATACGAGTACTCCTTGGTTTTACGGCCATTGGATATTCTCTTTTGAGAAGTGACCGTGCAAGTACTTAGCCCAATTTTCTATTGTCTTTTTCACTGATTTGAAGGAGAACTGTCTGTTCTGGATGTGAGTTCTTTTCTTTTCTTTTTTTTTTTTTTTTAGTCTGTTACATTTATGGGTTTGTGAGTGTTCTGGAAAATTGCAGTATGTGTGAAGACCAATTTCCTTGCTGGCATTGCATGCATCCAAATATTAATGCACAGAGGCACAGAATTAGAGCAACAAGAAAGCATATTCCAACACTAGCATGCCCCATACCCCCTTTTGATTGCTTGTTTGCTTAGTACTTCATATATGTGTTTTGTAAGTATTTTGTCCACATTTGTGGCTTTTATTATTTTAAGATTTTGCTTTGATGAAGAGAATCTTTCAGTTTAAATGTAGTCCAGTTTATTCAGTTTTTCTTTCAAATTTAGCTGTTTTTCATTTTTTTTAACAAAATTATTTGCCTACTCAAAGGTCCTAACATTGTTTCCCATGTTTTCCTCCAAGAGTTTTATTGATTTATCTTTGCTATTTAGATCTGAAATCAATCAGGGTCAGAAGCAGAAGAAACAGGAATGAGAACCCTAGGGAACAAAAAGAAAACAAATAATAAAATGAAAGACTTAATCCCTAGTTATTAATAACTACTTGATAAATACTTATTTAACTGGTTAATATATTAACTTGAACTTAAATATAGCAAAAGCAGAAATTGGCAGAACAGATAAAAATTTTTTGACCCAACTACATACTTTATTTAAAAAACTCACTTACAAACGTACTGACAAATGTAGGCAGAAAATAAGGGATGAAAAATGATTCATCATGCAAATGCAAATATTAACTAAAAAGGAATGAATAAATACATTAACATCAGATAAATCAGACTTCAGACATAAGAAAATTACTAGGAAAAAGAGACATCACAAGATGATAAAATGATCAATTCACCAAATACATATAGAAATCTCAAGTGTATCAATACTGCTATTGACCAAATTGTGTTGCCTGAAACAGTGGTGTTAAAGACCCATCCTCAATGTGGTGGTATTTGGAATAAGTAAGTAAACAAAGTTAAATGAAATCACTTTGATAGGATGAGTGTCCTCACAAGAGGAGAAACCAGAGAGCTCTCTCTCTCTCTCTCTCCCATATGAAGAAATAGTGAGAAGGTTGCTATCTACAAGCCAGTAAGAGAGCCCTCATCACAAACCAAATTGGCTAGCACCTTGATCTTGGACTTACAAGCCTCTAGAATTGTGAGAAAATACATATGTTTTTTGGTCACACAGTCTATGACATTTTGTTAGAGCAGTTCAAACAGACTAAGAAAAATAGAAAAAGACGAGGCTTAAAAATACAGGAAGCAAAAACTAATAGAGGTTAAAGGAGGACTAGACAAACCTACTTATAGTTAAGAACTGAATTCAGGTGCGGTGGCTCATGCCTGTAATCCCAATACTTTGGGGGGCCGAGGTGGGTGGATCACCTGAGGTCAGGAGTTCAAGATCAGCCTGGCCAACATGGTGAAACCCCGTCTCAACTAAAAATATAAAAACTAGCTGGGTGTGGTGCTGGGTGCCTGTAATCCCAGCTACTCGGGAGGCTGAGGCAGGAGAATTGCTTGAACCCGGATGGAGGTTGCTATGAGCTGACATGGTGCCACTGTACTCTAGCCTCGGTGACAGTGAGACTCCATCTCAAAAAAAAAAAAAAAAAGAACAAAAAAGAACACTACCACTACCAACTAACACTACCAATGAATTAACATTTATAGAACACTCCACATAGCAACAGCTGAATGTTTATTCTTCTCCAGTGCCCACAGCACATTACCCAAAGTAAGCATACCTTGGTTCATAAAACCTCAATCAATTTAAAAGAATTAAAATATTTGAGATAGGTTCTCTTACCATAGTGGAAACAATTAGAAACCAATATTAGAGAGACGTCAGAAAAATCTTTATAAACGTGGAAATTAAACAACACAATATTTAATATCTCATGGATAAAGAAGTCTTTATACGTATTAAAATAAAATTAAGTACAAAATATCAAAATTTGTAGGATACAATTAGAGCAATGCTAAGAAACAAATTTGAAACACTAAATTTTTACTGTGATGGTTTATTTTTTGTGTCAACTTGACTAGGATAAGGGATGCCAGATAGCTCGTAAAATATTATTTCTGGGCATGTTTGTGAGGGTGTTTCCAGAAGAGATTACCAATTTTATCAGCAAATTGAAAGAGAATGCCACCTTTACTAATGTGGATGGTCATCACGCAGTCCATTGAGGGCCTGAAGAGTACAACAAGGTGGAGAAAGAGTGAATTCACTCTCTTCACTTGAACTAAAACATCTATCTTCTCTTGATCAGTTGAAAAATTTATCTCTCAGATGCATTCAATTGAATAATTTATCCCTGGATATTTGTACTAAAACCTGTTAAAACCAAGAGTCTATACATCATATTAGTTAACAGGAAGTTGTTCTGATATATACAGTAAAAGGAAATGGAAAGCATTATTTTCAAATCAATCACACAACATAAATTCGATCAAATATGAGTCTATCATATTATGATGAACTCTGATGGTCTTGCAATTGCTTTTATATTTTTTCCAATAGGACTTGATATTTGGGGTATGCACATCAAGAGGTGAAATGAAATGGAAGCTGGGATCATTATGTATAGACTGATCATGTTAGAAACAAATGAGAGACTGAATGTTACTATGGGAAACCCATAAGTCAGATTAAATGGGAGAGCCAGGTTGAACTATGCATCACAAAATAAGCAGCAAAGTTGGGCAGAATGGTCAAATAACCAACAGCTAGCTGACGGGTAGTATTTATGATACCAAAACCCCATATTTCCCTCTCCAGAACATGACCATGATAATAGTTGAGTTTGTGGCTAAAACAATACTTGTCAATTTGTAAGTAAGGACCTGGACCACCAATCTGTATCAGATGTAGTTCAAAATAATACTTGCATACTTTGCTATAGAAATTGTAGATGTCAACTATAGTATGGGTTGAAATTCCAGTAATAGCAATAGCCATTTTGTGTGTGACTTTCATTCACCATAAGAATAGATGATGAAGCCACATTTTCAGGGAGACATTGAATTTTGTGAAAAAGATTCCTTTCAAAGAGAGACCCACGACAATTGTCAATTTCAGAGAGTACATTTCCTAAATAGCCATCTTTGCACTGATATCATACCATGTACCATAAAGGTTAGTGACAAAAAGAACATTCAGGAGCCACATATAACAAATTAAAAACACTAAAAAGTTTTGAATTTGACCCACAAGGGTTGATCACAATTGATTAATTTGATGCACCACAATTGAGGAATTTGATTCACAGGGACAAATTGTTCAAATCATCTTCTTCTCCTGCCTTCGGACTCCTGGTGCTCTTGGTTCTCAAGCCTTTGCACTTGGACAGGAACCTACACCATCAGCCTTTGTGGTTTTTAAGCTCTTTCAACTCCAATCGGATCTTATACCATTGGCTCCTCCTGGTTCTCAGGCCTATGGGTTTGGGTTGCAATGACAACACTGGTTTTCCTGGGCCTCCACCTTGCAGAGAGAAGATAGTGGGACTTCTCAGCCTCCATAATTGTGTGAGCCAATACCTCACAGTAAATCTCTTTTTGTATTGATTCTGTTTCTTTGGAAATCCCTAAGTAACACAGTTACATTAGAACAGAGATCTCATAACTATAATCTATTTTTGCCTCAGGAAATGAGTTAAAAAGAGCAAAATAAACCCAAGCAGACAAAAGTAAGGAAATAATAAAGATAAAAGCAGAAATAAATGACATTGAAACAGAAAAACAATAAAGAAGATGATACAAAAAACTCATTCTTCAAATAAAATCAATCAATACAACTGATAAATCTTCAGCAAGACTGATAAAAATAAAAAGAGAGAAAACACATTATTAGTATCAGGCACTAAGCAGGGATATTATAAAATATCTGGCAACTATTAAAGAGATAAGGGAGGCCGGGTGTGGTGGCTCACGCCTGTAATCCCAGCACTTTGGGAGGCCGAGGTGGACGGATCACGAGGTCAGGAGATCGAGACCATCCTGGCTAACACAGTGAAACCCCGTCTCTACTAAAAATACAAAAAAATTAGCCGAGCGTGGTTGCAGGCTCCTGTAGTCTCAGCTACTTGGGAGGCTGAGGGAGGAGAATGGCCTGAACCCTGGAGGCGGAGCTTGCAGTGAGCCGAGATCCCGCCACTGCACTCCAGCCTGGGCGACAGAGCGAGACTCCGTCTCAAAAAAAAAAAAAAAAAAAACAGAGATAAAGGAATACCATGAACAACTTTACACTCATCAACTTAACTCTTTAGAAGAAATGAACAAATTATTCAAAAACTAAACACTAGCAGAAATCAGCCAGGTGAAAGAGATAAAAGAAAGAGTCCTATAACCATTAAATAAATTGAATTCATAATTAGAATATCTCCATCCCCCAACATTCAGGCCCAGACGTTCTGGAGAATTTTACCAAACATTTAAGAATTTACACCAATTTTACATAATCTCTTAAAAGGCAAAAAGATTAGGAGGTAATACTTCTCGAGTTATTTTATGGGGTCAATACTATCCTGATAGTAAAAGCAAGTAAAGATAGCACAAAAGTCTAAAACCACAGGCCAATATCTCTCAGGAACATAGACACAACAATCCTCAACAAAATATTAGAAATCACATCCAAGAATGGATGCTTAAAAGTATATATTATGATCAAATGAGATTATTGCAGTTATTCAAGCCTGAATCAACATTTGAAAACGGATCAATGTAATTTATCATATCAATATGCTAAAGAAGAACAATCATAGGATCATAAATTGACACAGAAAAACCATTTTTAACAAATTCAACAACCATTCATGCAAAAAGTCAACAAACAAGGAAGAGATGAATTTCTTAAACCTCATAATTTCAAAAACCCTACAGCTGACATCATAGCTAATGATGAAAAACTGCACATTTTCCTGTAAGATTGTGAATAAGGCAAAAATACCTACTCTCAGCATGCCTATTGAACATAGTACTGAAAGTTCTAGCCTCTCCAATAGGCAGGAAAATAATTTAAAAACACGCAGATTGACTAGTCATTTAGCATTAGGTATATCTCCTAATGCTGTCCCTCTCCCCTCCCCCCACCCCACAACAGTCCCCAGAGTGTGATGTTCCCCTTCCTGTGTCCATGTGTTCTCATTGTTCAATTCCCACCTATGAGTGAGAACATGCGGTGTTTGGTTTTTTGTCCTTGCGATAGTTTGCTGAGAATGATGGTCTCCAGTTTCATCCATGTCCCTACAAAGGACATGAACTCTTCATTTTTTATGGCTGCATAGTATTCCATGGTGTATATGTGCCACATTTTCTTAATCTAGTCTATTGTTGTTGGACATTTGGGTTGGTTCCAAGACTTTGCTATTGTGAATAGTGCCGCAATAAACATACGTGTGCATGTGTCTTTACAGCAGCATGATTTATAATCCTTTGGGTATATACCCAGTAATGGGATGGCTGGGTCAAATGGTATTTCTAGTTCTAGATCCCTGAGGAATCGCCACACTGACTTCTACAATGGTTGAACTAGTTTACCAACATGGCACATGTATACATATGTAACAAACCCGCACATTGTGCACATGTACCCTAAAACTTAAAGTAGAATAATAATAATAAAAAACATGCAGATTGAAAAGGCAGAAATAAACTTGTCTTTATTTGCAAATATCAAAATTATCAACACTAAAAACCCTAAGAAATCTACCAAAAATCTCATAAATACTGAGTTCAGCAAATCACAGGACACATACAAATCAACAACTGAAATGAATCACATTTCTTTAATTTCTAAAATTAAAAACACAATACAGTAGTATTTATAACTACTCCAAAGATAATGAAATATATAGGTATACACTTGGCAAAACATGTCCCAGGACTTTGTGCTGAAAATTCCAGAATGCTGTTGGAAGAAATGAAAAAGACCTAAATAAATAGAAATACACAGCATTTATGAAAGAGAAAACTCAACATATTAATCATGCCAGTTGTCTACAAATTGATCTATGTATTTGATGCTATTCCTATCAAAATCTCAGCAAGAATTGTATAGATGTAGAGAAGCTTATTCTAAAATATATATGGAAAGGAAAGATCTATAAATAGCCAAAACAGTTTGAAAAAGAACAAAATGAATGATTAACTCTTCCCAGTGTTAATGGGAAATTATACCAATTTTATATAACATTCCCTTTAACATTGGGAAGAGTTAATCATTTGTTTTGTTCTTTTTCAAATTGTTTTGGCTATTTATAACTCTTCCTAATGAGGAGAGTATGTTACTGGAATAGGTATAAACACAGATAAATTGGAGCAAATTACAGAATCTAAAAATATACTGACATCAAGATGCCCAGTTAAATTTTGACTAAGGAGCAAAAGTTATTTAATGAAGTAAGAATAGCATTTTTAATAAGTGGTACTGAAACAATTGAACACTGATAGGAAAATAAAATGAACTTCGGTTTAAACCTTCTATCTTAAAATTATCTCAAAGTGGACCAAACACTTAAATGTTAAATTTAAAAGTATAAAAAATGTAGGATAAAATGGGAAAATCTTTTGGATCTAGGATTGGGCAGAGTTTTTAGACTTAACATTAAAAGTGTAATCAATTAAAAGAAACTTTCATAAATTGCACCTCAAAATAGAAAAAGAAAAGAATACTTTATTTTGCAAAAGATCCAGTTAAAAGTTTAGGGCATTGCCCTACTGGCTTTTACCTGGGTTATTCATAATCAGAGATACAATTTGTTTAGGTAATGCAACCCTTTTTTGGTAGATTTCCCCAGCATATATTTCTAATGTTTGAACCAATAAATGCTATCACTTGGGTATTTTCAGTGCATAAATTTTACACAAGGTTATTTAGAGCAGCATGAAATACCATAGTACAGTTTGAGATAGCCAATATGTTTTAGTTTCATCAGGAGAGTTTGTTTTAAATAAATGATTTCTACTCAGAATCAATGTGCACAAATTTTAATAATATTAATTGTGTTACAACAACTAATAACTTCTTTTTGTTTAATAGTCAGGTAGAATATAGAATTCATTATAGGCTTGTACCAAAATAACTGAATTTCTTGGATATTACTTTATACCCTGTAAGTAGGTATTCATATATTTTTGTTTTAAATTATTGCAGTGTACATGGAATACTATGCAGCCATAAAGAAGAATAGGACCATGTATTTTGCAGGGACATGAATGGAGCTGGAGGCCATTATCCTTAGCAAACTAACACAGGAACAGACGACCAAATACCATATGTTCTCACTAAAAAGTGGGAACTAAATGGGAACACATGGATACATAGAGGGGAACAACACACACTGACGCTTATTGGAGGGTAGAAGGTGGAGGGGGGATCGGGATAAATAACTAAGGAGTAGTAGGTTTAATACCTGCGTAATGAAATAATTTATACAACAAACCAATATTTATTGGCAGTAAATAGATAATTATATGGCCATATTTTAAAATTTTCTTAGCAACTTTAGTAAATACTCCATTTAATGTTCAGAAACATGCTACAAATTTGTGACACTGTCTTTTTGGTTTTCATCCAAAATCTAATGCATTCACACATTCTTATCAGTGTGTGATGGACTGAATGTTCCTGTACCACAAAATTCATATGCTGAAACCCTAATCATGCTGAAACCCTAATCTTGCTGAAACCCTAATCTTCAATGTGGTGTTATTTGGAGATGGAGCTTTGGGGAAGTAATGATGTCATTAGGGTGGAGTCCTCGTGATGGGATTAGTGACCTGATAGGAAGAGAGGGGAAGAGAACTTGCTTCCTCTTTCTGCTCTTGGCCAGGTGAGGATATATGGAGAAGAGGACTGTCTGCAAACCAGGAAGAGGGGCCTCCCCAAGTATGGCATCTGTGGGCTGCTTGGTCTTAGACGTCCCAACTTTCAGAACTGTGAGAAACAAATATTTGTTATTTAAGCCACCCAGTCTGTGGTAATTTGTTATAGCAGCCCAAGCAGACTATAACATAGTGTGATATTTTAAAAACACGTTTTATGGAATATATAAGCAAATCTTCAGTAATAACTATGTAATGATTTTTAAATGTCTGTCCTATATTAAAATTTTTCAACTTTCATATATATCAAATTCTGTAGATTTAAGTAAATAGAAATGAGCATTAAATATAAAAGTATATGTAATTCTGTCTGACTGGAATCACAGACACACAGACATTTAAAATGTTACTTCCAATAGCATTAGCTTCCTGATCTATATGAATTTAGGACTATTTGTAGACTTACAGTAAACTTAAAATTATCCTAAATGAAAGTGATTGGCATAGGATAAATACTTAAACACGTTAATTGCCTTCCCTTTAGAAAACAGAGAGATATATATTCACCCTCACACAGACAAACACACATCAGCAAAGAAAACCAATGTCTCCACATAGATGTTTTTGCTTCCCAGACCCAAAACATCTGGAGGTGAAATGATTGACATTGAAATGTAACAATTCCTTTAAGGGAGAAAAAGCTTTGGGAATGGTGTTTTTTCACACTAAAAGAGATATTATATACACTTACTGTAATCAGGGTTGCAAAATTAAGAATATGATTATATTAGTTTCCTATTTCTGCTGTAACAAGTTAGCACAGAGCAGTTTAAAACAACACAAATGTTTACTTTCCTACAGTTCCGGAGTTAAGTCTGAAGTAAGTGTTACAAGGCTAAAATCAAGATCTCAGCAGGAGTGATTGCTTCTGGAGGCTCCAGAGGATAGCACCTGTCCTCACCTTGTCCAGCTTCTAGAGGCAGATTGTGGCCCCTTCCTATATCTTCAAGCCAGCTACGTAGCATTTTTTTTTCTCTTTAACCAACTGCTTTGTTTTATAAATACCTTGTGATTATATTGGAGCCATGCAGGAAGCCAAGATGATCTCCCAGTTCCAAGATCTTTAAGATAATCGCATTAGCAAATCCCTTTTGCCATATAGAGTAGCATATTGACTGGTTTTAGAGATTGGAATGTGGACATATTTGGGGACGCATTATTTAGTCTTTCACAGTTATAACAGAGCTTTTTTTTTTTTTTTTTTTTTTTTTTTTGATGAAGTCTTGCTCTGTCGCCCAGGCTGGAGGGCAGTGGCATGATCTCGGCTCATAGCAACCTCTGCCTCCCGGGTTCAAACAATTCTCCCGCCTCAGCCTCCTGAGTAGCTGGGATTACAGGCACGCGCCACCATGCCTGGCTAATTTTTCTATTTTTAGTAGAGACAGGGTTTCACCATGTTGGTCAGGCTGGTCTTGAACTCCCAACCTCGTGATTTGCCCCCCCAGGCCTCCCAAAGTGCCGGGATTACAGGCGTGAGCCACTGTGCCCAGCCAATAACAGAGCTTTTTTTTTTTTCTTCACTATATAATTTGAAGCAAAATGCCCCAGTAATACATGAAGAAGCTGCAGGCATTCAGTGTTCTTTCAGTATCCTTTAAGAAAGATGAATAGTCTTTTCCCTACATATACTGACTTCACAACAAACTTATTCATTTTTTGAGATGCAAATTACTTCAATGTTTCATATTGATCTAAATTAGCTCCCTCCTTGTTTCTAATTTTTGATTAGCAGCTGGTAGCAATGAAAGCAGAGTAGAGCAGGGGTGTGTAAGGGTATGTGTGTGTGTGTGTGTGTGTGTGTGTGTGTGTGTAAAAGCAAATGCTGTCACTTACAGCAATGATAGAAGATACCTTTGTGGAATTCAAGAATCTGTGCATCTTCATTAATGCTTTCTGTGTCAGCTAAACGTATTCGCCATCAACTTTAAAGCAGCCTATTTTAGGATGTCATCTGTTGGCTTCATAGGGAGGTTTTAGCCAAATTCCCCACTTTAATGATTTTTCGCTTCCCAGGTCATCTTACTAATATTGTGATACACCACAAAAATTATAGCATTTCTCGATATAATTCAATATAATAGGATCACTGTAATGCTACAAAGCCCAGGCATTTTCATTTCTCATGCTTTCCCCTTGGAATCATGTTAAGAGGCTAGATTATAGGCTTTTGAAATTGCAATTTTGCCATTTGGGAGGTAAAAGTAATTGGATGAACTATAGCAAGAGATAACATATTAAAAATTTCATTACCATACTGTTTCAACTAATCTCTCTTCTGAATAAAGGAGCATACATCTCTTTCTGATTCTTTTTAGGTCCCTAAATGTGGAGGTCAAATATCAAGTTTAAAGAAAGTGAAAAACAGCATTATGTATTTTTCCTAGTCTATATAAAATAACAGACCAATTTTTTTCTTCACTGCCATCAAATATATTTTATAGACAAATCTTTTAATAAACCTCAAATATCAAATAAAATGTTTTCACATCATAATTTAAATAATAAAATTTATTAATAGATGTGTTTATAAGTGCTTCTGATTTCTGATCATTATTCTTCATCAGGCATTTAGGCATTCAATTTATGAGGTTTCCTTTAATCTCAGATGAAACTAACTCTGTTTTTCGTGTCTCTGTCTTTATTGTTGATATGTCACATTTGAGGCCATCACTGAAGCTCCTTGTTTTCTGTATCCTCTCTGAGGGCTCACTGTTGCTTTTATCCCCTCCTACAATTTCCCCCACAGAATACCTGCTGATATTCATTCATTTTTTTTTCAGTTTTTGTAACCACTTATTTAGCAATTGAAATTGCCTGTTTACTGTTCTTTCAATATCAGCCTCATTTATCTGATTATTCCTCTGAAACTTGAAGAGGTTGTGAGGGTCTAGTGTGACATGTTACAAGGAGCTTGATCTGGGTGTATGTAGCTCTTCATGCTGTTCCTCAGAATAAGTAGCATAGAGGCCCAAACTAGCTTCAATTCCCAATGAGGAATTATGAGTCAGTCATGGACTGGAGTCCTGGGTCAGGCGAACCAGTCCAAGTAAAAAGGGCCAAGAACCAAATGCAAAAAGATTCTGAATTGTGAAAGCCAGTGTGCAGGAAAGTGCAGCACAAATAACCAGAATGCTCAAAAATTCCTTAGATTAAAAGTGTAAAGCTGCAGACATATCTTTTTGGGAACCACCATTAAGCCCTCTATGATGCGGGAAATTCATTAATAAAAATAATTTATTAATGCAAAAGAAGGGAAGAAATGAGAAGATGTGGAACATAAAAGAGTTTAGACAAATAGAAAATTATAGTAAAATGACAGATACAAAGAGATCAGTAATCCATCAAATGCTAGTGGAACTAATGTAGAACTAACACATTAAAGGTAAATGTGGTGATGCTGGCTTAAAAATATTTCTAGTTATGAAACCACTTTAATTAAAATGAAAGCTAAAATGTTAGAAAGGTTATATAAATTTCACCACTATATAAATGGTTTCACCATTTAACATGCCTCTGCAGCTTTACAATTTTAATGGGTATTAAGTGAGTGTCAGGGTAGGTTTAGGAAGGAAGGAGGTCCATAGGAGTGCAGTCTCCTGAGTATATGCTACACAGCACAACCCTAGACCCAGGGCCATTTTTTTTCAAAGCACTACTTCATCATTTAGTGCTATTGCATTGTTCAGAAATCTTACTTGGAGAATTAAATTTAATGCTAGTCTTGCACTTGAAAATCTTTACAACATGGCTACAAACCATTTCCCAAAATGATGTCACTATGCTCACCAGTGTAAACCTTTGTGACAGCAAACTCTTCAATCACCTTTTTTTCAAAGCAGTCCTTACACTTTCTTACTTGTTTTAAACTAATCTTCTACCACATTTTCTTCTCTCAGTCCTCTTCTGCCAATTTATCTCTGATTCATTCATCCTGATGGTTCAAATCTCACCTTTATAAAGCATTTCTGGATATAATTCAATATAATAGGATCTCTGTATATGGAATATATCCATTCCTTGGTGATGTCTGTTTCTTAGGAAACAGGCATTCCTTAATCATTCATTTTTTTCAATATAAAATATTTATTGAATGCCCACAGTGTCCCAGGTAACTCCATCAATTACTGGGGGTCCGCTGGTGCTTTGATAGAAAATGAAGTCATATATCCTAATAGATTAAAGGAGGATATCTTTCTTAAGTCGTGGAATTTATATAACTTTTCTAACATTATAGCTTCTGTTTTAATTAAAGTGGTTTCACAACTAGAAATATTTTTAAACCAGCATCATCACATTTACGTTTAATTTTACTATTAGCTCCTCTAACATTTGATGAATTACTGATCTATTTGCACCTGTCATTTTACTATGTATTTTCTATTTGTCTGAAATGTTTTATGGTCCACATCCTCTCATTTCTTCCCTTATTCTGTATTAATAAATTATTTTTATTAATGTATTTCCCCCATTGTAGACGGCTTACTGTGGGTCCCCAAAAAGATGTGTCTACCTGCTAATCCCTGAAAACTGTGAATAGTTCCTTATCTAGAAAAGGTTTTTTGCAGATCTAATTAAGTATGGAACTTGAGATGAGGAGATTATCCTACTTATCAGGTAGGTCCTGAATGTCATCTCAAGTGTCCTTATAAAAGAGAGACACAGGGAGATTAAACAAGCACGTACAAAGGAGAAGGTAACGTGAAGACAGAGCAGGAGAGATGTGGCCACAAGACAAGGAGCGTTGACAGCCGCCAGCAAATGAACAAGACAAGGAACAGGTTCTTCCTCAGAGTTTCCAGAGAGGATATGGCCCTTTCAACTCCTGGATTTCAGACTTCTGGCCTTTAGGACTGTGAAAGAATAAATCTTTGCTGTTTTAAGACATCAAATTTGCCATAATTTGTTATAGCAGCCATAAAAACTTACATACCCATAAATTGACTTTTAATTGTATTCTTTCATTTCATAGTTATTCTAGAAATTGCAACACCCATTTTAAACTCTTTAACTTATTAAAATCTAATATTTCTGTAGCTTTGTGATTTTCTTGGAAATGCTCTGACCTAGAAATATTTTTCTACTGTGTTTTATTTTTATGTTATTTTGTCAGGCTTTTTGAATTCTACATGTTTTTGACTCCACAAACTACTATTAATATTATTTTTGTTTTAGTGAAAAAGCTCTTCAAAAAAGGCAGATCATTTATTTGATGTTACCTTCTTTCTGGAATTTTGGTACTAATTAAGAAGCATTTTGTAAGTATAGTTGATATTTTTATCTCCCACAGATGAATTTATTTTACAGTGTTTTATTAACCCATAAAGAATCTGAAGTCAAGGAAAAATAGGTTAGTACAGCTTGGTTATATTGTAGTCTACTAAGATTTAGCTACATTCATAACTGAAAAATAGATTGAAATTATGTAATTTCCTGATTTTAATTGTTAAGAAGCAAAACAAAACCATTCAACGGCTACATAAATCGATATAATTTTTAGGAGTCTACTGTGTTCCATAACCTATGCTTGGTACTGGGTGGCAAACATTATAGGAATAACTAGCTAAGTGAGCAACAATTCTTCCTTAAGGTAGATATTAATAAAAGTGGTCCAATTCTAACTCACCAAGTATCATACCCGTGATTCATTATATTTGTAATAAGAATTCATTCAATGTTAGAATCAAAAGCCTTAGTAGCTTTTTGTATTATCAGAATGTTTTTATTCCTGTATCTTTTAGTGGTCTACATAGTTTTAGTTACAGTTTAGTGCTATAGGATTTCTTAAAACCCTAACTAAAGATCAAAGGCTAGCTCTAGCAACCCACTATTAAATTATCTACAATCATCACACATATATAAACTAATTTACTTGTTATGTTTTTATGTTCTCATTTGAAAATATGGCCAACTCTCTTATTGTTTAAAGGTATATTGTTTTATGTGTTTGAATTTCTTCTATATACAATTAACACATTACATGATGGTAATTATGTAGAATAGAGTGAAAAACTGGACATAGAAAGAATTCTTTATTCAATCACATTTTAATTCAAAACTCAGCTCTGCCTCTGCCCCTCAGTTTGATTTTGACTTACATATTAGAATGCCCTAAGCCTCAGTTTCTTCACAGGAAAAAATGAAGACAACGGATAACATAAGATTGTTGCAGGGATGGAGGATGATGGATATATAAAGTGAATCATATAGGACGTGGTTGCAGTAAAGCATGTAAAGATAATATTTGTGTTTCAATAATTTAAGGAAGGTGATATCACACACACCCACACATACACACACACACACAAACACTCCTTCTGTTTCTCTTAGGCTTATTTTGGCTACAAGTTCCAAATATTACATATGAATTTTCTTATTGTTATATAATAATTGTACATATTTATGGGGCACACGTGATATTTTGATACACATACATTGTGTAATAATCAAACCAGAGTAATTCAGATAGCCACCATCTCAAACATTTATCCTTTACTTGTGTTGAAAATATGCCAAATCTTCTCTTCTAGCTATTTAAAAATATACAATAAATTATTAAGAACTATATTCATACTACTGTGCTATTGAACACTAGAAATTATTCCTTCTATCTAAGTGTATTTTTGTGTCCATTAACCAATCTCTCTCTATCCCCCTTCCCCCATAGTTCCCAGCCTGTGGTAACCATCATTCTATTCTCTATCTCCATGAGTCAGTGTTTTTCTAAGCCTTCACATATGTGTGAATGATATATGTGTTTATGTTCCTAGCTCATTTTACTTAACATATTGTCATCCAGGCACATATATGTTGCCAAAATGAAAAGATTTCGTTATTTTTTATGGCTGAATGATGTTTTATTGTGTGTATATATACCACACTTTCTGTATCTCTTCATTGACTGAGGGACACTTAGGTTGATTCCATATCTTGAGTACTGTGAATAGCTCTGTAATAAATATGGGAGTGTAGATAGCTCTTTGATATACTGATTTCTGTTCTTTTTTGGTATATATCCAGCAGTAGGATTACTGAATCATATGGCAGTTCTTTTTTAGGTTTTTACATACTCTTTACATTCCCACAAATAGTGTATGAAAATTCCCCTCCTTCCACATCCTTACTAGCTTCTGTCACTTTTTGTCTGTTTGATAATGGCCATTGTTACTGGGGTGACATGATATCTTATTGCAGTTTCGATTTGCATTTCTATGATTATTGGTAATGTTGATCATTTTTTTATATACCTGCTTCTCATTTGTATGTCTTCTTTTGAGAAATGTCTATGGGGATCATTTACCCATTTTAAAATTGTATTATTTGTTTTTGTTTTTGTTTGTTTTTTGCTTCTGAATTGGTTGAGCTCCTTATATGTCTTGGTTAAGCCCTTGTTGAATTGATAGTTTGCGGATTTTTTTTCCCATTCTGTAGGTTGTCTTCTCCTCTGTTGATTGTTTTCTTTGCTGTGCAGAAACTTTTTAGCTTGATGTAATACCATCTATCTATTTCTGCTTTTGTGACCTGTGCTTTTTAGGTCTTACCCCAAAAATTCTTTGCCCACACCAATGTCCTGAAGCATTCTCCCTGTTTTCTTCTAGTAGTTTCATAGTTTTGTGTCTTACATTTAAGTATTTAATCCATTTTGAGTTGACTTTTGTATATGGTGAGAGACAGGGGTCTAGTTTCATTCTTCTGCATGTGCATATCCAGTTTTCCAGTCCCATTTATTGAAGAGACTGTCTTTTCCCCAATGTATGTTCTTGGCAACTTTGTCTGAAATGAGTCGGCTCTAAATACAAAAACTTATTTCTGTGTTATCTTTTCTGTTCCATTGGTCTCTATTCTGTTCCACTGGTCTGTGTGTCTATTTTTATGCCATGCTGTTTTGGTTACTGTAGTTTTGTAGTATATTTTGAGGTCAAGTAGTGTGATGCCTCAAGCTTTGTTCTTTATGCTCAGGATTGCTTTGGCTATTTGGAGTCTTTTGTGGTTCCATACAAACTTCAGGAGAGTTTTTCCTATTTCTGGAAGAATTTCATTGATATTTTGGTAATGATTGCATTAAATCTGTAGATCACGTTGAGGAATATTGACATTTTAACAATATTAATTCTGCTAGACTTTGAACATAAATTATCCCCCCCTTTTTTGTGTCCTTGTCAATTTATTTCATCAGGGGTTTATAGTTTTTTTTTTGCTTTTTTGTTTTTTGTTTTTTGCTTTTTTTTTGAGACAGAGACTCGCTTTTTCACCCAGACTGGAGTGCAGTGGCATGATCTCAGCTCACTGCAAGCTCCACCTCCCGGGTTCACATCATTCTCCTGCCTCAGCCTCCCAGGTAGCTGGGACTACAGGCACCCGCCACCACACCTGACTAATTTTTTTTGTATTTTTAGTAGAGACAGGTTTCACTGTGTTAGCCAGGATGTCTCGATCTCCTGACTTCATGATCTGCCCACCTCAGCCTCCCAAAGTGCTGGGATTACAGGCGTGAGCCATCAAGCCCAGCCCATCAGGGGTTTATATTTTTTATTGTAGAGAAATTTCATTTCTTTGGTTACTTTTATTTCTAGATATTTGGTAACTATTGTAAAATGAACTGTTTGATTTTTTTTCAGGTAAATCGAAACTGACTTATAGAAATGCTACTGATTTTTGTACATTGAGTTTGTATCCTGTAACTAAACTGAATTTGCTTATCTATTCTAACAGTTTTTTTTTTAAAGTAAAGTCTATGTTTTTCTAAGTGTAAGATCATTTCTTCTCCAAACAAGGACAACTTAACTTCTTCCTTTCCCATGTGCATGTCCTTTATTTATTCCTTTTTCCTGATTGCTCTAGCTGACTCCCAGTATATGTAAAACAAAAGTGATGAAAGTGGGCATCCCTGTCTTCTCCTAGATCTTAGAGGAAAGGCTTCCAGTTCTTCCCCATGTAGTATGATGTTCGCTGTGGGTTTGTCATGCGTGGTTGGTATGGTTAGGCTTTGTGTCCCCACCCAAATTTCATCTAGAATTGTAATTCCTAGGTGTTGAGGGAAGAACCTGGTGGGAGGTGATTGGATCACGGGGGTGGTTCCCCCATGCTGTTCTCATGAAAGTGAGTTCTCATGAGATCTGATGCTTTTATAAGTGTTTGGCAAGTTCCTCTGCTCACTCTTCTCTTGCCTGCCGCCATGTAAGATATGCCTGCTTCTCCTTCTACCATGATTGTAAGTTTCCTAAGGCCTTCCCAGCCATGCCAAACTGTGAGTCAATTAAATCTCTTTCCTTTATAAATTACCCAGTCTTGGCTATTTTTTATAGCAGTGTGAGAATGGACTAATACAATGCTCTCTATTGTTTTGTGTGAAGTTCTTTCTATACAGAGTTTGTTGAGAGTTTTTAATTATGAAGCAATGGGGACTTTTACCAAATGCTTTTTCTGCATCTATTAAGATGAGTATAAGGTTTTTTCCTTTACTCTTTCGATGCAGTGTATGATATTTACTGTTTTGCTTATGTTGAACCAACCATGCATCCCTGAGATAAATCCCACTTGATCATGGTGTATTATCTTTTTGATCTGTTGTTAGATTTGGTTTGCTAGTATATTTTAAAGGATGTTTGCATTTATGGTCATCAGGGATGTTGGCCTATAGTGTTTTCAATTTTTGTTTTATCTTTGTCTGATTTTGGCTTGTGGGTAATACTTGCATGATAGAATGAATCAGGAAGAATTCCTTCCTCTTGAAATTTTTTAAATAGTTTGAGAAGAACTGATATTAGTTCTTCTTTAAAGGTTTAGTGGAATTCAGCAGCAAAGCCATTCAGTGCTGGGCTTTTCTTTGTTGAGAGGCTTTTTATTACAGATTTAATCCTACTAGTTACTACTGGTCTGTTTAAGTTTTCTATTTCTTGGTGGTTCAATATTAGTAGGTTATATTCCAGGAATTTGCCCATTTCCTCTAGGTTTTCCAATTCATTTGTGTATAGATATTCATAAGAGTCTCTAGTGATCATTTGTATCTCTGTAGTATTAGATCTAATGTCTTTTTTGTTTCTGATTTTAGTTGTTTGGGGATTATCTGTTTTTTTCTTAATCTAGCTAATAGTTAATTTCATTTTCTTTTCAAAAACCCATCTTTTCATTTTGTGGATCTTTTTTTTATTTTGGAGACTCTATTTCATTTAGTTCTTCTCCACTCTTTATTATTTATTTTCTTCTGCTAATTTCAGGTTTGGTTTCTTCTTGCTTTTCTAGTTCCTTGATGTGCATAGTTAAGTTGTTTATTTGGAGTCTTTCTACTGTTTTGATGTAGGCATTTATTGTTCCAAACTTACCTCTTAGTACTGCTTTTGCTGCATCCCATAAATTTTAATATGTTTTGTTTCCATTTTTCATTTGTTTCATGAAATTTTTAAATTTTCTTTTTAATTTTTTCATTGACCCAGTGTTCATTCAGGAGCATGTTATGTAGTTTCCATGTATTAGTACAGTTTCCAATGTACTTCTTATTACCAATTTCTAGTTATTCCCTTGTGGTCAGAAAAAGTACTTGACATAATTTCTACTTTTTTTATTTGTTGAGACTAGTTGTATGGCTCAACATGTGGTCTATGCTGGAGAATGTTTCATATGCTGATGAGAATGCGTATTCTGCAGCTTTTGGATAAAATGTTCTGCAAATGTCTGTTAGTTCTATTTGGCCTACAGTGTAGTTTAAGTTTTTTTTTTTTTTTAATTTGTCTAAATAATATGTCCAATGCTGAAAGTGGGGTGTTAAAGTTGCCACTTTTTTGTGATCTATCTCTCTCTTTATCTCTAATGATATTTGCTTTAGATACCTGGGCACTTTACCGTTTGGTGCATACATATTTCTAATTGTTAGAAATTGCTGAATATATTCCTTTATCATTATATAATGACCTTATTTGCATCTTTTAAAAATGATTTTTAACTTAAAGTCTACTTTGTATGATATAAGCATAGGTACTTCTGTATGCTTTTGTTTTCCATTTGCATGGATTATCTTTTCCCACCCTTCACTTTCAGGCTATGTGTGCCTTTAGAGTGAAGTGAGTTTCTGTAGGCAGCATACAGTTCAGTCTTGTCTTTTTAAAATTTATTTAAATAGTCTAAATCTTTCAATTGAGAAATTTAAACTGTTTACATTCTAGGTTGTTACTGATAGATAAGAAGATACTCCTGTCATTTTGTAAATTGTTTTCTGATTATTTTGCATATCTTTTCTTCCTTTCTTCTCTTATTGCTTATCTTTGTGGCTTGGTGGCATTCTGTAGTGATAACATTTGATTCCTTTCTCTTTCTCATTTGTGCATCTGCTCTTTTGTGAGTTACACACTTCAGTGTATTTTCCTGATGGTTAATATTATCCTGCTGCATCCAGGTATAGGACTCCCTTAAGCATTTATTTTAAGGCCAGTCCATTTTTTGACAAATCTCCATTTTGTTTGTTTGGGAAAGACTTATTTTTTTTTTTTTTTTAAATTTCTGAAGTATAGCTTTGCTGGAAATAGTATTCTTGACTGATAGTTTTGTTGTTTCAGAGTTTGAACATATCATTCCATTCTCTCCTGACCTGTGAGTTTTTGGCTGAGAAATCTGCTGTTAGTCTTATGGGAATTCCATGTGACTTCACACTTTATCTATTTTTAGAAGTCTTTCTTTGCCTTTGACTTTGGATGGTTTGACTAAAATGTGCCTTGGGGAGGATACTTTTTGTTGTAGGATCTATAATATTTGGGGATCTTTGAGCTTTCTTTATCTGGATGTCAATATTTTTTGTAGAACTTGGGAAGTTTTTAGTTATTATTTAATTGAATAGATTTTCTATGCCTCTTTTTCATCTTTTCTCCTTCTGGAGCTCCCAAAAATCATATATTTGTTTGTTTGATGTTATTCCATATGACATGTAGGCTTTCTTCCTTCTTTCTTATTCTTTTTTCCTATTTTTTGTCTGACTGTGTTATTTCAAAAGAATATATTTATATATTCAAGTTCAGGAATTCTTTCTTCTACTTGGTTTAGTATATTATTAAAGGTCTTGATTTTTTAAAAAATAATTCATTGAATTCTCTAGTTCCAGAATGTGTGTTTGGTTCTTTTAAATGATATCTATATTTCTGTTGAGTTATTCCTCAGATGATGAATTTTTTTTCTTATTTATTTGTATTATTTATCTGTGATTTTCTGTATCTCACTAGTTTCCTTAAGGTTATTATTTTGAGTTCCTTTTCAGGTGTCCTACATATTTTCTTTTCTTGGGACCTGTTACTAAAGAGCTATTGTGATCCTTTGGAGTTGTCTTGTTTCCTTGTTTTTTCATGTTTCTTGTATTCTAATGTTGATGTCTGTACATCTGATGTAGCTGTCCCTTCTTCTAGTTTTATGGAGTAGTTTCCATATGAAAAGTGTTGTTCCTGTATCCATTCTGTTAGTTGGGTAGGGTGCTTTGGTTTCGATTCTAGATGAACATTTCAGTGTAGTCTCTATATGATTACTTCTGCTATAATCAATGTCATTGGTGTCTGCAAGTTACTAAGTGGCTTAGGCTGTGACTGCTTTTGGAGGCTGTAATGAGGGTTTGCTGGGGATTGGGGAATGTAGCAGGATAGTCCTCAGGCACCAAGGTGATGTGAAGGGGGCATCAGCACTGGTGACTTCTTGCCCTGGATGGGCCAGTCTTTAGGTCCTAGTGGGGTCCATGGGTACCAGTGGTGGCAATGGCAGATCAGTCTTCAGCCACCTAAGAAGGTCACATGAGTGCCAATTGTGTCCACAGTAGGGGAGGCATCCTAGTCCCTAGGCCTCTGAATGGGGCACATGGCATTAGCAGTGTTCACAGTGGGGTGAATGGGCCAGTTCCTAGAACTCTAAATGGGGTGCGTGGATGCTAGAGGTGTTCACAATGAGGCAGATGTGCCATTTCATTGGCACATGGCATGGATAGCCTGGTACCAGTGGTGTCTGCAGTGGTATGTGTGAGTGGGTCTCCAGGCCTCTGGGTGGGGCAAACGAGTCCTGATGGTGTCCGTGGTGTCTCTTAGACTTTTAAGATAAGCTTGTGGGCTAGTCAACTTGGAGAATGGAAATGACAAAGTTTAGTAGTTTTAGGACTATTTCTTGCACTTTGAATTATGTAAGAAAAGGGAAATATAAGCATATTTAGATTACTATGTGTTCACATTGAGTATAACCCATATAATGACCCAGATAAACATAAACTGATATTTATATCTATCTATCTATCTATCTATCTATCTATCTATCTATTGTGTATATATATATAAATTTAATTCACTGGTGGAATCAGTGGGAATATCTCTCAGTGTCTTGCTGATGATTTTAACCTACAATGACATTTCCCCCTCTGGTATGAACATATAATATTCAGGTTGGGTTATGTTGGTAATCTCTGTGAATATTATAGTGTTATTAATTTTACACCTTTATTTATTATATGGCCTAATATCATGATACAGAGAACCACTGTTGACAAATAACCCAATACCAAATATGAAAAATAAAATTGATATGCAAAATTACCATTGCTGGTTCCATCTAAACAAATTTATTTCTTTTGAAATTATTGTTATGAGTTATATAATTAATAAAAAGGTGAGTTACTATTTTGATTTATAAGCATCCTATTCTTAAAGCTGATTACAATAATCATGCAGAAATGGAAACAGATGCTTAGAATTTAGCATTATTTCCTAATTTACTCTATGATTTATTATAATCTCCTAACTATTCCACACAGCTAGTGAATAGGATGACTTTCTAGAGAAAATGGCTTTATTTAAGACCTAGTATTGGAAAATATATTTATTTCAACAACAATGGTTAGACATTTACATAAAAGGCAGCTTCTGGGTTCTTATGTCATTTAAGAGATAAAGAGAACTGGATAGTATTTCTCCCTCCTTCACAATAAGAAAAAACAGTTTTTTAAAACATCTTAAAAATTGATTACTTTTACCATAAGACAATGAATGTTGTAGGGCAAAAAAAGTAAATCCAGAGTGACAAATGTGCTCTAAGGAAGGAACAAGATCCAGGAATTTGTTTACCTGAGGCATAAGATGCTGAATGTCATTTGAGTTGATATGCGGAGTCAATTAGAAGTTTTTCACTAATTACTAATGTCTGAGTGTAGTTAAGCATGAAAATTGGAAGCCACAACAAGACACTGGCAAATGTTAGGTTTGCACCCTCTTACAAGATTTTCCTCTAGCAACCACACCAGGTACTCACAGGGAATACTGTTGAGAATACTGAGAAAGCCTCCCTCATGGTGCTGGCTGGGCAGTGAGTGACACTGCCCAGCCCAGTGTCAGTCTCATCTTCGGCCTAGTCTCATCTTCTCCACCTCTGCTAATGAAAACAAGCCCTCACAGGCAAAGCAGAAGTCATCAAAACCTGTGGCCTGAGGGCACATATGGAAATCCCCAGCAACTCTGGGAAGAAAACAAGAAGAAAATATTACTTCTTAGGGAAGTGGAGAATATTTAGCCCATTATTTTGTCTGGAGGTGGGGCAGGGATATCTATGAAGGCTTTAACCTGGTACTCATTTTTGTAGTACCTGCCTAGGACTACAACTCAAAGAAAACTTCAGAGAATGACTCCCCCTCATTTCCTCCCAAACAAAATACTTTCAAGATACCTGTGAAAATAACAATGGGATATAGCTGGAAGAGCAGCAAGAGAGAAATAATCCTTTCTTGTGAGCAGCACAAAGTGGAGATCTAAAGTCAGTGGGGGAACAAAGTCCGTCAGGAAACATTTATACAGAAAAAAGCCTTTGGTAAATTAGTCAATGCTATGAACATAGGTTATCACTAGAGGAAGTTGAAGGTTTTGGTGTGCTGAGGTAACAACACCAACAACAAGTGTCGACCCATTTCAACTCTCAACTAGATTAAGCATAAAAAATAAGGCCTAGCAACAGGTAAGGTATATTCATTTTCAAGCATAAAAAAGCATAAGTCCGTAGTATCTACTGTCCTATACAACAGGACTACCTTTTAAAAACAAAGCCTGCAGAGAAAACATAATCATCAAAACCAGTCTCAAATATTATACATATGTTAAGACTACAATAATTAAAAATAACTATAATTAATATTTTAAAGGCTAATGGAAAATGTAGAAAATATGGAAGATTAGATAGAAATTTAGCAGAGAGATTGAAACTATAAGAAAAAAATTGAACTACTAGAAATTGGAAATATCATAACAGATATAAAGAAGCCCATCTTTGACAGTCTCGGTAGTATGGGCAAACTTTGGAGATATTGTAGGTTCAGTTCCAGACCACTACAATAAAGTGAATATTGCAATAAAGTTAGTAACTTTTTTTTGTTTCCCAGTGCATATAAATGTTATATTTACACTATACTGTAGTGTATTAATTATGCAATAGCATATGTCTAAAAGGGACACTGTACATACTTTAATTTGAAAATACTTTATTGCTAAAAATATACTACTGATCTTTTGAGTCTTAAGCAAGTCATAATCTTTTTGCTAATGGAGGGTCTTGCCTCAATGTTGATGGCTGCTGACAGAATAGGGTGGTAGTTACTGAAGGTTGGGGTGGCTGTGGCAATTTGTTAAAAAACAAGACAACAATAAACTTTGCCACATTGATTTACTCTTGATTTCATGAAAGATTTCTCTGTAGTGCATGATGCTGTTTGATAACATTTTACCCAGAATAGAACTTCTTTCCAACCTGGAGTCAATCATCTCAAATCCTGCTGCTGCTTTATCAATTAAGTTTATGCAATATTCTAAATTATTCCTTGTCATTTCAATAATGTTCACAGCATCTTCACAGGGAAAAGATTTCATCTCAAGAAATCACTTTCTTTGTTCATCCAGAAGAAGAAATTCCTTATCCGTTCAAGGTTTATTATGAGATTTAATCAATTCAATCACATCTTCAGGCTCCACTTCTAATTCTTGTTATCTTGCTATTTCCACCACATCTGTAGTTACTTCTTCCACTGAAGTCTTAGACTCTTTAACGTCACCCATGAAGGTTGGAATCAACTTCTAAACTCTGGTTAGCATTGATATTTTGACAAATGTTCTTAATGACATCTAAAATGCTGAATCTTTTCTAGAAGATTTTCAATTGACTTTGAAAGAAATACATTTCATAAGGCTAAAGCCATCCATTGTGATCAGAGGAATCACAATGGATGGCTGTAGCCTTATGAAATGTATTTCTTACATAACAGGAATTGAAAGTCAAAATTCCTCATTGATCCTTGGGCTGCAGAGTGGATACTGTGTTAACAGGCTAAAAAACAAAATTAATCTTGTACATGTCCATCACAGCTCTTGGGGGACTAAGTGCGTTGTCAATGAACACTAATATTTTGATGGAATTTTTTTTTCTGAGCAGTAGGTTTCAACAGTGGGCTTGAAATATTAAGTAAAACATGCTATAAATAGAAGTACTGTCATCCATGTTGTTTTGTTCCTTTGATAGAGCACAGACAGAGTAGATTTAGTATCTATAAGGGTCCTAGGATTTTCAGAATAGTAAATGAGCACTGGATTCAACTTAAGATAAGTAGGTATGTTAGTTCCTATCAAGTAACTCATCCTATCCTTGAAAGGTTTAAGCCAGGCATTGCCATCTCTTCTCGTGTTTTGAAGTTTTAGATGGCATCCTTTTCTAATACAAGGGATTTTGTCTACATTAAAAATCTGTTGTTTACTGTAGCCACCTTCATCAGTGATCTTAGCTAAATATTCTGGGTAACTTGCTGTAGATTCTGCATCAGTACTTGATGCTTCACCTTGTCTTTTCATGTTATGGAAATGGCTTCTTTCTTTGAATCTCACGAATAAACCTTTGCTAGCTTCAAACTGTTCTTCTCCATCTTCCTCACCTCTCTCAGCCTTCACAGAATTGAAAAGAGTTAGGGTCTTCTTCTGGATTTGGCTTTGGCTTAAGGGAATGTTGTGGCTGTTTAGATCTATCCAGATGATAAAAATATTCTCCATGTCAGCAATAATGCTGCTGGTTTTCTTATTACTTATGTGTTATTTGGAGCAGCACTTTAATTTTCGTCAAGAACCTTTCCTTTGAATTCACAATTTGGCTATGTGTTTGGTGCAAAAGGCCTAGCTTTTGGTTGATCTTGGCTTTCATCATGCCTTTCTTATTTAGCTTAATCATTTCTAGCTTTCGATTTAAAGTGAGAGACATGTAGGTCTTCCTTTTACCCTCACACTCAGAGACCATTATAGGGTTAGTAATTGGCCTCATTTCAATATTGTGTCTCAGGCAATAGGGAAGCTTGAAGAGAGGAAGAGAGACAGGGAAATGGCTGCTTGGTGGAGTAGTTAGAACACACATTTACCAGTTAAGTTTACCATCTAATATGGTTTGTAGTGCCCCAAAACAATCACAACAGTTACATGAAAGATCACTGATCACAGGTTGCCATAACAGATATAATAATAATGAAAAGGTTTGAAATATTGCAAGAATTACAAAAATGTGACACAGAGATTTGAACTGAGCACATACTTTTGGAAAAATGATGCTGATAGACTTGCTCAATAGATGGTTATCACAAATCTTCTATTTGTAAAAAATGAAATATTGGCAAAGTTTAAGAAAGCAAAGCCTAATAAAATGAGATATTCCTGTAAAATCAACCCAGCCTGAGGAAAATAATCAGTGGATTTCTAGATTGGTCAATAGAGATTGCCACAAATAAAATGTAAAGAGATAAAAGAGTGGGAAAAAAGAGAGCAGAGTAACAAAAAGCTATGAGGCAATATCATCTGGTCTAACACATGTGTAATTAGAATATCAAAGGGAGAAGAAATAATGAGCAGAAGAAATTTTTTAAAAATGTGCCTAAGAATTTTCTGAAATTAGTGACAGACACCAATCCACAGATCCAAAGAGCTGAGAGAACAACAAGCAGGACAAATTCCAAAAAGACACATCTACATATATCATATTCAAACTGTTGAAAGCCAAGCAAGTGAGCAACCAAAGTAACACACACACACACACACACACACACACACACACACACACACGAGAGAGAGAGAGAGAGAGAGAATCTTAAGGTAGCTGGTATGGGGGTTATATAATTTATAATAGTACTTAAAATGAAATGCTTTGGTGTAACTAAATATAACAGAATGTGTGGAGAATCTGTATGCTGAAAAGGAAATAAATCTGATGGAAAAAATAAAAGACAATCTAAATAAATGGAAAGCTACACAGGGTTAAGTATTTGAAACACTTAATATTTGAGATGTCAATTCTTACCAAACTGATTTTTATCCCAACAAAAATCCCAACTAACTTCTGTAAATATTGACAAGCAGATTCAAAATGTATACGGAAAGGCAAAGGAACCAGATTAACCAAACAATTTTTATAAAGAAAAAAATTGTGAGGGGGATCTGACACTACTACATTATAGTACTGTTATAAAGCTACAGCATTCAAGACTACAATATTAATGAAAGGATCAAGTCATAAATCAATGGAGCAGAATAAATATCTTAGAAATAGACCCACAAAATGTAGCCAACTGATTTTTCACAAATATAGAAATAGAAAAGGCATAGTCTTTTTAGCAAATGGTACTGAAGCAATTGAACTTCCATATGCAAAATAAATAAATGACACCTCGGCAGACACTTCATGCCTAATATAAAAATAAACTCACAATGGATTATAGACCCAAATAGAAACATAAACTATAAAAGTTCTAGGAGAAGGAGGATTGCATGACCTTAGCAATGAATTCTTAGGTATAGTGCAAAAGCATGAGCCATATGTTTTATAAATACAGTTTTTCTATTTATGTTTGATAAATAGAGTTTATCAAAATTAAAACATTTTGCTCTTCAAAATATATTCTAATGAAAGTGAAAATACAAACAACAGACTGGTAGAAAATATTTGCAAATTACATTAGAGATAAAGAACTTGTATCTAGAAATGTAGAGAACATTTAACAATCACAAGAAAACAAACTACCTAACTAAGATGGGAAAGGTCTCAAACATTTTGAGAAAGAAAATAAACAGATGACAATCAAAACCATATTGAGTTACCTCTACACACATATCAGAATGGCGAAAACAAAACAAAACAAACATACAAAAATTGATAATAGCAAATGCTTGTGAGGATGCAGGAAACAGAAACTCTCCTTCATTGCTGTTGGGACTGCAAAATGGTATGTACAGCCACTTTGGAAACTGACAGTTTCTTACGACGTTAAATATATATTCACCGTGTGAACCAACAATACCATGTTTGGTTTTTCTTTTTGTTTTTTGTTTTTTGTTTTTGAGACGGAGTCTCACACTGTTGCCCAGGCTGGAGTGCAGTGGTGCGATCTCGGCTCACTGCAAGCTCCGCCTCCCGGGTTCACGCCATTCTCCTGCCTCAGCCTCCAGAGTAGCTGGGACTACAGGCGCCCACCACCACGCCCGGCTACTTTTTTGTATTTTTAGTAGAGACGGGGTTTCACCGTGTTAGCCAGGATGGTCTCGATCTCCTGACCTTGTGATCTGCCTGCCTCGGCCTCCCAAATTGCTGGGATTACAAGTGTGAGCCACCGCGCCCGGCCCCATTGTTTAGTTTTTAACCTAGGTAAATTAGTAAAAGTCTGTGTGCACAAAACCTGAAACCTGTATGCAAATTTTTCTAAAAGCTTTATAATCACCACAAAGCAAAAATAACCAGGATTCCCTTTAACATATGAGTAGATTAACATGCTGCAAAGTACCTATACAAAGAAACATTACTCAGCACTAAAAAGAAACTGTTGATTCATACAACAATATGAAGAAATCTTGATTTCATTTTGCCAAATGAAAGCAGCAAGACCCAAAGGGCTGTATACTGTATAATTTCATTTACATGACATTTTGCTAAATGAGAAAAAAAAATCAGTTGTTGATCAGGACATTTAGTTTTGATCACTGGAGAGCACACAATGGAAATTTAGAATGAGGCAACTGTTTTATATGGTTCTGCAGTGATGTACAAATGACACTACGCATTTTTCAAAATTTCAGAAACCATACAAAATAGTGCATTAAATGTACTCATATTAAAATAAAAACTAAGCTTTTGGAAATCCAAGGATGAAATGAAGACTGTGCCAAATAAATCTAAGTACAGGGTTTAATCTCACTGAAGTGTGTGAGAGAAACAAGAAAGAGCTCACAATAACGTTGGGAACAATGTTTTGACTAGACCATAAAATTAAAGGCAGAAAGAACTTTACATAAGCACTTTATTTTAGCTGGTAATTTTGATCTCACAGGGTAAATTTAGCCATTCTGGAACTACAACTCCTAAAGTTGTACAAGTAAGTAAACAAAATGTAGACAGTTCACTACATGGAATGGAATGGGAACCAAATTCTTTATATCGAAAAAGGAAATTACAAATGAGCAAGTGGGAGAGGCTAGAATGACCACTGTGGCCATGAGTTACAATTGGAAATAAAAGATTGAGTTCTTGTTTCTTTTAATATGCATAAATATAAGTAAATACAGAAATACATATAAACGTGTGCATATGTACATATAACTTTCTCTCTCTTTCCAGAAAAAGTAAACAAGCAATGATAGTTCTATAGCAATGAGCACCACTGTTGTTTATATCATGGATTCTAAATATGATTCTGCAATCATATTTAGAGAAATGACTGATTTCTTTGGTCATATTTGGAGAAAATATGGGGCTTGGGCAGGAAAAATACAAATGATTCTGGAGCATCCTCTGGTGCTAGAAAGCAAGCAAGGGCTGATAAATACATAAACATACAGATAAATACATAGGGCATGTCAAAGTGATCCAAGAGTTATCCTGAAACCTCAAAAAATCTCCCAAGACAACCCTAGAACAACTTGAGTAACAAAATAAACAATGTCATTATTGAATTACATCCATTAGATCAAATAAACACGTGCCCATACTGTTATAAATAATCAAATAAATTAATTGATGAAGAAAGGGAAAAGCTTCTTTACAAATGGTGAATGTAGAAGAATGGCAGAAATAACAAGTCAACAGGTCTGAAAATATCTCCCCAAAATATTTATTAAGTACTATGGTAGTTGAAACATATGCCTGTAAATTCTCTGATACTCCTCTCTCCATGGTGGAGCTTGAGGGTGGGTTAGATTTGTTAAGAAGCTTCTAATGAATAGAGCAGGAAAAGAGACAAAAGGCAGCTTTCCAGTGGAGAAATCTATCAGTCGCTAACTTAGCCATGGTGTCAAAGTAAGCCATCTCCAATAACAAATCATGTTGATATCAAGTTTCCCTGACATATTAGAAAAAGGCTTTAAATGATATTCTTCACAAAATCCATACCTCAGTTGCACTGTGAGAACCACAGAAACCCATATCAAGGGCCATTCTACAAAATACCTTCCAAAGTATATTGGTAATGAACAACAAGGAAAAACTGACAAACTGTCACAAACTGGAGGAAACTAAGGGGATACGATGACTTAGTAATGTGGTAACCTGGACTGGATCCTGGAAATGAAAAAAAAATTAGGGGAAAATACAGGCAAATCCTAATGAAGTCTGTAACTTAGTTAATAGTATTATACCAATGGTAATTTTTTACTTTTAATAAATGTATCATGGTTATTCAAGATGTTAACATTAGGGGAAGCTAGATGAAGCATATATGAAAACTCTACAAGCTTTGCAACTCTTCTTTAAGGATTTAATCATTAAAAAATTAAAAATAAATGAAAAAAACAGCTGCAACAATGGTCTATACGTTGAGAATTTCAAAAAGATGCTGTTTACTTTGGGATTCAAGTAAAAACACTATAGTTGTTAAACCCTAGAGTACTCTTGAAAAAGACGGTTTTGTACACTTTAAACTGAAAGAGTATAGGAAAAATAATTTCACTCTTACAGCTAGGAAACAAAAGGGAACAAATACAAATGGGATAATTATTGAAGTTTCTGCAAGGGGGAATAAATCGCTCAATGTCCCTTCATTGCATAAAGGCAAAGTTCTCTAATTATTAAAGAAAAAAACCTCAACATTTTGATTGATAGGCCCTGTGACATCTGTCATACATCTTGACATTGTTACCTAACTTCTCCCTGGGACTGAATAACTATCAGGTGCCGGGTACCGCTAATAAACCTCAAACACTTTGCATGCCCCAGTGCATAACTGTCGCCCTCAGACTCTTAATTGAGAAACATTCTTTCCTCCTTTGTGACATCACATCCACTAACCAAATGGGGTGGTGTGAGTATCTCCTATAAAATAAAAGCTCTCCTGATGGCCTGTTCCTGCACATTTCCTGAGGACGCCCTCGATCACAAGCAGGTTATAGCTATTTAAACCTTGCCTTACCTGTACTCTTTACACAAATTGAAGGTCAAAGAAGTAGTCATACTTCTGGGCATAGATTAAACTGATTTTGTAATACTGTTTAGGCTGAACCTATCAGTTTCAGACTAAACCCTCCAAATATCTGCCCAAACTTGCCCCATACCCTCTAAAACCAAGGCCTAACAAAGCACTAAAATCAATAGATGAAAACCTAATTGAGAAATGAATCATGAAACTTTGTACTATTCCTTGTAGTACTTCTCTAAATTTAAAAAAAAGAAAAAGAAAAAAAAACACAGGGCAGTGATATAAATTTGTTCAGAATCTCAGGAGTATAAATTGAATAATGATCTCCCACTTCTCTGTAGTAACAAATTCAAATATTATTTTGTCTTTGGTGCATAATGAAATTGCATATTTTACAGCTGTAAATCTGTTTTCTGTTCCTTTAGAATCTGTTTAATTCAGAGTCATATGTTTGCTTTCTTCTGAGAAATTCGATAACGTACACTGGTAATTATGACTTAGGGCTTATTGAGATATTGTCTTAATTTTTAAAAGTCTTTAACCAGGGCCTCAAGGAACTTACATTTCCCTATATTCTACCATACTTTGTGGCATTCTAAAGTTTAGCTGAGCTCTAGGACTGACTCCATCCATCTAATTACTTGTTTTATCTCTAATAGTCTATAAACTTTCTGATGGGGACTAAAATTTTTTCTCAAAGTAAAGTGTATCATCTGAAGCATAATATATCCCAAGGAGGTAAATTTCTCTTTTCTGAAAGATCATAACCATTCAGAATTTTTCTAGTTAGTAACCAGGAGATTTTAGAGATGATTCTTTGGGTCTCATTCACTATAGCCAACAATGGGTTTCCAAATGTATTCATTTTCTGTGGCTAGATATTAAATTAGCACAGAGTTAGGCGCAAAAAGCAACACACATTTATCACACCACAGTTTCTGTGGATGAGGAGTTTGGGTAAGGCTTAACTAGGTCCTTTGTTCAGGGTCTCACAAGCCGAAATCAAGGCATTAGCCACGTTGCAGTTCTCTTCTGGAGCTCAAAGTTCTCTTCCAAGCTCATTAATGTTGGTAGAATTTAGTTACTTGTGGTTGTAGCATCAAGGTCCTCTCCTTTTAGAGGCTCCCCCTCTTTACTGGCAGCTTTCAATACAGCTGTTTCTCTTTAAGGCTAGCTAGAGATTCTTTTGCTTTTATGGCTTTCACCTGATTAAGTCAGTGCCCATCCAGAATAATGTCCCTTTTGAGTCAAAGTCAACTAATTAGAGATCTCAGTTACAGCGGCAAAACCCTTTCACCTTTTCTGTGTTACATAATCCAATCACTCAAGTGACATTTATCATATTCAAAGATCCTACTTATATTCAAGGGAGAGGGTTATACAAGAACATGCACATCTGGGCATTTTAGGAGTCATTTTCTTATTCTGTCTGCCACGTTGACTTTCAGAAATTGACACAATACTGTATCACTTAACCAAATCTTTGTTAATCAAATCTCTTATCTGAGAATTTATGCATATATAGGCATTTCATGCTTTAAAAATTAGCCCTTCAACAACCTCTCATTATGAGCCTGCGTCATCATGAATCATGTTACCTATTCATACATAAAAGATCTGAACAAGTCAAATATCTCTTCCATCTCAACAAACCAGTATCATGCAACTATTTTTCTACTAACCCAATGTCAAAATCCTACTTTCCTAAGCTGAAAGCAGAAGTTGAAACTTGATGGAGGCTTCTACTAACAGTTTTACTTTCTACCTTAAACTTAATGGTTCCCTATTTTGCCAGTCTTTGCTGCCCATTAAAAGTATGCAATATTTCCTAAGAAAGTAGGCTTACTTTCTAAAATTGAATTACTTTCTTCTTTCCATGTTTCTGTTCATCACTGTAATACTTTAAATACTATTAATCTTCTTCCATTAGAAGAGGGAAGCTCATGGCCCCCTAACCACTGCTTCCTGAATATCTAGTAAATTTATTAAAACACGCTAATAAATTAATTAAAGCATGCCCAGAAATCCAGATTTAATCTTGATTTGTTTGTAGGTCATATCCTAAGAATGAAACCAGAAAATATCAGGCAGAAAACACTGGAACAAATTTTAACTCACCATTTTGACCCCTTTCCAGAAATGAAAATATTCTTAGATAACATAATTGTTTCCATTCCCATAGCTTGCTGGATGAATAAAGGAAAGAAGGTTTATATACACTAATAATAGAAATGTTTTGGGATGGTTCATGATTTCGAAAAGCTTCAGAGAAAATAAAGATGCTTAATGTAAGTATCTTTGCAGTAAGATAATGTAATTATCTTACATTATCCATAATTTAGAATGGTTAGCAGATTAAAAGTATTTTAATAACTCTAATGGTTCCTAAGAAGTTGACTATTATCAAGGTGGATATCAGTTCAAAAAGGGACATCATCAAAGCAAAAGAAAATGTCGATTGATCATTACACCAATGGGTAGTTCTCACCAAGATCTCTAACCCACAACACTCAGAGACTACATCTTTGAAGAAGTTCAAAGAGAATATTATACTATGCCAGTCTTTGGTTCTACAGTAAGAAAACTAGAATAATAAGCACAATGGAATTGTCACCAGAAAGTATAAACAAGATGAGTATAAACAAAATTTATAAACAAGATGTAAACAAACACGTTTTTAAAAACCTGTATTTATGAAAACAGTCAATCAACTCAAATGTTACATACAATTTTTCAACAAGAGAAATAAAAGCTATAATATGAAAATCACCTCTGGCCCACTTAGAGTGGCTTCTGGTGGCCCCAAGTGAAGTCTTCTTAAAAAGGCATGTGACATTACGCACACATGTAGGACAAACTGGCCTCTGTACTCAACCAACATCAGTGAGAAAATGAATTTCATTTCCTGTTGCTGGACTACTCTTTATGCATGGTGCCAAAGAATTATAATATTATCTGACAAACCCATATGGGCATTTTGGCCAAAACCAGATCATTGAATGGTCCCCAACAACCAATTTCCAGATGGACGCACAAAAGCCTACTGCCTATTATCCAAAAAGTGAACAGGAATATGTTACCATGTTAAACTGATATCCACCTTAAGGATAGTGGCTAACAATGTCAACTCACATATATTTTGATCCATCAGTTTCCCGTCTCAGTAAAAGATTAATATGCTTTCTTTGTATGTTTTACATAAATTGAATCATTTTTAAAAGCTTTACTAAATATGTAATATATGGAAGGTGTATTATTAACTGCTACAGGAAATACCTGTGGGAATAAGTTGTGTGTGTGTGCACATGTATACACACATACATGTGTGGTTAAATTTCAAAATTTCTTCCAAGCTATAGGTAAATTTTCAAATGACTTTTATTTTCGTATGTAGTTCAAAATGTGGAATGATAAGATAAAGAAATGATACTTTAGGAAGCCAGACTTATCAGGTATTATAACAATTAATTTAAAGTTCAAACTCAATTGAAATCACTCTATTGAGTCTCCAACTACTAAATTAGTTAATGATTCTTTTTAACCTTTGGGATCTTGGTTTGATGGAAGTGAATATAAGTATCAAAATTCCTTAAATATTTCCAATATGAAGACAAGTTTAAATCATATATAAAATTCAAATAAAGGTCTGTCACCAGGAACATTAATAAGCATAATGTAACTGTCACTATAAAGTCTTAATAAACAAGTTGTAAACAAAATACAATTTTTAAAAACTGTGTTGATGACAATAGCTTATCAACTTGAATGTTACATACACTCTTTCAACAAGAGAAAAAAGCTGAGCAAACTGAAATCAATGAATTTTATTGGACCCATTAGAGAACTGAAGTCATAGAGCAAATCATCATCCTGAAATCTGGAGACAGGCAAATACAGAGGGTCATAACTGGAGTCTGCTTATTTGGAGCAGAAGTTTCCAAAGCCATAAACTGGTAGTAACATTTATAAGGTAATTCTTCTGAACTGCTGAAGCTTTTTGATGAGGCTGAGTTTCAATCAGCACGAGCATAAGAAACTCAGAGGTACCATTTATGGAGGCTTCCATACTTTGGTGGGTTTTTACTTCTAGGAACCCCACCAACTTATCATTGTGAAGAGGTAAGAGAGAGACCCTCACGGCTGTGACAGTGGGTAGAGAAAGTTACCATTTGAAATATTTGAAACCATTTTTATTTTATTTTTATAAAATAAATATTTTTATCCTAAAAAATATTTATTCTGTTAGTTATTTTATCCCCCCACTATCACATTCTTGTGATAATCACATCTTTTAAATCTGTAAGCAATGTTATCTTTTAATATAATCTTTGAAATATAATCTTCGAAATCTCACAAAAATTTATATTTTATAATTCACCGTGAATAGCAAAGCCAAAAGAATAACCCACTATTTCCTATACTCAAACATGTTACACATCAACCCAAAAGAAAAAAGACACGAAACCAAAACCAAGGAAACACATATGCTTAGTTAGGAGTTAAAGTTACTCAAGCTCTCCAAATAAAACATACAAATTATTAGCATTAATTAATTATTATTATTTTTTTGAGATGCAGTCTCACTCTGTTGCCTAGGCTGGAGTGCAGTGGTGCGATCTCGGCTCACTGCAACCTCCACTTCCCGAGTTCAGGTGATTCTCCTGGCTCAGCCTCCCCTTGTAACTGGGATTACAGGTCTGCGCCACCACACCTGGCTAATTTTTGTATTTTTAGTATAGACGGGATTTCACCATGTTGGCCAGGCTGATCTCCAACTCCTGACATCCTGATCCACCCACCTCGGACTCCCAAAGTGCTGGGATTACAGTCATGAGCCACCGTGCTTGGCCTAATTTAATACAATTATAACTTAAATGGCCACTTTGTCATTGACAATGATTGCTTGAGCACAGGGTGAGTGCCCCATAAGCTGTTAGGAGCTGTTTCTTCAGATCAATGTCTCCTCTCTGCACTGCCAGCTCCTACCTGTGCATCATCCCCTATATACTGTGCATTATATGTATATATATATATATATATATATATATATATATATACACACACACATATATATCTTTAAAAAATATTTTCCACCACACATACTTCCTTTCATTAATCAGATAACAGGGAAGAACAACAACAAAATCTGAACAAGCCGATCACTTTCTCTTTGGGATATGATTTTTTTCCTTGTGCATGAAGTATTCAGCAACAACATAAGAAAGGGAAAAGAAGAACCATTTCTTGTGTATACTCCCTAAACACACAAGCCTAGTCCACTGGGTGGGATATAACTGTATTTATATGCCTACCTCCAGGCATGGTCACTTGATGTTTCACTACTACTGGTTGCTGTGTCTAAGTTCTCACACTCTGCTTGACAAGTGCTTCTTTAAGGGGATAACAGGCTAGAACTGCAGCTCTGCAAGAAGTCATTCTTCCCAAGGCCACTTCTTCTCAGCTTCTCTGTCTTCATGAATTCTTTGAGCTCAATCTTCTGTGAGAAGAAGGCAGTTGTCTTCATTTTCAGGATAGAAGACACTGTTAAGAGAATGAACAGAGTAGTCACAGACTGAGGGAAATATGCAAAAATACAAAAGAAATTACTTTATTGTAAATCATACCTAACACTCAACAATAATAGTACAGACAACTCAATTAAAAAATGAGCAAAAGATCTGACAGACATGTCATCAAAGAACATGTACAGATAGCAAATAAGCATAGGAAAATTTTATCAAAACATTTGTCTTTAGGAAATTGCAAATTAAGACAAAATGCTGCTACATACTTGTTAAAGAGGTTAAAATTTAAAAAATTGGACAATACCAATATGTGGTAAGGATGCAGTGCAACAGGAACTCTCATTCACTGCTAGTTTTGGAAGACAGCTTGGGAGTTTCTTACAAAGTTAGAGATAGTCTTACCTCAACATCCAGAAATTATACTCTTGAATATTAATGCAACTGACTTGAAAACTTATGTCTACACAAAAACCTGCATGTCAATGTATATAGCAGCTTTATTCATAATCATCAGAAAGTGTAAGTCACAAGATAGCCTTCAGTATGCTAATGAATAAACAAACTACGACATATCAATACAATGGATACTGTTTAGTGATAAAAAGAAATGAACCATTAAGCAATGAAAAGACATGGATGAACCTGAAGTGCATAATAGTAGGTGAAAAAAGCCAGTCTGAAAAGGCTACATGGTATATCATTTCAGTTATATGAGATTTTAGAAAGGCAGTAAAAAGACCATTAAAAGACTATTGTATGTTAGGAGTCTGGAGAAGCATAATTCTCCACTTCTTCCATGTGGGCTATGCAAGTTGACACCCTTTCAAAGGCTACAGTGTGGACAATGGAAAAAGTAACTTTACATTAGAGAAATGGACAAATCTACCTAAGCCCGATGATGAAGGCCAACATTAACTGTGACAAGGAATGTCGATAGCAGTTGCCTTGATATGATAAAAGGCACTTTCCCTTTGTGGCCTTCCAAATATGTATAAATTATTCTAACCATCAAACACTAATTGAGGGACATTCAACAAAATACCTTCCCAGTACTCCTCAAGATTGTCAAAGTCATTAAAAACAAGGAAAGGGCAAAACTGCAATAGCCAAAGAAGCTGAAAAAGACATGACTAATTGTGATGTGGTGTCCTGGATGGGACCTTGGAATCACAAACAGACATTAGCAAAAAATTAAGGAAATCTGACAAAAGGCATGGATTTAATAACGAGGTGTTAATATTGGTTCTTTCATTGTGAAACATGTATTATATAATGTAAGATGTTTCTAATAGGAGAAAGTGGGTATGGAGATACATGAAACTCTGTGCTATCTTTGCATTTTTTTTTTCTGTAAATTAAAACGGTTTTAAAAAACAAAGTTTATATTAAAAATATTTAAAATGTCATGACCATCTGCCTCTTGTCATATAGCCATGCCTCCATGGCTAAGACATATAGGAGTAATTAAATGGTTCTTTTATTAAAGAAAGGAAGAAAGGAAATATCTTACAATGTGATAGAGGAAGTCACTTTAAACTATGCAGTTTTCCCTTTCAGAACCGTCCAATTCAAATGTTCTCTGACAGAATTTGTTTACATTATTAATTCTGAGAGTCTTGATAACTCTTATACTTGAGCCAAAATTAAAATGCCAGGAGAAGTATCCATTTCAAAGGGAAAAGGAAGTGGCTACCCACGTAGTTTCGTAAAGACTTGTGCTCCTGAGAAACAAAGAAGTGAACCAGACAGAAGATAAAATGCTAGATGAAAATTGATGATAATAATTGCTTGAGAAGGCTTAGAAAAATAGAAAATCACAGTGGGCACTTTCTGTTTTCCTTGCTTGCTGAAAGACAAATAGAAACAAAGTATCAGGTACAGATGCTTCTGATATGGGATCACACAATAACAACACTGCTTCAGACACACTCTAATGAAAGTCAGCTTTCTTTCAAATCATTTTAAAAAAAATTGTATCCTTTATTTCCTATTTTGTGTAAAAAAAGGAGTATGGATCTTTATACAGATAGAGTGAAGTGGAGATTTGCAAAACCACTGAAGTATTTTAAAGATTGTAAAATAATCATAATAACAATTATGTATTGAATAAGAATGGTAGTCACTGCCCTAAATATTTAACCTGGTTTATCGTATTTAACTTCCCAAACCACTGTATGAGGTAGACATTACTATTATCATTCCCATTTTACAAAAGAAAAAACCGTATCGATAACGCTTCAAATTGATGCTCAGACCACTTCCCTGCCTTCCGGTCATAAGCACACAAGTTTACTTAGCCTAAAGAAACTTCTCCTAGTTGTCAATATGATTAAATTATATAAATATTATTTAATTATCTCAAGTTCTGAAAATAAGATATATTTAACTATGAAGATTTAATAAGGCAAAAGTATAAGGACAGATGAGTTATGTTTTCCATTAAAATACTAGTTTTTAAACTCAGAGTATTGACACTCTAAAACAATGTTAAAAACAAGCTGACCGGGGAGGATTGCTTGAGGCTAGGAGTTCGAGACCAGCTTGGGCAGCATAATGAGACTCCATCTTAATAAATACATTAAAAACCATTAGGGAGTGTCGTGGTGCAAGCCTATAATCCCTGCTACTCAGGAGGCTGAGCCATGATCACACCACTGCTCTCCAGCCTAGGTGACAGAGCAAGACCATGTCCAAAAAAAAAAAAAAAAATGAAACATAACAACAAAACATAACACTGTTTCCCCAGTTTCAATTTCTATTATATAAAAATCCTCATTTGCAGTTTTACAATGCTATCTATATGGCTACCACCTTTTCATTAAATAGTTCTATTGTCTTTATGAACTCTCTCTGACTTGCATTTGGCATATATTGAGAACTCTTAAAATTCAGTAAAATATACAAAAAACAATACAAACTAGGCAAAATATTTCAGCAGACATTCCACCGAAGAATATACATAAATGTCAAATATACTTATCAAAGATACTCAGTATCATTAGTCATTAGTGAAATGCAAATTAAACTCAACTAGATACCACAACAAATCTCTTAGAGTGGCTAAGAAATACTCAAAATACCAAGTGCTAGCAAGAATGCAGACAAACTGGAACATTCAAACACAGGTGTTAGGAAATAGTACAGCCCATTTGAACTATTTGACAGTTCATTATACACTCGCTATCAAACCAGCCACTCTACTTTTAGGTGTTTGCCCAACTAAAAACTTATGTTTACGCAAAAACCTGCATATCAATATTTATAGTAGCTTACACCTGTTGGTGCAATAGTAATTGTGTTTTTTTTTAAACAGCATTACTTTCAATGGTAAAAACTGCAATTACTTTTGCACCAAACTAATATAAAACAATTTGGGGAGAACTGGCACCTTTACTATGTTGAATGTTCTAATCTATCTGTATTTGATTTTAAAAAATTTCCCTTATTAACATTTTGTAGTTTTCACCACGTCAATTCTGTACATGTTTTGTTATATTACTATCTAAGTAGTAAATTTTCTTTGGAATGATTGCAAATGGTAGTTGAGTTTTAATTTCAATTTCTAAATATTCCTTGTTTGCATACAAATTGTGATTAAGTTTTGTCTGTTGATCTTGTAACCTGCAGCCTTGGTGAACTCACTTATTGGTTCTAGGAGTATTTTATAATATATTTATAGGGCTAGTCTACACACCACCTGTTATGGCGAGGTCCCTCTTGCTGGTTGGTGCACAGCTACCTGGGTATTCCTGGATGTGGGAGTGGGGTTTCAGGATAAGCCTGGTGGGAGAGTGCTTCTACTGGCCCCTCTATGTTTACTGGGTCCTGATTGATTCCTCTTGCTGGTGGAATCTTGCTTGGTATTATTGGAGGGACATGCATTTGATCCAAGGGAGACTTAATCCTTTCTGAGCCACCTTCTTTTGCTAGATTATGGGCTGGGAAACACTTGGCCTGTGTGGCCTTCTTCTGTTTGGTGGGGGAATATAAGACAAACTGCCATTATAATTTGGCTTTCCTCCAGTCCTAGGATTCCAAATCAGTTTGTCTTCCTCTTCCCTGCTTAAAACGTTTTCCCTAAGGGTATACAAAAACCTTCATTTTCTGGATTTTACCTGTAAGGGATAATTGGAAGGACAGCTGAGTTCAGGCAAGCTGATTTATTATCAGTCCTGCCGGGCTACCTCCTGATAAAAGCAGAGGAGGCAGCCCTGCTTTCAGACCATTGCATGGCTTTACAAGGCGAGGAACAGGGTCAGGGTGGGGGAGCTGAGATGGGTGTGCAGGTGTCTTGACCGCATCCTGGAGATGTTTTTTGCCAGCTTTGTTATGCAAGGTGAACAGACATGTCAACCGCATCCTGTAACTGACTGGTTAGTTACTGGAGGGGTCAGTGAAGGGGGGTTTGTCTTTAGCCCTGGGGGAGCTGTGCGGATGTCACAAACGACTGCATTGTAAGACCCATGGGAAGGGAGGGGGAACAGTCTGGTTGGGGTGACCCTAACATTACCTATCTCTACAAATTCCCTGTCATGTGCTTAAAAAAAAAAAAGACACCAGCCAGAGTTGACAGGCAAAGACAATTGCAGAGGGAGGCAAGACTATTGCAATAGGGGAGAGAGACTAAATTTAACTCCCCTGAAACAAAAGATGGGACAGTTTTTAATGACAAAGTACTAGAGAACTTTGCAGGGAGGTTGGTAAACATGATTCGGCCATCTGTGTTTGCTAATACGTGCTTATCTAAGTTAAGCTCCTACATTTCTATAGAGACTGGATGAAGGCACTCCATCTTTCTTGGTGTATACTTTTCAAAAGGATGACTCTCAGGACCTGGAGAAAGACATTCCTAGTCTGTAAAACTTGCAAGAGAAGATTTACATCTCTAAGCTGCAGCGAAAGAATTTACAATTTTAACTTTTCTAAAGTAACTGCTCTAAGAAAAGAGAGATCAAGGGCCTAGAGTCAGGAAGAAACTTGTCTGAAGTTGAGTCAGGTTCAGGGGAACTTCTAAGGCTGCCTTGGTCAGTGCCAGATGACTTAAAATTTCCGGAATGCCATCTGCTAATTTGCACTTTCTTGTTTTTGCACATGTTGGTTTCTCTGTAAAATATCCTCTCCTCTTTGTTTTCCTGACAGTTTCCTTATTTTGTTTCAATAATCTGTTCAATCTTTACCTCTTCTGTGAGGTACACTCCTGGTTACTCCATATCAGTTGATAAGGCACATTTTGTACCACCTTTTTGAAGCATAATGTTGACTTTCTTTAGAAAGCATATTCTGATGCTTTCAAAAAGACCCAGCCACCTCTTTTTGATCACTTTGTAAAACATAAAATGTCTTTTTGTTACAGGACTTTTCATTAGTTCAGCTCAAGATGAGGTCCTTATCACACAGCTACGAAAATTTAGGCTAGCGGACGATTTGAGGAGTGAAAAAAATGGAAAAGGGGGGAAACACAGACTCTCCACAAAGGCAGAGTCCCTGCTGGTGCGCTTCCCGCCTCGCAGTTTGAATCCCAGGTTCCACACAGGAAGAGGAGGGGCTAAGCTCCTCCCTGCTGCAAAACCCACAGGAACTTCCTGAGTTTCCACCCCAGTGCCCAAGGCCAGCTGGAGTTTTTATGGGGAGTCCTTCCCACTTGTCTGCCTCATTTTTGTATAGGATTTACATAATTTCATTGTTTATACATCTCTCCTTCACTCTATCTCTCACATCTCTCTCTCTTTTTTTTTTTTTTCAGTTGAGACAGACTCTCACTCTGTTGCCCAGGCTGGAGTGCAGTGGCGCGATCTCAGCTCACTGCAATCTCTGTCTCCTGGGTTCAAGCGATTCTTCTGTCTCACCCTCCCAAGGAACTGCAATTACAGGCGCATGCTACGACACCTGGCTAATTTTTGTTTGTTAGTTTGTTTTTGGGACAGAGCCTCAGTCTGTCGCCCAGGCTGGAGTGCAGTGGCCTGATCTCTGCTCACTGCAACCTCTGCCTCCCGGGTTCACTCCATTCTCCTGCCTCAGCCTCCCGAGTAGCTGGGACTACAGGCGCCTGCCACCATGCCCGGCTCATTTTTTGTATTTTTAGTAGAGACGGGGTTTCACCATGTTAGCCAGGATGGTCTCGATCTCCTGACCTCAAGTAATCTGCCCACTTCGGCCTCCCAAAGTGCTGGGATTATAGGCGTGAGCCACCGCTCCCAGCCTCTCTCATATATATCTATATATGAAACTCTATCCCCACTCATGATGTAAAGCTTGAAGCTAAGTAAGCACTCAAAAATACTTTAAATTGAATAATTAAAGCAATTTTCACATTGTGTTAAAATTTTAATAATATGTCTCTTCATTCTTGTCTCTGAGTAACTTGAGTTCATTCATCTTGTGAAAAAGGCCCTAGCACCTTGTCTGGCAGCTGCTTACTGATTATTTAATGAACAAATGGATGAGTAATAATAATTTATAAAGCAAAATTATTTTTCCAGAAAAGTAACAATTTTGTATCAAAACTTGGAATGTCATATTAAAGTCCTTAAAAATTAAATTTACTTAAGAATTAAAAGCCTCAGATTTTATGTTTAAAAGGTAACTATGTCTTTTTTCCTTCAACTATTAATTTTGTTTTTCACAAATGGCCAACTCTTTTTTTTAAATGACTCCTTTTCTCCTAGAATCAGAAATTGTACTTTGAAAATATACTCTAGATTTAACAATTCAAATAGCCCACTAACACTGACAATTTTGATGTAAAAGAATGATTTTCTTCTGGGAAATTTTATATTTATGCATTTAAATTTCTCTTGATTGTTTTTCCATGTACTTCAGAAAGCTGTGAATTTTTTTTTCAGCCTTCCACTTTTGTGTGTAGTTATCAAGTTTTAGCTCATCAAACTGCTGAATTTAAGCTTTATCTGTCTAATTAATATTCTTCAGCAGTTCACAGTCTTCATTTCTCATTTCAGGTTAGAGTACAAAACATTCTCCCTGCAGTCTCACGAACTGTGAACAAAAACTGAAGTGAAAACTCATAGTGCATAACTCGTCAATACTCCTGTGATCGTATAACCATCAGCAAGAAAACAAATTTGATTGAGCCCCCATCCAGTCCTCTTTGCGTGGAATCAGACCTCTTTTGCAGTGGAAAGGAGCAGGTAAAACAAATAAGCAGAGGCACAAAATCATCACCAAACCAGACTCACTGAAATGCCAACACTGGCATGTGCGCAGACATTTTCTATTCTGGACTTACTTCTAAACAGCAATGCCAACAAGCATGAGAGGTGAAAAAATGTGGATAAATACATGTTTGGTTTATTGAACTAGGTCTTATCATATCCAAATTAAAAACAAAAGGCACATCTCAATTTCAAAATAAGGTTCTGAATTTTAATTCTCAGATTCATTGAATTTCTTTTTGATTCAAAATTCAAACTCTTCTATCGAATATATCCTTTAGATAAATTGTCTCCCAAACTCAGCAGCAGATTCTCCCTTTTTCTTGTAGCCACATGAATCTATATATTTTCCCGACCAGAGTCTCCATATATATTGTTGATAGAAACATAACTTTCTATTAACAAAAATTGTTTATGCATATCTACTAATTTCTTACATTGTATTTCCACCAACCAAACATAACCAAGATCACACATATATTCAATCTTACACTGAGAATACCTTAAAAGCTAATATTTTAAACTTTGTAATTAATTCTGTTTGTCTCTATTTTCATTTAAAAAAAATCTCTCTCGTTAGTACCTACCATAATTTATACCCAGTCTCTCTCTCTCTGTCACACACACACACACACACAAGCACACATACACACAGTGAGAGGGAGAGTGGGAGAGACTGTTTTGAATGTTTTGGTTAATTAACTATAATGTATTTTTCTCATTTGTATTTTATTTAAATTTTCATATTTACTTTCATTGAAATGAAATATTTTTCCACATTTATTTTTATTGAAATGACAATACATGAGGCCAGGCAAGGTGGCTAACACCTGTAATACCAGCACTTTGGGAGGGCAAGGCAGGTAGATCACTTGAGGTCAGGATTTCGAGACCAGCCTGATTAACATGGTGAAAACCAGCTCTACTAAAAATACAAAATTAGCTAGGTGTGGTGGCACATACCCGTAATCCCAGCTACTCGAGAGGCTGAGGCAGGAGAATCACTTGAACCTGGGAGGTGGAGGTTGCAGTGAGCCAAGATCATGCCATTGCATTCCAGCCTGGGTGACAAGAATGAAACTCTGTCTCAAAAAAGAAGAAAAAAAAAGGAATGACAATATATGAAGTTTTCCTGAATGGGGAGAAAGTATAATCAGAGAGTAAAGATGTAACAATTCTTAGTTTATAACTTCAAATATTAGGATCTAGTGGTAAGCTACCTCAGTCTATTTGGGCTGCTATAACCAAGTCTGTATCCTCACATGGTAGCAAGGAAGGCCTCACAAGCTCCCTCAGGCCTCTTTTACAAAGACATTAATCCCATTCATAGGGCCACAGCCCATAGGACCCAATCACTCCCAAAGGCCACACCTCTTAATATTATCACATTGGGGTTTAAGTTTCAACATATGAATTTTGGGGGACACATACATTCAGACCATAGCATAAGCCAAGTAAGGATTTTGAGTGATCTTTTAGGAAGTGGGACTATTTTTTCCCATCCTTCTTTTCCCCTTTGTCCAAACTAAATGAAAATTTTGCAGTGAAAAAAGGGGAAAGTCTGAGGAGGAAACCAAAGGGCTAGACACTAATGAGATCTGGGAAAGCAGTTCTTTCGTCTCAAAATTAGCCACAGTATGGAACGATGAAAAGAAAGGATGTCAGGAATCAAAGAATAGATAAGACTTATTGTGTGTTCATACCTGATCATCTAGGAAACCTAAAAATCTCCCCAAATCTCCTAGGGCCAGGAACATGGATTTGGAACGTCCTCACAGATAGGTCCCATGTGATTTGGTCAGATAAGAGGAGCAATCTCACATTTCCTTAACTGGCAGAGAGTGGAAGTTAAGGAACAGAAAGCAAACGGCTCTGAGGATGTTTTGTAATTGTGATTAGAAGAATCTAGAGAATAAATTAGATTGGACCATAAAGTTAGTGAGCAGAATGGGGTCTGGGATAACAAAAAGCTCTCTGCCTGAAAGTGTGGAGAATAGGATCCCAGCAGAGGACAGAGCACATCCACAGGGCAGGGGCTTTGCTCCTTCCTCACTATATATAGTGGTCATACAACCTCTTAGAAAAGAAAATTCTAGAGAGAAGTGAAAGAGAAACTTCTCGAGCTCCCTAAGTGTAAATTTGAAGTGACAAAGAATACTGAAATAATTGAGTTTAACTTGAATTGTTTATGACTATCTAACATGAGGTGGAAAAGGAGCTTTTGTGATATGTTAAATCATAGAAAAGTCAAGAAGTTACATGCCTACCAAGCTCTATTTAAAAAAAAAACTTTTAGGTTCAGGGGTACACGAGCATGTTTGCTATATAGGTAAACATATGTCACAGGAGTTTGTTGTACAGAATATTTCTTCGCCCAGGTATTAAGCCTAGTACCCAATAGTTATTTCTCCTAATCCTCTTCCTCCTCCTTTCCTCCATCCTCAAGGAGACCCCAATGTCTATTGTTCCCTCTTTGTGTCCATATGTTCTCATCCTTAAGCTCCAACTTATAATTGAGAACATGCAGTATTTGGTTTTCTGTTTCTGTGTTAGTTTGCTAAGGATGATGGCCTCCAGCTCCATCCATGTTCCTGCAAAAGACATTATCTCTTTCTTTTTTATGCCTGCACAGTATTCCATGGTGCACATGTACCTCATTTTCTTCATCCAGTTTACCATTGATGGCATTTAGGTTAATTCTGTGTCTCTACTATTGTGAATAGCGCTGCAATGAACATAGGTGTTCTTGTGTCTTTATAGGAGAATGATTTATATTCCTCTGGGGTATACCCAGTAATATGATTGCTAGGTTGAACGGTGCTTCTGTTTTTAGCTCTTTGAGGAGTTGCCACACTGCTTTCCACAATAGTTGAACTAATTTACATTCCCACCAACAGTGTTCCCTTTTCTCTGCAACATCACCAGCATCTGTTATTTTTTGACTTTTTAATAATAGCCATTCTGACTGGTGTGAGATGGTATCTCATTGTGTTTTTGATTTGCATTTCTCTAATGATCAGTCATATTGAGCTTTTTTTCATATGACAAGTCTATTTTTAAGTATCATTAGTGAACTAATTATGAAGTTTATTACCTTATATTTCTCTTTGATATACCAGCATTATTATGATATAATGCATATATCATAAAGTTTGTAGTTTCTCATTTGCTGATAATTTCAGTATCAGAAATCTCAAAGAGTTTTAATTTTAATCTCTATTTTCTCCATATTTACCATTTTCTTTCTTTGTATTTTTATTTCTATTTTTTAATGTATAATCTTATTGTTCAAAACACTTGGGTTTTTCTAGTGTCAATTGCAATCATAATCTTAACTGATACAAATTTTAACGCTGATATTGCAGTTTAATTTTCTATAACCAAAACTCTTCTTTTTCAATTCATCTTATTATTTTTTCACTATGAGCCACATGTCTGTTGTGATATTTAAAAGTAACATATCAGAGCTTCATCCCCAGAGATTCTGACTCAGATCTGGGGTTTCCCATCTTCCGCAGGAGATGCTGATGCACGGATGGAATTGAAAACCGCTGTTGTAGTTAACTTTTCAGGGTCTGTCAGTCTTTTGTCTAGTGAGTCTGTTCATCTGAAATGGGACCTTCAATTTGGCCCACAGCTAACTTTTCTGATATTATAATTAGATGCAAAAAGATAGGTTAAAAGAGATATAAACAATTCTCTAGTCCCTTAGAAAGCTGTGAACTAAAGCAAAATTAATACTTTTAGTTCATATTATATTACCTGAATGGATAGAAAGAAAAATGGATACACAGATGATAGATAGATACATAATCAATAGAGATAAAGACATAGTACATATTATTGTAACTGTGTTCATATATTATAGGCATCAAAGCTATGAAGAGCGTGAGCTGCCAGTGTTATAAATTTTTTACCGAAATACCCTAGTTTTACAATTGAGGAGCCCTTGTTTGGAAAACCAGTTAACTTCCTTAGATAAGATCTCTCTGTTGTCAGTTCTCAAATAAAATAAAGTTATATAACAATAGAAGGGTCTACATATAATACAGGATATGTCATTAGAAATGCATTGAATTCTTATCAAATTTCAAGGTACCTTCCCATGTGGAATTCAGAATTTATTGTTAGATTAAAATATGTAAATAAGAAAAACAACATAAACTCAATAAGCCCATGTATACACAGGACACTTTTGGGACACTATGAGGTTTGGGACCACAGGGAACCATTCTCAGAGATCTTCATCAAGTTAAAATGTTCTATTTTAAAGTAAACCTACTACCCCATTCATAGTGAACGTCTAGTAAGATTTTTTTGCTTGTTTATTTTGTTTTTTGTTTTGCCTTTTTCTGCTTTCTGATACAGTTGAGGCTTAGGTATTTAGGAAGCAATATAAAAATTATCCATATTTACGAAATAGGCAAGTTAATCTGGTTGACTTAATCTATTTAGAAGTTTTGATTCAATAGATTCCCAGTGCTGCAGTCCTACCATTTACTCTTTCCTTCAAATACTTAACACAGTATTTCACTTCATTATTCATTCAGCAATTATTGAAAAGGCTGTGTGTCTCTGTAAATAGAAAGATGTAGACTTCTGAGTCAGCAATTTGGGGTTTGCTCCTGGATTACATGAATTACTTATTTATGTGAAGGCTTAGTTTCTTCATTTGAAAAATGGGCACTTCTCCAACAAGTTTGCTTACGAGAATTATGTTTGCACTGGTAGAAACATAAAAAGTATGCCTCAGATATTAACTAAATAGAGTGACCATATAATTTACTGTCCAATCTGGATACTTTTGAGAACAAAAGGAGGTCAATATTAATAAGTACACTGGGACAACAGTTACAAATCACAACAGCCCAGGGCAAAATTGGGATTCAGGTCAATCTAATAAATAATGGCATTGTAGACCTTCAATAACAGCAATTCAGTCTCTTTCATTGTATTCCTCTGAGAGTAGATAGTTTAAATCCAGCAATCAACTTGCATTGCGGAAATTCTGTCTCTATAATATCAATGTAATTTCGACTTGAATTCCCAAATAAAAGCAAAAAGTGAAAGAAGTTTTTGAGCAGTTTTCTTTACCATGTAGAACAAAGAAAAGTGCCTAATTAAGATTTTGAAAGGTCAAAAGTTATTATTATTAATTTATCTTAATTTTTACTGAACGAAAATAAATTTGTTACTTATTTGACATTTTTTGGAACAACATTTTACGAAGTTTACTACTTTAGCAGAATATACCATTTCCTAAATTGACTTCCTTTATGTTCTATTACCACTGTAAACTTGCCCCCTCACTCCTCCCCTGCCCTGGCAACTCATTATAACTTTAAAAAGTTATTTTATTTTATTGATAAAACATTGCAGTTAAAAACTACCTATGTATTTGTTCTAAGTTGCTCCCACTTGTATTTGAATGGCAAGGATAAAATAAAGCCTCCTAAACGGTACTATTTTTTTCATTGTTATTCCACATTACAACTAAAATTTACCTTCTATTGAAGCATAAAGTTCATGTCATGTCACCAAAAAGACATGGGCATGATATCCTTATATATTTTTTTCAATTAAGCTCATATCACTAAGTGCTATCCTAGGAGGAAAAAATGATTTGGAGAGTGATCTCGTTCAGTTTAAAAGAGCATTTTTATGCCAATATAGAACAATGAGAATTTATCATCTGTGATAATATTTTAAATATAATGAGTTCCTCTTATTCCAGAGAATGTGACTTTCCTGAACAACAGGAGCAAGAATCAATGCCAGATTCTCTTCTCTAAAAATAATCAATTTGTTACTACAGGTAAATTAATTTCACTTTTTTCACTTCTTAGTACAAGGGGGTTTTAATTTCTATCACAATAAAACACACATTTTAAATAGATGCCGTGCTATACACATTGACACTTACTTGTTGCATTATGTAGAGAACCAGTAAAATCTTTACTCACAATTTGCCAATAATTTCCATAGAGCTTTCTTTCTCAATGAAAGAGGTCACTAATTCCTTCACTTCACATCCTAAAGCTAGAATGAATTGTGTCAAGCTGTTAGCCGTCTAGGCCACCAAAAAGAGTTACGCAAATGATGATGTATTCATTTATAAACACTCCTAGCTATTTTCTCAGCTATCATCAATTTTCCATTCTATTTTTAAAAATCATATTACTTTGATATATTTCTAAAGATTCTTACTGTTGAATCCTAAGTTATTTTACTCTTTTTCAGTTGTCAAAGTTCAAAAACATCTGACTTTTATATTGTGAAAAATAACCTTTTATAAACCTAAACATCTGTAGTCAGACCAGGCCATCTCTCCCATTTCATCAGGTGATTTCTCAACCAGAATTTCTATACCAAAAACTACAGTATTCTTTAAGGTTCTCAAACAGATCATATTTCCTTTCCTCTGAATGTCTTCATACATGCTGCTACCTCATTTCTTTACGTACCCTATTCGCCTGGCTAGTTCCTAAGCATTTCAAATTTCAGAGTATTTTTTTGTTTTCTCAGAAAGCATTTTCTGAGCCTCGGATTGAAGCAGTTGCTATTCCTTATCCAAATCACATTTTATACTTTTTCATATAAGAAGGATCTCAGAATAGCAATTAATTAGTGCCTGCCACACCACTTGAATAAGGTATTAAAACATTATGACAAATTGCAATGTTAAAAGCCAGGAGTGAAAGAAGCAAGTGATACAGGTTAGGGCAAGTTTTTCAGAAATTAATGATATTTCATTGTTTGTAGTCCAACAAAAGTGTGTTGGCAGCTGCATGGTCTCGTGACAATAATAGATATTAGAGATGATGAAAGATTTTCATGACTGCAGCTGAAGAATATGGGGAAATATTCCGACTAGCTATATCTGAAAAGACATTGGGGACAATAGATTATTTGAAGGGTCTCTAAATACAAATGAACATTTCAGCATGTGGATATGGCCACAAGGAAAATTCTAAGTGGAGATAACAAATAAGAAGGAAGATTTAAATATTAAAAAACCAAGAAATCTTGGGGCGGGGCAAGAAGTCTACTAGGTAGCATGAATTATGTGGAAGATATAAAACTACAGAATTTGGGGAAGTTAACTAAGGATGGAACAGAGAGAAATGGAATGGGAATGTGAAAATTCTGTTCCTAAGTCCAGTAATGCTACCCTAAACCAAAATATTAGAGAAGTAGATGAGCAATTGAGAAGACTTGAGAGTGAAGGGATGCATGGTGGATTTCTTAAGGTTTTATTTGTAATATCATTTTTATGAAGGAGGAGGAAAAACTTCTGTATATACAAAAGTGCTCTATGTTTCTCTCCTTTTTTAAATATTCAGACTTTGCTCAGGTTTCATAAAATAATGTTTTCATAAAATGTACAGCAAAACAAAGATAAACTTATACTACTCAGATGACCTTGTTTTAAGAGATGCTTGTGCCAAATATGAATTACAAGATGATCATGAGATCATCTGAATATCTTGACTGGGGCTCAGGATAAGAAAACAGGGGATTGTTGGTGTAATGTTTTATTAGGGCTGCCATTACAATCTCCACAAATTGGTGGCTTAAAACAACAGAATTTCATTCTCCCAAAATGTTGGAGTTGAAGAGTCCAAAATCCAGGTGTCGGCAGGGAAAAGCTCCCTCTGAAGAGACTCTGGGGCAGAATTCTTCCTTGAATCTTTGAGTTTTTGGTGGCTCAAGGAATTCCTTGGCTTGTGGCAGCATTACTGCAGTCTTTGTCTCCATCATTATATGGGTCTCCACGTGGCCTTCTCTATTATGTGACCATGTCTTCTCACCTTCTCCTTTCTGATAAAGGCACTTGTCACTAGATTTAGGGCACACAATAATCCAGGAAGATCTCATATCAAGGTCCTTAACTTACTTATCTGCAAAGAGTCTTTCTGCAAAGAGTCTTTCTTCCAAATAAGAGTACATTCACAGGTTCCTGGGGTTAGGACATGGGACATATCTTTTTGGGAGCCACCATCCAATCCACCACAGATAGTAGCACTTCTTTTTTGATCATAGTACTCATAAAGATATACTTTCTTTTCCATTTCCTTTTCTAAGAGCCCACATCAAAACACTGTCTAATTCATGAAGTACTGATGTCGGCTAAGAAGAGACTTTAATTACCTCCTCCAGAAATCATCTAGAATAAGGAATAGTCAAAGTTTTATTATTCTGGTTCGAATATTCTGAAAATAGGACAGAAAAATGAATCATCAAACAACTGGATATTTTCCCCTTTAATATTTCAAGTATAGATTTCACTCCAAGCCAGCATTTGCAAATAAATGCCATTTTTATTTTTAAACAATTTAGAAAATATTTTATCACATACCTTTGAGTGTAAATAATAAATGGGTTTTGGCAATTGTTCATTAGAATTGAGAGATGTAAAATAATTTATAATATTTCATTTTGAGTTACGTTCATCAATTGTTCACATTTCCTAAAATCAGGACCTCATGGAAAAAATAAAATTTACCTACAAAAGCTTAAAAGGCAGATCAGATTTCACAAGGATGGATTATCCAAATAAAAGACACAATACACCTTTAGATGGAAAGAAACAAACAAGCCTGAGGCTACCAAGTTTATAGTTAACTGGTGGAAAAATAGCCATTTTCTCACATGATTATCAGAAACACAAGACTGATCACAAGTCAGTGTTGCAAATTTTATGAATACAAACTTTCCTTTTTCTCCCTCTCTTCCTTCTACCCTCCCTCCCTTCCTCTCTCCTTCCTTCCTTTCCTCCCTACCTCCCTACCTTTCTCCATCCTTTCTTTCTTCCTTCCCCCCTTCTTTCCCTTTTATTGAGGAGTCAGAAACATATATAAAGGGTAGATTTTATATAGTTAGGGGTATATTTCAAGGCACACTGTTTTTGCTATTGTTTTTAATATCTCAGGGTAAAGTGGTTAGTTTTCTTCCAGGGCTGTGGGAAGTGAAGTAAGTGCATGATCACACCTCATGGTGGCAAAACAAGATACTAGTTTTGCTTTCTCAGTACCTCCTCTGGTCAAAGATTTGTTCACATCAGCTTATTTAGCTACTTTTAGACTTGGTATCATTAACATGAAGGTTTGCTTATTTAGAGTTATTTATGTAGATATAACATGAGATATTAATAGACAAAACCGCAATGTTAACATGATGACAGGCATATGATATTAAAACTTGAGGGTTAACATATGCCTATAGGGTCCATAAAGTCCCTAATGTTATAATTAAAACTACTTGTGTGAGTCAGAATTATTTTTACAGCCTTTATCTGCTTTTTTATACAGATCAGAAAAAAGAGCCACACAAAGTATTTTTCTCAGATTTCTTTGAAGCCTCTCTGACTTTTTTTCATACTAGGATCTTCTATTTTGCCAACATTCCTTGCCTATTTAAAAGTGATATTAATTATTTAGTGACATTAATTATGTATTCTAGAAGCACTTAATAGACATCACTTCACATGTGAAGTGGGGTCTTCTTGCTTAAAACAGGGCTTATAAGACCTATTTAAGTAATATTTGACTTTATATGTGACATTTTCAGCATGGTCATGATTATACATTCCATTTATCCAAGTAAAGCCAAATAAAAAAAGACAAATCTATTGACCTATGAAAATGATTATGCATTCATAACTAGTAAAGGGAATCAGTCAAGCCTTTTAGCATGGTGCATAACCATTGTTTTAAGTGGTGTCATACTCAAGAACAATAAATGTATGCCATTAGTTAGAAAATCATCATTAAGTTTTTATGATTAAGTTTCTATGTTTTAATCTGTAGAACAAACTTTTATATGGTTATTATTTATAAATTCAGGGGGTCAATTGAGATAAAATTCTATTTACCATGAATTTGATTTCCATTTGTACAAATAAGCCTGTTAAATTAAGGATTATAGATGGTATAAAAAAGAAGAAATTTCAAATTATTTAATTTCATTCTGGTCCACCTAATAATTCTTGTTATCTTGGTCTTGGGGTAAAGGTAGCAGTGTTTTTAAAAACGGACCTGCTTCTGGATTAAATGAATCATGGAAATCCTGATGCAATCACCTGATGTGTCTGATAAATGTCAGGTTATTGTGGTGATGTTGTCTAATACAGTGAAGCCTGTCTCCATGGGTTGGTTCCCTATATCAAATTTAAAAATGCTGTATTAATTTGTTTTTACACTGCTATAAAGAAGTATGTGAGACTGGCTAATTTATAAAGAAACAGGTTTAATTGACTCACAGCTTCACATAGCTGGGGAGGCCTCAAGAAACTTACAATGATGGTGGAAGGGGAAGCAAGGCATGTCTCACATGGCAGCAGGGAGCAGGGACAGTGCCACACTTTTAACCATCAGATCTCCTGAGAACTCACTCACTGTCATGGGAACAGCATGGGAGAAGTTCACCCCCATGATCAAATCACCACCAGGTCCCTCTCCTGACAAATGAGGATTGCAATTTGAGATGAGATTGGGGGGACACAGAGCCAAACCATATCACTCTACCCCTGGCCCCTCACAAATCTCATGTCCTTCTTACATTTTAAAACCAATTATACCTTCCCAATAGTCCCTCAAAGTCTTAACTCATTCCAGCGTAACTCAAAAGTCCAAGTTCAAATACTCACCTGTGATAAAAAAAAGTCCCTTTTGCATATGAGCCTGCAAAGTAAAAAAGTTAGTTACTTTCAAGATACAAAGGGGGTAGAGGAATTGGGTATATTTTTCCATTCCAAAAGGGAAAAATTGGCCAAAACAAAGAGGCTACAGGCCCCACGCAATTCCAAAACCCATAAGGGCAGTCATTAAATCTTAAACCTTTGAAATGATCTCCTTTGACTTCATGTCTCACATCAAGGGCATGCTGATGTGAGGGGTGGGATCCCATGGCCTTGGGAAGCTCCACCCTTGTGGCTCTGTAGGGTACAGTCCCCATGACGGCTTTCATGAGCTGGCATTGAGTGCTGCAGCTTTTCCAAGCGCATGGTGAAAGCTGTTGGGGGATCTACCATTCTGGGGTCTGGAGGATGGTGGCCCTCTTCTTACTGCTTCACTAGGCATTGCTCCAGTGGGAACTCTTTGTGGGGGCTCCAACCCCACATTTCCCCTCTGCATTGCCTTAATAGAGGTTCTCCATGCAGGCTTCACTCCTGCAGCAGACTTCTGCCTGGACATCGGGACATTTCCATACATCATTTGAAATCTACGTAGAGGCTCCCAAAGTTCAACTCTTGTCTTCTGCACACCCACAGGCCCAATACCATGTGGAATCTGCCAAGGCTTAGGGCTTGTCCCCTCTGAAGCAATGGTCAGAGCTGTATCTTGACCCCTTTTAGCCACAGCTGGAGCTGGAGTGGCTGGGATGCAGAGCACCATCTCCTGAGGCTTCACAGAGCAGTTGGGCCCTGAGTCTGGCCCACAAAACCATTTTTCCCTCCTAGGCTTCCAGGACTGTGATGGGAGGGGCTGCTGTGAGGATCTCTGAAATGCCCTGGAGACATTTTCCCCATTGCCTTGGCTATTAACATTCAGCTTCTCTTTGCTTATGCAAATTTCTGCAGTGAGTGGCTTGAATTTCTCCCCAGAAAATGGGTTTTTCTTTTCTACCAAATGGTCAGGCTGCAAATTTTCCAAACTTTTACACTCTGCTTCCCTTTTAAAAATAAGTTCCAATTTCAGACCATCTCTTTGTGAGTGCATGACTTTACACTTTCAGAAAAAGCCAGGTCACATCTTGAGTACTTTGCTGCTTAGAAATTTCTTCTGTCAGATACTTTAAATCATCTCTCTCAAGTTCAAAGTTCCACAGATCTCTAGGCCAGGAGAAAAATGTTGCCAGTCGCTTTGCTAAAGTATAGCAAGAGTGACCTTTGCTCCAGTTCCCAATCAATTCCTCACCTCCACCTGAAACCACCTCAGCTGAGACTTCATTGTCCATACCACTATTAGCATGTTGATCAAACGCATTCAGCAAGTATTTTGGAAGTTCCAAACTTTCCCACATCTTCCTGTCTTTTTCTAAGCCCTCCAAACTCTTCTAACCTCTCCCCATTAGTCAGTTCCAAAGTCACTTTCACATTTTCAAGTATCTTTATATCAGCACCTCACTTCCAGTAGCAATTCTCTGTATTGGTCCATTTTCACACTGCTATAAAGAACTACCTGAGACTGAGTAATTTATTTTTAAAAAGAAGCTTAATTGATTTATAGTTCCACATAGCTTTGGAGGCTTCAGGAAAATGACAACTATGGTGGAAGGCAAAGGGGAAGCAAGTAACATCTTATATAGCAGCAGGAAAGAGAGAGAGCAAGGGAGGATCATCGCTTTCCATCAACCATCAGGTCTCTGAGAATCCACTATCATGAGAACAGTATGGGGGAAATCCACCCCCATGATCCAACCACCTCCCACCAGGTCCCTCCCCTGACACATGGGGATTACAATTCAAGATGAGGTTTGGGTGGGGACACAAGAGTCAAACCATATTAAGGACCTTCTTTCGTCCTGAATTGGTTTGTTATTCTTTTGATATTTCTTCCAGAAGAGTCAACTTCTGATCTTTGACTTGTAGCATGAGCCTTACCACAAATGTACAGGAAAAAAAAAAAAGGAAGTCGTTCAGTGATTATAAAACCTAATAGTTTTATTATAATAATACACACTCATTTTATGAGAAATTATTCAATGGTTACATTAAAAGTAAGCATGTCAATTTATTGTCCATAATTGCCCCCATCTTTGTACAAGAACACGAAGGTGCTTTTACTTATACTGAAAGGTATACCACTGAAACACTGTTATATAGTAATGTTTTATTGTCTATAAATAATTATAAATACAATTATAAATTATATGTTGTTAAATATAAAATTATAATTAACAGTTATAAATAATGTGGAATCAAAAAGTAATAGCAAAACTTTGAAAGATTTTGAAATATAAAATACCACATAGAAATCATGAGATACAGCTAAAGTTGAACTTAGAATGAAATGTGTATAATGGCCTACATTAGAAAAAAAAGAAATCACCCATCTCAAGAAGTAAACACATTCATTTCAAGAAATAAAAACTAAGAACAAAAATCCGAGTAGGAAGAAAGGAAAGATAGTTTAAAAAAATTAAATTGTTTTTGTAAACTAATAAAATCAGCACTCTGCCATCTCACTCCCCAAGCTGTTGATGTCCTTTCATTTCTTTCCATGCATGGGTGGAATATTATATTTTTCTCTTTGTTTTATTTTCATTTCATATTCAAAACATGGTTAGGAAATGTCAGCATTCTAGTCTCCTTATTTGTATTTTTTTTTAATTAAACTTTTCTTTAGCTTCAGGGATCCACATGTAAGTTTGTTGCATAGGCAAACTGTGTGTTATGGGGGTTTGATGTACTGATTATTTTGTCACCCAGGTAGTACGCATAGTACCTTATAGGTAGTTTTTCAATCCTTATCCTTCTCCCACCTTCCACCCTCAAGTAAGCCCTCATGTCTGTTGTTCTATCCTTTGTGTCCATGTGTACTCGATGTTTAGCTCCCACTTATAAGTGACAACATGCAGTATTTGGTTTTCTGTTTCTGTGTTAGTTTGCTAAGGATAATAGCCTCCAGCTCTGCCTATGTGTTCTCAAAGGTCATAATCTCATTCTTTTTAATGGCTGCATAGTATTCCATGGTGTATATGTACCACATTTTCTTTATCTAGTCTGTCATTGATGGGTACTTGAGTTGATTCTTTGCTATTGTGAACAGTGCTGTGATGAATATACATGTACATGTGTTTTTATGGTGGAACAATTTATATTCCTATGAGTATATACCCAATAGGATTGCTGGATTAAGTGGTAGTTTTGCAAAACTGCTTTCCACAATGCCAGAATTAATTTACAATCCCATTAGACCTGTATAAGCATTCCCTTTTCTTCACAACCTTGCCAGCATCTGTTATTATTATTATTTTACTTTTTAATAATACCCATACTGAACATAGTATCTCATTGTGGTTTTGATTTGCATTTATCTAATTAGTATTGTTGAACTGTTTCATATGCTTGTTTATCCACATGTATGTTTTCTTTTGAAAGGGTGTCTGCTTATGTCATTTGAACACTTTTAAATGGGTTGTTTGTTTTTACTTGCTAATCTGCTTAATTTCCATATAGATTCTGGATATTAGACCTTTGTCAGATGCATAGTTTGCAAATATTTTCTCCCCTTCTGTAGGTTGTCTTAAAAATTTACTTTGTTGATAGTTTCTTGTGCTGTGCAGAAGTCTTTTGTTTACATAGGTCCCAATTGTCAATTTTTGTTGCAATTGCTTTTGGCATCTTCATCATGAAGTCTTTGTCCATTCTTATGTCTAGAATTGTGTTTTCTAGGTTATCTTCCAGGGTTTTTACAGTTTTAGGTTTTACATTTAAGTAATTAGTTTATCTCGAGTTGATTTTTGTATATGGTGTAAGGAAGGGGACCAGTTTCAATATTATGCATGTGACTAGCCAGAATTCCAGCACCATTTATTGAATAGGGAGTCATTTACCCATTGCTTGTTTTTGCCAGCTTTGTTGAAGATCAGATGGTTCTACATGTGTGGCTTTATTTCTGAGTGCTCTGTTCCATTTCTTTAATCTATGTGTCTGTTTTTGCACCAGTACCATGCCATTTTGGTTACTGTAGTCTTGTAGTATATTTGGAAGTCAGGTAATATGATGCCTCAGCTTTGTTCTTTTTGCTTAGAATTGCCTTGACTATTTGAGCCTTTTTTGATTCCATATGAATTTTTCAAAACTTTTTTTCTAATTATGTAAAGAATGTCATTGGTAGTTTGATTGGAATAGCACTGAATCTGAACATTGCTTTGGGTAGTATGACCATTTTAAGAATATCGATTCTTTCTCTCCATGAGCACAGAAAGTTTTTCCATCTGTTTGTGTCATTTTTGACTTCTTTCAGCAGTGTTATGTAATTCTCATGGACAAAATCTTTTACCTCCCTCATTAGCTGTATTACTAGGTATTTTATACTTTATACTTTTTTGGCTATTATGAATGGGATTATGTTCTTGATTTGGCTCTCAGCTAGGACATTGTTGTTGTATAGAAATGCTATAGATTTTTGTACTCTGTTTTGTATCCTGAAACTTTGCTTAAGTACTGTATTAGATCTAGGAGCTTTGGGGCAGAGACTATGAGGCTTTGTAGTTATAGAATTATATTGTCTGTAAAGTGAGATAATTTCACTTCCTTTTTCCTATTTAGATGCCCTTTATTTCTTTCACTTGCCTGATTGCTCTAGCTAGGACTTCCAGTACCTTGTTGAATGAAATTGGTGAGAGAGGGTATCCTTGTCTTTTTCTCATTTTCAAGGGGGATGCTTCCAGGTTTTTCCCATTCACTGTGATATTGGCTATGGGATTTTAAAGATGGCTTTTAGTATTTTATTGAGGATTTTTGCATCTATGTTCATCAAGGATATTGGCCTGAAGTTTTCTTTTTTTGTGGTATATCTTCCAGGTTTTGGTATCAGGAAGATGCTGGCCTCATAGAATGAGTTAGGGTGGAGTCTCTCCTCAAGTTTTTGGAATAGTTTCATTAGAAATGGTACCAGCTCTTCATTACACATCTGGTAGAATTTGTCTGTAATTCTTTCTGGTCCTGAGCTTTTTCTGGTTGGTAGGCTTTTTATTACTGATTCAATTTTGGAACTCATTATTGGTCTGTTCAGGGATTCCATTTCTTCCTGGTTCAGTCTTGTGACATTGAATGTTTTCAGCAGTTTATCCATTTCTTCTAGGTTTTCTAGCTTGTGTTCATAGAGATGTTTTTAATAGTCTCTGAGGGTTTTTTTGTATTTCTATGGGGCCAATGGTAATTTCCTTTTCATCATTTCTCATTGGGCTTATTTGGATCTCTCTCTCTCTCTCTTTTATTAGTCTATCTAGCAGTCTATTAATCATATTTATTTTTTCAAAAAGCCAACTCCTGCTGGATTTGTTGATCTTTTTATGGTTTCATGAATGTGTCAGTTTCACTCAGTTCAGCTCTGATTTTTATTATTTCTTGTCTTCTGCTAGCTTTGGGGTTGGTTTGCTATTATTTTCCTAGTTCCTCTAGATAACATGTTGGTTGTCAATTTGAGATCTAACTTTTAGGTGTGGGCATCTAGCACTAAAAACTTTTCCCTTAACACTGCTTTAGCTGTGTCCAGAGATTCTGGTATGTTGTATCATAGTTTTCATTAGTTTCAAGTAATTTCTTAAGTTCTGCCTTAATTTCATTGTTTACCCAAAAGCCATTCAGAAACAGGTTGTTTAAATCCCTCGTAATTGTATGGTTTTGAGCAATCTTCTTACTATTGATTTCTATTTTTATTGTGTTGTGATAGGAGAGTATAGTTGGTATGATTTAGTTGTTTAATTTTCTGAGAATTATTTTATGGCTGATTGTATGGTCAATATTAGAGTGTGTGCCATGTGCAGATAAGAATAATGTACACTGTGTTGTACTTGGGTAGAGAGTTCTCTAGATGTCTGTTAGGTCCATTTGGTCATGTGCCAAGATCATGTCCTGAATAACTTTGTTAGTTTTCTGCCTCTATGGTCTGTCTAATACTGTCAATTGGAGGTGAAGTTTCCCACTGTTATTGTGTAGTTGTCTAAGTCTCTTCATATTTTTGTCTGACAGAGCTAATTTGGAGAACTAGTCTTTGAACTCTGGGATTCTTTCCTCAGTTTATCTATCTTGCTATTAATACATATGACCATATTATGACATTCTTTAAGTGAGTGTTCCAGGTGTATCAGATCAGTTTAGTTATATCTTAAGATGGACATTTCATCTTTTACCTCCTGTATAGTTTGTTTGTATTCCTTAGATTCCTTGTCTTGGGCTTGCACTTTCCTAAATCTTGATGATCCATCTACCTTCTGAATTCTGTATCTGTCATTTCAGCCATTTCAGCTTGGTTAAGAACCATTGCTGGGAAACTACTGCAATCATCTGAAGGTAAGAAGACAATCTGGCTTTTTGAGTTGACAGAGTTCTCATGCTGGTTCTTTCTTATCTGTCTGGGCTGATGATCCTCCCATCTTTGAAGTTGCTGGCCTTTGGATGGGGTATTTTGCTTTTATCTTCTTTGTTGCTCTTGGGAGTCTGATTGTGGCAGAAGGTGGGTTCAGTCCACTGACTTCACTTCCGGAGGATTTTAGGAGTCCAAAGCTCAGCTCGGCACTCCTGGGATGAGTGCTCTAACTCTGATCAGCTGGTACTGAGCCCCCCAGCTTGTTTTTTGGCCCCTTGAGGTTATGAACCTGGTGCACTGGAAGGGCTGAGGTTTTCCTGGTACACTAGCCACAACACTCCAATTTCCAGGGGCTGCCAACCAAAGTGCTTTGTTGGGACAGAGGCAGTGGGATCTGTGCTTGCTCACATGTGCCAGCAGCTGCAGCAGCATGGTGGGGTGCATGCATGTTGGCTGGGCAAGGGCATCTAGAGGGGGTAGGGTTGTCAGCCTCTCTGCTAGCACTTGTGCTGATAGTGGCAGTGGTGATGGGGGCACTGGCAGAGCTGAGGTTGTTGGCACCTGTGCACAAGTTTGTACCAGCAGTGGTGATGGCACTGTGGGGGTGAGTTTCCTGGCATCTGTGTATGAGTTCACATCGGCGGTGGCAAAGCAGCATCACAAGGAAGGGGTGGCTGGGTGAGCTTGTGCTGGCAAAGTGGTAAGGGGGCCGTGAGTGAGTGCATGCTGGAAAAGCTGCACGGGGAGTCTTCAGCGAGGGGAAACTGGGTGGGCTGGTGTGCATTGGTAAGGATTAGTCTGCTGGAGCTTTCCAACAGTCAGGCATGGTCTTCTGGCAAAGGAGCTATAACGTGAGCCCCCAGGAACTGCCCTGGTTGGGTAACCGAGGCTGCACTGCAAGTGGATGTGGTCAGGCTGGGGCCCCAGGAGATGCCAGTAGATGGAGGGGCACTCAGTCATGCCCTCATCCCATGGGCGTGACTGCTCTGCTCTGTCCAGGTCCTACAGTCACCCTGAGGCTAAAGTCTCCTAGAGTTCCTAGAGGAGCATGGCAAGCTTTGAGGGATGAGCATCACTGGCCATGCTCCGCTGAAGCCATTCCCATGCCAAATCTTCTGAACTACACAGGCTAGAGCCCTGCCGTGTCATTTCTCTAAGCAGATCTTTCTGCCAGCTCAAGTGTCTGTGGGGGTCAGGAGGTCTTCTTCTGCTAGGATTCCAGAGGTCCATGATAAGTGTAGGTCACTCCTCACCTGTGTGAATTACCCCTTCGCCAGGAGTCACTGGGGGCCAGGAATGAGTCCTGGTGCTTATCTACCCTGTGCAGGGTTCTCAGCTTTCTCCCCATTCAGCCCAGCATTTGTGTCTTCCCTGTGTCCACTCTCAATTCCTTCCCTCTGAAGATCTACTTGTAGGATGCCAGTCTGCCCCGTATCACAGTCTCTTGGTGGGAGATGTTCCTCCTGGCTGCAGCTAGTCAGCCATCCTGAATCCCGTCCTATTTCTGTTTCTGAACCACCATTATTCTTGCACCTCCTGTAAAAATGCATCCATCCGCATTTAAAATAATTGAATTAAAGCTATTAATCCTTTCCCCCTCACTTTCCTGTCCTTTTCCCTCAATTTCTCATCTTTATTATAGTCCTTTATATCACTCCCCATATTTGTTAAAATCCTTGTCTATGGATTATTAACATTTCCTACATATAAACCCCAAATTTTTCTTGAGAGTTTAAAAAAACACAGAATAACTGTGGATGACTTAACCAATAACCTATCTTGGATCTATTCAACTTCAAAATTTAAAAACTTCAGTATCTCATTCTGTGACCATAGCCTTTAATAAGTAACAAATAAGCAAACAAATAAAATAAGTAAAAGTATTGATTTTACCAGGATTCTCTTTTCAAACCTCTTCTTTTCTTTACATATCCCTCCATTGATTTCCCCACTCCATGCCCATGATTTAAATATCATTTATATGTTCATGTCTCTCAATCCCATTCTTTATAGGTAAGCACCAGAATAGAATGTTTCACAACTTAGTGGAAGTCTCCAGTATGATAAACCCATAGGACTTCCAACTAAAGCATTCAACACTAATCTTTTCATCTCCCTGGCAAGGTTCCCTTCAGACCTGGAATCCTATATATTGTTAGTGGCATAACTAACAACCTGGTCTCCCAGTATAAGCCTAGGAACTTTTGAATTCTCTGACTTCTCTACTGGACATAAGTAAATTCATTTTTACCCTATATTGACTATCCTTTCTCTTTTCCATTCTCCTAACTATTGCTATATGTAACTTCTAATGTGAATTTCTGAAAAAACTTCCACACACATTGCTTACAAGTAATGATTTAAAGTGTATAACTTAAAAGACTATAAACATAGATTTCATAAGCTATAAAAAGTCCTTCTAGAATTATAAATCATACACACATGCATGTGTATATATACATACTTGATGTGGTTTATCTCTGTTCCCACCCAAATCTGATGCTGAATTGCAATCTTCAGTGTTGAAGGAAGGGCCTGGTGGGAAGTGAGTAATTACATCATGGGGGCAGACGTCCCCCTTCTGTTCATGTGATAGAGTTCTCACGAGATCTGATTGTTGGAAAGTGTGTGGCACTTTCCCCTTCTCTCTTTCTCTCTTTGTCTCTCTCTCCTGCTCCCCCATGGTAAAACATGCTTGCTTCCCCTTTGCCTTCCACCATGATTGTAAGTAAGTTTCCTGAGGCCTCCCAGCCATGCTTCCTCTATAGCCTGAAGAACTGTGAGTTGATTAAACTACTTTTCTTCATAATTTACACAGTCTCAGGTAGTTCTTTATAGTAGTGTGAAAATGGAGTAATACAATACTCCACACACAAACATATGTACCTGTGGTGGTAAATGCTTTATAGATTTCTTTAGAGTTTTGAAAAATACCTGATACCCAAAATGTTTCTATCCACTGGCCAATGTCTCCACTCAAGTCATTTTGTATGAACACGTGGGCTGACCTGACTCCCATCTATTTCATAGACAGTATCTCCTACCATTCCTTGCTTCAAAACATATGCCAGTTCTAAATAGCGTTGATTATTATTCTTTAAAGGTACTTATTATTACTTCACACTTCTTTCCATTTGAGCATTTTGTTATCTCTCCCTTAGAAATAAACTTCTCTGATTATTTAACTAGGAAATTCCTATGTATCTTTCAAAACAAAGAATAAATATGTTCTTTCTTAGGAAGCCTTTTGTATAATGGTTTATTTGTTTGAAATGATGTTTCACAACTTGAGGTGAGTTGTACATTATTCCTATTTAGGTATGAAATTGTATTTGCAGTTATGTTTCAAATCTATCTTCAATAGTATGTGTTAATGTCATTTACTTTATATATCAAGAATGCAGGATAATGCCTGGCACACAGTAAGCTTTGAATGAGCAGAGAAAATGGATGATTAGCTGAGGGGTTCTGAAACAGACAGTATCATATTGTTGAGTGGCCCTGCGCTCTCAACCATCAGCAGTGGTTTCAGTGGTGTTCATGCCTTTTGAGTAGCCTTTTCCCTGCTTATAGAATCCCAGAAGTCTGACAGTCTTTCTTCATTTCATCCCATATTTGCCCCCTTTATTTCAAGGGGATTGGGGAGATGTTGGTTAAAGGATGCAAAATTTCAGATAGATAAGAGCAATTAGTTCAAGAAATCTATTGTGCATCACGGTGACTATAATTAATAACAATATATTGTATACTTGAAAATTCCCAAGAGAGTAGATTTTAAGTGTTTTTACCACACAAATATGATAAGTATGTGAGGTAATGCATATGCTAATTAGCTTGATTTAGCCATTCCATGATATATACATGTATCAAAACATCATATTGTATAACAAAAATATATGCATTTTAATGTATTAATTAAAAAGAAAACAACCTTATTGACTTTTTTTTTGGAATGTCAAGGGAATCAACATTTGACATGAGGGCTCTCCGCGGATTCTTCCTGGATAACTTTATCTCTATTCCTAGCTGCTGCGATGATGGCTGTTATGATCCACAAGTCACACATGTCTCTCCCCTCATGAAGGTCAAAATTTAGTATTACAGTGCAATAACCACACACACACACACACACACACACACACACCTTAATTACAGCAGTTTAAAATGGGTGACTGAGATCTTCCCAAAAGTAAAGGGAATATCAGTGCATACTAACACATGAGAATATGTTTGAAACAGCACTGTTAGTCAGGACCAGAAGATTTCAGATATCCAGTTAATATATTTTTTAAAGAACACCTTTAGAATTATATTACAACCAGATCTTCCACAGGAATAGTCTAAATGGGCGATGGAAACTAACTTCACTCAGAGATTCAGAAAATTTGAGAGAGAAAAAAAGTGGGAGATGAGATGAAAATGATGAGAATATGTAAACTGAGTATCCGTACATGTGTTTCTGGTATTCTGTCGTTCACCTCTAGTGTGAATGGGAAATAAAAGCTTCAGATTAGAACTAAGGAGCAGTGTGCAAAGACTGTCTGCAGATGGAGTCAGGACAACTACCCTGGGCATAGTACCCGGGGGCAAAATATTAATATAATCTTAATATAATCTGAGTGACAAGCCAAACATTTTCTGGTTCTGTTAAACATATGATTCAAAAACTTCACTTGAATGCTATTTTAGAGAGGGAAAACTAGTTTCAGTGCTAAATTTGTAACAGTAATTGAAAATAACTGAACAATTTTATCATTAAGAATGCTAGGCTGGGCGCGATGGCTCACGCCTGTAATCCTAGCACTTTGGGAGGCCAAGGCAGGTGGATCACAAGGTCAGGAGATCGAGACCATCCTGGCTAACACGATGAAACCCCGTCTCTATTAAAAATACAAAAAATTAGCCGGGCGTGGTGGCCGGTGCCTGTAGTCCCAGCTACTTGGGAGGCTGAGGCAGGAGAATGGCATGAACCCAGGAGGCGGAGCTTGCAGTGAGCTGAGATTGAGCCACTGCACTCTAGCCTGGGCAACAGAGCAAGACTCTGTCTAAAAACAAAAAAAAAGAATGCTAATTATGTTAATTGATATCTTAGTGAATAGATGTTTACTCTTACTTATTTTTCAATAAATTATTCTTTACTAAAGTATACTATTTTCTTTAATACTCACTGGGTTCATTGAACAAAAGGGCCTGGAATAAAATAAGCAAAAATAGCAGATATTTGTTCAATTTTCACATCCTACAGATTTCAAAAGATTTTCTAACAACACACAGCATGAAACTCACATAATATGAAGACACAAAACTGGCCCAGATATACAGCATTCAAAGGAGAATACTTTAGACCTATCCCCTACTACATTATTGTTTTGGAAGATTACTTAGAATATATTTTAAAACCCACAATACAAACATTTATTTTAATAAAGTTTATCTGCAGGAAAAATTGGTACATTATGACCCATGCTTTTTTTTATTATTATTTTTTTCTGAGATGGGGTCTTGCTCTGTTGCCCAGGCTGGAGTGCCATGATGCCATCTCGGCTGACTGCAACCTCCACTCCCAAGTTCAAGCTATTCTCCTCCCTCAGCCTCCTGAGTAGCTGGGACTATAGGCATGCACCACCATGCCCAGCTAATTTTATTGTATTTTTAGTAGAGATGGGGTTTCACCACGGTTTTCAGGCCAGACTTGAACTTCTGACCTCCAATGATCCTCCTGCCTCGGCCTCCCAAAGTGTTGGGATTACAGGTGTGAGCCGCCATGCCTGGCCCCCATCTTTATTATATCATGTCATTTCAGCTGTCATTTCCATTCTGCCATTATATAACTTTCCCTCATTTTCAAAATCCACCTTAAAATAAAAATCCTCACAATGGATTTCAAAATATGCCCCCAATTTACCCTTAAATGCATTATTTGAAATACCTCTGTATTGATCTTAAGATGATCATTGCTTCTTCATTTCATATTAGATCTTGCCATTCCCTAAATTCTTATAATCAGTCCCTTTGCCTCTCATTTCCTGTATTGTCTCAAATCCCATATCTTTGTCATTTATATTTTGAAGATGCCAAATAATTTTTATCTTCAAACCAGACACATGTTTGAATCCAATAATTTTATGTTTAACACTGTGGTCTCTCTCCACTGAAGTTTTCCAGGTATACTTTATTCTCGTTAAGGCTAAAATTCGTTCTTATTTTTTTCTCAATATTTCTCCAATCTTTCAATAGTCTATTCCAGCAAATGACCACCGAATCTGTTTAATTATCCATAAGCCAGAAACATGGGCTTATACATATTTACAATTCCTTTTGCCTTCATATTGAAACGGTTATTGAAATTGTAAGGATTCATGTTCCCTTTATTTTATCAAGCTTGTTCTGCCTTTCATTTAACACCTGAGTCACTGCATTAGCCTTTTTTACACACATCTCTGTTCCAGGCTTAGTATCCCCAATCTCAGGCAGTCAGAAGGGTAAGTAATTAAGATTGGATCTGTAGTGGCTGTAAAAACTGAGATGATCATCCATCTCAGGTAGGTTACATATTTATATTTATGAATGAATGAATGGGCTTGGATTAAATGTAATCATTTTGCTCCTATGTCTGTTTATTTTTAAATGCTCTATTTCTAGTATATTCTGAAATTTTCCTCTTATTTGAAAACTTTTAAAGTAAAAATAAGTCATTTTTATAATCACTTAATATATGACAGTAGAGATGCATTTTCTATTTCATTCATGTATGTTTTAGATTTATATCATAAAGATTTTAAATGAAAAAATAAACAGCAGCAAATAAAACTAATAAAATGTATGTTAGTAATAGTATTAAATGCATTTTTTTTCAAAATGTAATATCAGAGATATCTTAAATAACAGAGCTAGGTTGTCTTGCTTATCTGGCAAGCAACTGCTGTTATAAACATGAATCCAAGAACAAGGTATGAAATCGTATGACATATTTTTGAGCTGAATGTATCAAATATCTGGCTCATTGAATCATGAATTGTCTGATCAGGAAAGGAGAAGAAAACAACCCCTACTCCTGACCTAGAATAATTCATATCCTGTGGTATTAGGAAGATTTAAAAAAGAAGAAGAAGACATGAATTAACAAAAACAAAAACCACTAGACTCTTTTAATATTTGAATATAAGAGGGTACTCTGACACACAGTTATTATATAGCTGGAAAGAGGATTTTGAGAGATCAATATTGTAGCTTTCATCAGCTTATTATTGCTATCAACAAACAATTGTTCTGCTTTATCGAGATGTTTAAGCATTCTTAAATTATTAGGGGCAATAAAGACAAGCAAACATAAAGCTAAACAGAAAAATAAATACTCAAAATTTCAGCTGTATAAGATCTCAAAATTTGTTATGCATTGTAAACTGTCCTATTTGTAATTACACTTAAGATCCCAGATCAATTTTATTCTGCATGTACTTTTTGAAAAAAGATCAAATATGTATATTAAGTACAAAGTTGCAAAAGCTAAAGGTTAAACTTAGTTCATTATAAGCCTTTACTAACCCTTTATTTTCTACCTTTCCATATACAATTTCCTTGGAAATTACCAAAAGGAGGAAGCTTTGACTTCAGGAATTGTTTATTCTACCATAATCTTTATTGGTTTCCTTGCTTCAATTTTCAAATCTGCAATTGAAATTAGATATGATTGCCTAGCTGAACTTCAGTAAGATGCATTTTGATTATGATACCCTCTACTTAGAAACATTATGTTCTTTCCTATTGTGCTCAGGACAGACTATATGTTTTAGACGAGGTCTTAAGACACATAATAATCTAGCCTCATGCTATATGGCCAGTTATCTCTAAAATAGCTTTACCATTCTCTTCATTATCCCTTTGGTACTTGAAGTCATATCTCTTACTGAGACGCTTTCTTCCATCTCCTCCTCATCGATATTTGGTATCTCATTCCTTAAAATGTGTTCCGTCTGTCAACTTAAGCACATACCTTTCCCATTCCATGAAATTCTTTGCAGCTACAGTGATTGTTCCTTCCTCAACATCTATACAAATTCCATTCAATAATCAATTTAATTTCTTTAATGTATATATACTTGTGTTTCAGTTTAATTTTTTAGTAAATATTCATTCAAAATTTCTAGAGATAATTTTATTCATTGCAGCTGTGGCATATAAGCCCTAACTATGAAAAATGTCCATATCTATATCTTCAAATTCCTGTTTTAAAAAAAGGTGTGTGTGTGTGTGTGTCTGTGTGTGTGTGTTTGTGAGAGAGAGAGAAAAAAAAGAGAGAGAATAATGAATAAGAGCTATAGAATCACTCCCTTTATACCATGGCTTTGTGCTCAGTATAGTCAGTGCTTTGCATATAATCATTGTGGTGGTAATATTAGTAGTTTGGCAACAGAAAACACTTGTTTTTTCTGGCCATTGTACTAAGCATGCTTCATGTGTTAACTCTGAATTCTCCTACCGTCTCTGTAAACACAGATGGAAACCCTGCTGCATACAGGTCCTAGGTAATTAGCCTAGGATATCAGGCTGTAGATTACATACTTATCACACTATGCACTCTCCATAAATAGATGATTTTATTAATTACTTAGTTAAGCTTCTATAAGCAAATTTTCCAGGAAATAAACCATATGATTCCTAAAAGTCATGTTCCATACATGTAACATGATGCTTTGTAAATCAGCATAGTCAAATATGAAAGACTGATCCACTTTTCAGTGTTGGCTGAAGTTATTTTTACCTTTCTTTGCGTGCATCCAAACATGCAAATAATACTTAAGCCATTTTCTTTTATAAATCAATAACAATGAAACACACAGGCAACAATTGCTTCATATATGACAGCTAAATTAGCACCTGATTAATTGCATTTATGCGATAGGAAAACCATGGACCCTCTCAACATCTGGACAAACAGTTCAATGAAAGAACTTTCCTCAGTTCAGTTCTGTGTATTCTTTTGTGTTATGAATACCTTCAAAATATAGGTTAATCAACATTTATTGAGTACTCACTCTGTAATGAGCTTAATGCTAAGGATTATATTATTGCAAATGATATTGTTTTATTTCACTGCCTCCTGTTACTCTTATCTGGGTACCTTAGATTTTATCTCTTCACCCACTGACCTGTACCCAGTTGGATAAAATATCCCCCAAATTTTAATGGCCAAATTGATTCCTCCTTCTGCTTTAAGATATGGTGTTCCTCTGCCCTAAAACTTACCATTTCAGGGACAAACTGTTTATAACTTAGTTGTTGCACCAGTTTCTGTGTATCTAGGAGTAAGAAATAAAGAAATCCTAGTAAGTTCCTACTCTGGGTCTGCTCTCTGCTTTATCTAAACTAAAACTCAGAGAAAAGAAAATACCTACACTGAAGATTCAAGCAGCCAATTAATATTTTTAATAGATAGAGGGCTGTTTGGGTACCCACAACACTTATTTTCTTACACTCCTTATGAGTTATTTTTGGAATTTTTCAGTCTGTGTATTATAATTAATATGAATCTATCTTTCTAAAAATATAATTAGATCAGAATGAATTTAAATTGACCTGAATTTAAATTGACAAGGTTTAAAATGTGCGATATTTGTTTCTGTATAATATTTTGAAAAGGCATTTGGTGATGATGCCTGGATCTGATTTTATGAGCTTTTGATCTTACAAGATTCACTGCTCATGGATCACAGCTTTGCCAGTATTCTGAGTATTTGGAGATTTTCTAGTCATCTTTCTGTTATAGTTTAATTGTATTGTAGTCTGAGAAAATATTTTGTATGATTTAGATTCTTTTAAATTTGTTAAGCTAGATCCAGGATGTGATCTACCTTAGTAAATATTCTATATAAGCTTAAATATGTGTTTTGCTGTTTTTAAATAGAGTGTTCTATAAACGTCAATTTGATAAAATGGATCAATACTGCTCTTCATTTCAACCATATCCTTGTTGATTTTTTGCCTGCTCCATGTCAATTACTGATGGGGGGGTGGGGAATTATCCAACTATAATAGCAAATTTGTGTCTTTCTCTTTTCAGTTCTATCAGGTTTTCCCTCAAATATTTTGATACTGTGTTGTTAGGTACATACCAGTTAAGGTTGTGTTCTTCTTGGAGAATTGACCTTTTTTATCATTATGTAGTTACCCTTCTTATCCCTGACAATTTCCCCTTTCCTGATGTCTTCTTGTCTGAAATATACTTTGGCTTTCTCTTGATTAGTGATAGTATACTATCTTCCTCCATCCTTTTAATTTGTCATAATCTTCACATTTAAAATGAATTTCTTGCAGACAGCATATAGCTGGGGCTTGTAATTTATCTAGGCTAATAATTATTGCTATTTTACCGATGTCATTAGACATATTTAAAGTGATTACTCATATATTTATGTTAAAATGCAATATATTTGTAACTTTTCTTTCATTACGTTTGTTCTTTGTTACTAGTCTCTACCTCTTGTTCTACTTTTTTTGTTTTAATTATTTTATATTATTCCATTTTATTTGGCACAGTAGTTACACTTCATTTTTACATATCTGTAGGTGAACTAGGTTTTATAATATGCATTGTTAAATAAAGTTAGTTCAGCTTCAAATAACACTATATTTTATTTGTAGCATAGGTACCTTGTAACACAGTGTTCCACATTCTCCCTTCTGTCGCTTCTGATGTTGCTGTCATCATTATTTTACTTACTTATATTCTTGAATTACCTAAATGTATTATTAGTATTGCTTTAGATAACTAACTGTTAGATCAGTTAAATACAAGACAAATAAAATATTTCACTTTATTCCTTTTCTGATGCCCTTTTAAAAATGTAGATTCAAGATTCTGACTTATATCATTTTTCTTCTTCCGGAAAAACTTTTTTTAACATTTCCTGTATGACAGTTCTGCTGTCAATGTCATTAGTTTTGGTTTGAGAATATTACTTCTCCTTTATTTTTGAAGAATGATTTTTGTGGATGTAGAATTCTAGGTTGGCAGGGATTTTTTTTCTCCCTCAATACATTAGAGATTTGATAATCTTCTTGTTTTCATTATTTTAGGGGCGAAGTCAGCTATAATTCTAAACTTAATTCTTCTGTAAGTAAGGTGCCCCTTACCAGCTTCCTTCAAGACCTTTTTTTTTGTTTGTTTTACTGCAATTGAAATAAAATATTCCTACTGTGGTTTGTGTGTATGAGAAAGACTGTGTGTGTGTGTGTGTGTGTGTGTGTTTGTGTGTTTGTGTGTGTCTGAATGAAATATTTACCCTGCTTGGTGTTTTCTGAGTTTCTTGGTTTGTGGATTAGTGGCTGTTATTAATTTTGTAAAGTTCATGGCCATTTTAGTTCTCATTTACTTTTTTTCTCTAGTGTTTTCTTATAAATTTTTAATATTTCTCCACAGTTCCTGAATATTTTGTTTTTAAAATCTTTTTTCTTCTCTTTGTACTTCAATTGGTAAATTTCTATCTTCAAGATTGCCGCTAGCTTCGTTTATTATTTTCTTAATAGTGTTGAGTCTACTGATAAGTTCATTAAACACATTCATTTCTGTTACTTTAAGAAAGTTTTCTGCATTTTATTTTTTACTTTTTCTTAATGTAGCCATGTCAATGTGTCCTGAAGTAGTTGGTGTAAGATTCAGTTTATACATTTCTTATGAGATTTTATAGAATTCAGTGTGAAAACTACCTGGGGCTGCGTTTTCTTTGTAACAATGATTTTTACAATGAATCCAATAAAAGACTACTCACATTTTCTGTTTATTCTTTTGTGAGTTTGATGATGTGTTTTTAAAAATAAACTTATCATTTCACCTAAGTATTCATAAAGGTGTTATGAAGTTGTTTATAATATTTTCTTATTAACATTCAAGTGTCTATGTGATTTATAGTGATAATCTTTCTATCCTTGATATTGATAATTTTTTGCTCACTTAGTGTTTTCTCGAATAATATACCTAGGCTACTATCAATTTTCCTGGTGTTGGAAATAATAAACTTTGGTCTGTTAATTTTTTTCATCACTTTTTAGTATGAAATATTTACTAATTTTCTTTGTGATTCTTCCTATCATTATGGATTATTTAGAAGTTGTTTAATCTCCAAATTTTAAGTATCATATCTTATTATTACTTATGACAAATTTAATTATTATCAAAGTATATTCACTGTATAATTTCAGTTTTTTAAAAAGTATTTAGATTTGTTTGATTTTTTATGTGGACTTTGTGTATGTATCATCTGCAGGGAGTTTTCTGTATTTTTTAGGTATATTGTTCTACAATTCTCAATTAAATCATTCTGGATGAGAAGGGACCTAAGAATATTTACATCTTTAGTAGTTTTTTCTCTAATTGCTCTATCAAATGCTTTGTGAGACATGCTAAAATTTCCACGCTTGCTGTTTTGGACGCCTCTTTGATTCTATCACTATCTTTCTCGTGCATTTTGAAGCTCTGTTATTAAGTGTAAACATATTTGTTAAACAAGGTTTACAGGAGGGCATTGTTTTGCACTAACTTCCTGAACTAGGTCTCATCAAACCAGGCCAAACCAAAATGGTGTAACTTATACTATGTGCAAGGAAGTAGGTAGATCCCCAAATAGACCAGTTTTCCCTGAAGACAGGAGATTCATAGCAACCAATCAAAAAGAGCCCAGTCTACCTGAGTCAGTGTGATAAGAACTGTCTCCTTTGCTTCAACCTTACAAGAAAAGTGACCTGTAGTAACTTTACGTTAACTGATCTGCTTTCTAAAATTGTTCTGCCTTCTTGCTCCTCCCTTACAAAAACCAACCATTCTGGCATGGCCTGTGGAATATTCATTCTATTTTATAAAATGAGGTGTTTCCTGATTCCAGAATTAAAAATAAAAAATAATTATATCTTTATGTTAAATTTGTTGTAATATTGTCTTTTGACACATTTATGATGGTTATTTTTTATAAACTTCTCATTATATTGCTAGAAAATATCCCTTTTTACATACAGTAATACATTTTACTCTGAAGCTCATCTTATTTGATATTATGATATATTTATCTATAATAGATATTATTCATTATATAGTTGATATATTATTGATAATATTAAATATGAGAGTTCTCTTATATTTCACCTTTAGACAGTGAAACTTTATGCTGCAGGTTTAGTTAATGACTCATTATAAGGAAGTAAGAAGTAAGTCTAAAATTATAATGACCCACATAGTTACAATGACTATCTTGTGATTCTAATGCTTTTAGTAATCATTTCGTGCTCATTAGTACAAATGAGAAAGATTCCATACCAAGCTAAAAATTTAAAAACTAAGTTTTAGTTTAAAAGAAATATTTAAAAATCATTTCTCGTTATTACTACATTAGATACATTCCAAATTTAAAACAAACATACCTAAGAAAAAAAGATCTAAACCATTTCATAATAAGAAATAAAACAAGAATTAGAAAAACATTTTTTATCACTGGCTTTCAGATAAGTTATATGCTAACAGCAATTCTTTCTTGTTTTAATTATCATGATGAATTTGGGATTACTGTATTACCATACAGCCTATCCAGTCAGAGCACACACTTTGCTTAAACCTTACCAACTCCATAAAGATTTCACTGGCTTCTTCATCTTTCCTTCAGACACTTTCTGTCTTTAAGAATTATGGTGACCTTCTCCAATTAAGAATTATATAGTGTTCTGTATTTTTTCTTTCTATTAATTATTATATTTTAAGTGGTGCCATTTTTATAGAAACATTCATAGCAAGTAGTATGTATGTTGTAATAGAAAGACAAGGAAAGAAAATAAAAATAATAATTTGATATGTAAACTTTTAAAGTAAATACTGATTAACTTCATATGTAAAATTTGCATAAACTTTTAAAGTAAATACTGATTATTAACTTCATATGTAAAGTTTGCATCTGAAATTATCAATTCATGTTTTCTATAGCTATCATGTTAAAAAGATTTACAGTTAGAGGCCTGGTGCAGTGGCTCATGCCTGTAATCCCAGTACTTTGGGAGGCCGGGGCGGGCAGATCATGAGGTCAGGAAATCAAGACCATCCTGGCTAACACGGTGAAACCCCGTCTCTACTAAAAATACAAAAAAATTAGCTGGGCGTGGTGGGGGGCGCCTGTAGTCCCAGCTACTCGGGAGGCTGAGGCAGGAGAATGGCGTGAACCCGGGAAGCAGAGCTTGCAGTGAGCCGAGATCGCGCCACTGCACTCCAGCCTGGGCGACAGAGCGAGACTCCGTCACAAAAAAAAAAAAAAAAAGATTTACAGAGTAGGAGTACTTTCAAGACATTGTGCATCAGAGTGACTGTAACTGATGACAATATATTGTATTCTTGGAAAATGCTAGAGTGGATTTTAAGTGTTTTCACCACAAAAATGATAACTGTGTTAGGTTATACATTTGTTAAATAGCTAGATTTAACCATCCCACAACGTATATGTACTTCAAAACATCATGCTGTACACAGTAAATACATACAGTTTTATATGTCAATGAAAAAAATAAATTTGAAAGAAAAAAAAACTTTGAATTACTTGATTCAACATTTGTTTGTATTAATTAATCATGATTTCCTAGTATAGTGAAGAGCAATTTAGTGTTGATAATTGAGTCAAGCACGAATTATCAATAAAATAACATGAAAAATTATTAGAATGCTCTACCAATGCAAAAATGAAGCTGTTACCACCCAAATCCACTGAAAAACTTTAGCATCTCAGAAAATAAGACAATTAGTGTTTTGTGCTTCCTGATGAAATTCAGTATGAAGTACATGGGACAATCTATGAGGTAGTCTCATTAAAATACTTGGCCTGAATCTAATCAAAATTCTAAGATTAACTTCCATGTACATGGGAAAACACATAATAAGGAAAAAAAATATAAATGCAACTAAAAAATAGACAGACACATTAGGATATGGTACATTCAAATGGATGGCTAACAGGGTGAGGGGGACAAATCTGGACTGTAAGAAAGTTAAGAGACACATCAAATATAAATGCAATAGGTGGTCTTTATGGATCCTGATTCACATAAACACACGGTGTAATTTTTATGATATCAGACAAATTTGATTATTGATTATGTGTAAATTTATATAAAGGAAACACTTGATAATTTTTCTTGAAAAATACTGGCTTTACCATTAAGTAAGACTGTGTCCTCTGTTCAGAGATTCAGTGGTAAAATGACATGTGGAATTTGCTTTAAAGGCCTTAGCAAAAAAAAGAATGAAGGGATGCATATAAACCACATATAGCAAAATCCTGATAAGTTGGGAAATAAAGAGATTCACTGTACTTTCCTCACTACTTTAAATATATATTTTAAGTTTTATTAAAATTTTGTATAGTATAATATTTTCACTGACAGAAACAGAATGAAAAACTTGAAGGACAAATAGTAAAGGTTTTTTTATTTTTTTTCTGAGATGGAATCTTGCTCTGTCACCCAGGCTGGAGTGCAGTGGCACGATCTCGGCTCACTGCAACCTCTGCCTCCTGGGTTCAAGCGATTCTCCTGCCTCAGCCTTCGAGTAGCTGGGATTACAGGTGCCCACCACTGTGCCCAGCTAAGTTTTGCATTTTTAGTAGAGACGGGGTTTCCAGGCTGGTCTCGAACTCCTGACCTCGTGATCTGCCTGCCTCAACCTCCCAAAGTGCTGGGATTACAGGCATGAGCCACTGTGCCTGGCCTAGCAAATGTTAATTTAAACATAGTTTGATCTTATTTATACTTCCTCTTAAGCTATCTTTTGTGACTCAATTAATGGGTCATTTGTTGATTAAATACAGTATTATCTAGGATAATAAAATTTTTTTTCTATAAATTATGTATGGTTTGAAGGCCCAACCCCCAGTACTTGAGAATGTGACTGCATTTGGAGATAGCTTCTATAAAGAGGTGATTAAGATTAACTGAAGTAATTAGGGTGGGCTCGAATCCAATTTGACCAGTGTCCTTATAAGAAGAGAAAATTAGTACACACAAGAGGCATCAAAGATTGTATGTACAGAAAAAAAAACCATGTAAGGCCCCAGTCAGAAGACAGCCATCTACAAGCCAAGTGGGAAGGTTTCAAGAGAAACCAAACCTGCCAACACTTTGATCTCAGACTTCTAGATACCATAACAGAAAATAAATTGTTTAGGCCACTCAGTCTGTGATACTATACTTTTGTTTTGGCAGCCCTACTAAACTAATACAGCATTGCAGAGAATGCAGAAGTGTAAAGATAAGAAACCCCAAAATAATTAAGAAAATATGAAACATGAAGGAAATTAGTACAGATTCTTAGGAGACCATAATCTATCTATTTTACTAAAAATATTTTACTATGTAACTAATATTTTTTGGACTAGATCTTACATTCTCAAGGACAAATTTTAAATGCATTAATACAGTATTGCACCTTGTTAAAACTGAGTTAATGGAATGCAGTGGCCGGATAAATTAAGAAATTTAATTAAAAATTAAATATAAACTTGAGTAAAACTCTTAACATAGAAAGTTGAATTTAACCACAAGATTATGGGTACCTTATTTTTTAAAAGATGATTTATGAAATCTTTCTTGTGTTTGCAAAATTCTTTATGTATATGTTCATAAGTGTTTGGCCAGGTGAGTAGGCAAAAAAAATAAAAAATAAAAAACACAGAAAATCAATGAACAGGAGATGGTGGTTTATGGAAGTCAAAGAGAACTGGATTCTAGAGCCAGCTCCAGCAATTATTAGTTACTGACTCACACTACCAAAATCTTTAGTTATCATTTCACAGAGAAAAAGAGGACTATTTATATATTAGTCTTTTTAGTGTTGCTATAACAGAATACTTGAGGCTGGATAATTTATAAAGAAAAGAGGTTTATTTGGCTTATGATTTTAGGTCTTGTGAGGGACTCCCTCATGCTGCTTCCTCCGTGGCAGAAAGCAGAAGGGTGCAAAAAGATCAGAGGGTAAGGGAGGAAGCAAGAGAGAGAGAAACCAAGGAAGCCAGACCCTTTTTGAACAACCAGCTCTCATGAGAAATAACCCATTCTCTTAACAGTGAGAACTCACTCCCCCAAATAAATGCATTAATGTATTCATAAGAGGTCTACCCCCATGATCTGAACATCACATACCAGGCCTCACTTCCAATACTACTACATCAGGGATCAAATTTTAACATGAGTTTTCATGGGGAGAAACCACATCAAGCTCTATCTATCATCTATCTATCTATCTATCTATCTATCTATCTATCTATCATCTATCATCTATTTACTTACCTATGTACTTATATATGATTATAAGAAACATGAGGTTAATTATAAGAAATTGGCTCATGTGATTATGGAGCCTTGAAATACGAAGATAGAGGCAGCAGCAGATTTGATGTCTGATGAGAGCCCTCTTTTGCTCTTAAAAAAATGGTTTGCCTACCACTGCCTTCTTTCTGTGTCTGTATTTCAGAGGAGGAGAGACGTGGTGTCCTCATCCTCTTATAAAGGCATGAATCTCATCATGGGGGCCTTGCTCTCATGATCTCATTTAAACCTAATTAACATCCACAGGCTCCACTTCCAAATAACATTATGCTGAAGATTAGGGCTTCAACATGTGAATTAGTGGGTACACAATTTGGTCCACAGCATTGGGCCCTGGTACAACAAATTCATGTCTTTCTCAAAAGCAAAATACAGTCATCCCTTGATATCCAAGGAGGATTGGTCCCAGGACCTCTCGCAGATACCAAAACCCAGATGTTCAAGTTTCTAAAATGGTGTAATATTTGCATATAACTTGTGCATGTCCTTTCATATACTTTAAATCATCTCTAGATTACTTATAATACCTAACACAATGTAAGTGCTGTGTAAATATTTGCTATACTCTATTGTTTAGGGGGTAAATGACAAGAAAACTGAATCTGCACATGTTCAGTACAGATGCAATTTTTTTTCAAATGTGTTTGATTCACAGTTGGTTGAATCTATGGATGTGGAACCCACAGATACAGAAGGCTGACTATATATTCATTCCATTTTAACAGCCGCATGAGCCTTAATTCATTTCAGCATCAACTCTGAAGTCTAAAATTCAAAGCTTCTTCTAAGCATTTTTAAAATCAGATATGGGTGAGACTCCAAGCAAAAATCCATGCTGAAACTAAATATCCCTCCAGCTATGAAACTGTGAAACTAGATAAGGTATGCAATTTCAAAATACAGATATGGGACAGGAGTAGGATAGACATCCTATTCCAAAGGTAAAAATCTGAAGAAAGAAATGGATAATTTATCTCAAGGTAGTCCAAAACCTAGCAAGGCAAATATCATTAAATATTAACATGTTAATCCTGTCTGGTTTGATGCTCTGCCTTTCAGAACCACTGGGGCAGCACTTCTGCCTCCATGGCTCTGCTGGTCATGGGCCGTACCCCCAAGGATTTGTGGGGCCTGGTAGCTGGCCTGGGTTAGTCAAGATCATGTCCCTCACTCTTTGAGACCAAAGAGGCATCCCCAATGATCTCTGAATTGCCTTTGGGATAATTCTTCCATTCTCTTGAAGAATAGCATATATTTGTAGCAGAATGGCAAAATAATTCAGTCCTAAAAATAGAAATCCAAGAGCTTTCCTTCATTTCATCCCATCACTTTCCCTTTCAGTTCAAACTGGTAGTGTGCCTGCTCATATAATCCTGTGTGTACGTTTTCCTGCATATATCGCCCATCTAAGCACTTTGTGTACATACTTGTATAGAAAATTTAATTGTGCTAGCTTTCATTTGTATGAGTTTGCTAGTGCCTCCCTTATTAAAACTTATTGCAGCTTCACCTCTTTCTAAGATAATTCAATAGAAAGCCATGGAACTTCTAACATTTTTGAGTTTGTTTTAAATCAGAAGCCCACCTCTGAAGTTTTGAAATAGTGAATCAAAGGGGCTTCAAACTGTTAATTTATTTTTCTTATTTTATTCTCTCAACATTCTAATTAAATGTATATGTAAACTTGTTCATCTCAATCATTGAGGTAACAAGATTTTTCTTTTATTATCTCTTCATTTTATTATTATTATTACTATAAAAGCAGTAGTGGTGGTTACCTGAATTAGCTTTGGTACTTGGAGTTTCTAAGAAATGTGTCTGAATACTTCATTTATATCCTGTCTACCCTCTTTTGCTATTTTCCAAAATTTGTTAAGTTGCTCACAAAGTGGCTCTCATATATTGCTTCATTTAATTCACATCCTTTAAAAATCTGTAATATTTCAAAATGTGCTAATTTCCTTCAAAAGCTTTTGACCCACCTTAATGGATTTGATGATGAAAGGGGAAACACTGCACATAGCAAGAAATGGTATGAAAGGAAAAGCACTGGATATTTCCTGAGTTTGGTAATAACTAGTGCAATTTATTTGCAATCCCTATGTATTAAAACAGTTTGGCTCATCCAAGAAGGTACTGCAGTTCTCTAGAATTAAGTCCTGTCATGAAACCGCTTGGACTCATTTAATGCTTATTGATTTTCATAAACAAACACTGAATTGTTGGGTGGTTAAGACAAAAACAATCGCACAAACTGATATGCTTTCTCCAGTATAGATATGGTTTCTCCAATACAGACACCCACTACTTGGAATGTCTTCGTTTCATGGCCTTTTCTTCTGATTTAATACTCACAAATTATTTCTTCCCAGAATAATTTTGCTATCAAATACCTAAAATCTTAACAGAAACTGAATTATTTTGTTCATTATACTCGCTTTATTATTTATTTGTCAATTCCTCTATAAAACCATGATTTTTCCTTCGTGTTTCTTTCTAAGTACATTGCAGGTGTCAGTACACTTGCCTTTAAATACTTCGTCATGAACACCATGAGCTAGATCTGAATTTTGTTTAGCTTTTTCTTTTGAGTTAAAATATACATACAATGAATTACACTAGACAAAGTGTGCATTCACTGTCATTTGACAATTGCACACACCTTTATAATCCAAAGACCTATCAAGCAGGAGGACTTAAGCAAGTGCATCAGTGGCCCTCTGGAACAGCTCTAGCTTACTGTGTTTCAGACTACATCGGGGAAGGATTAAGGCTCTAGCACTGCAGCAGGAAGTTAAATGTCTGCAGTCACACTGCCCATGCCAACTGTGGATCAGATCTTCTGGCCGTGGGGTCCAATGCATTGCAAAGGACTGGATCTTGTGTACAGTGTCTCTCTCCACTTTTTGTACGTAAGCACTTTAGACTTGACCTTAGTGTGCATGTTTTTTGTTTTCAGCAATCTTGAATCATGTGCTGGTTTCTTCTCTGGGTGGCAATTATCTGCTTTTAACTTTGGCCACATTCATGTCATGTTCTATTCTGCAGCACATTCTGACTATCCAGTGAATAGGGAAATAAGTAGCATAAATAATCAACTTTGTACTTCTTTATAAAGATTATTGTGGATATTCCTAGGTACTTTGAACATTCATATAAACTTTAAAATCAGTTTGCCACTTTCCGCCCACACACACACACACACACACACACACACACACACAGCTTAATGTAATTTAGATCGTGTTTGTCTTATATCTGTAAGTCAATTAGGAAAACAAAATTGCCACTATCATAGATTGTCTTCAAGTATTAGTACCTTGAATTTTATGAAATTCATTTCCTACATTTAAACTCACATAAATCCTCTCTACATCATTGTTGCTATTCGTGTTTTTGCATAAGGGGATTGGTTCTAGAAAAAAAAAGAAAGATGAGAGGATCTTCACCCTAGAAAATTCAACGTTCACAAAGACTTTCCATCACATAGTCAGATCTGTCATTAGAAAACTTAGTCTCTTATTTTCCAGTATTGGAAAAATTAACATCATCTTCTTCTTCATTTTTCTTTTATTTATTTATTAAAATTTTTTTTATTATTATACTTTAAGTTCTAGGGTACATGTGCACATTGTTGAAGACAGTGTGGCAATTCATCCTCTTCATTTTTCTTCATCACCATCATCATTGTCTTCTTTATACCATTATATATTTTAAATAAAATTACAGAACCAAAAACAAAGTAAAAATTAAAAAAAACTTCTACATAGGATGTCAGAATCCTAACTACTAAAATGAATTAAAATTGAACCTATTTTCAATGTCTTCACTTAAAAAATATCTTTTTTTCTGATTATAAATTGAATTTATATGTATTTGAAAAAAATTTTTAGAGGAAGGCCTTAGAAAGAAAATACAAGTAACAATTAAACTCACAATTCCAGGGAAAACCAATGTTAATATTTGTGTGTACTTCACAGTAAACTATATAAAATAAATGAATAAAAATATAGGAATATTTATAGTAATGTACATACATAAAAGAATGCTATACCAACATAATTTTTTAAAGTTAAAATTAGGTTAGTTATTTTTATCATGCTTTTACATTTCAAAATAAACACCAAGTATTTTGATGTGTCAGTTAATATCCTTTGAAAATATAATTTATACTAATTACTTTTCCATATAAAAATGAAATATCATTAATTTATTTACCCAAAGTTGAGAATCTTTACATATTTTTACTATTATAAATAATGCTATGATATTTTTCCCATAAATATTTGATTAAATTACTTAATATTACTCTGGAATAATTTCTTAAAAGGAAACTCTGGATCTTGACCATATTGCCACATTTTCTCTGCAGTGTGGGGCTTGATTTATCATTCTATATTCTGTATTAGAAGGCACCTGTCTCCACATCCTCACTGACTGTTAAGTGACACCATGTTTATATTACAACACCTTGATAGGTACAAGAAAAAAAAATATGGACCCTACATTCCTGGAAGAAAAATTCACAGAAAGAGAATATACACAGATTAAAAGACAATAGGATTAGTTATTAAGAAGATGAATACAATAAAGAGGATGAAGTGGGTGGAATAATTGTCTCCCAGAAATGTTCCTGTCCTAATCCCTGAAACCGACAAAGATTCCAATTTACATGGTAAAGTGAATTAAGGTTGCAGATGGAATCAAGGTTGTGAATCAGATGACCCTAAAATAGGGAGATTTCCCTGTATTATACCGTGAGTCCAATGCAATTCCAAAGGTTCTTATAAGCGAAGGAGGGAAACAGAAGAGGCAGAGTCAAAATGAAGTGATATGAGAATGATTTGACCTGCTACCTCAAACCACCCTTGAAAATTGAAGGAATAAGTCTATGAGCCATTAATGTGGGTGGCTTCTAGAAGCTGGAAAGGAATGAGAAACAGGTTTTTCCCTTTTAACCTCCAAAAAGAAACTCAGTCCTGCTGACACTTTCGTTTTGGCCAATGAAACTCATTTTAGCCTCCAGAACTACAGAACTATAAGGTAATACATTTGTGTTGCTTTAAGACACTGAGATTGTGGTAATTTTTTACAGCAGCCATAGGAAACTAATAGAAAAGCTAAAAGAAAAATAAACATGCTATGGTAGTATTAAAATCTATATTGTTGCCAAAACATTCCATGAAAATCCCTTTCATAGTGTTATCTTACGATCCATTTTATTTCTGTGGCATCTGTAGTAATGTTGCCTCTTTCATTTCTGATATTGAGTCTTCTTTTTTTCTTTATCTAGCTAACATTTATGAATTTTGTTTGTCTTTATTTTAAAAACTGCTTAATAGTCTATTTTAAGCTGATAAGTTCAATAGCACACAGAAACTCTAGAATAATCTCTGCAGTCACACACAGGAGCTCTAACACCCTACCCCACACTTTATTTTATTGTTGCTGCAATTTACATCCATTCATATTGTGTCTCTTTTAACATATTTTATTTCTTTTTTTAATACTTTTGTCTTTTGACTTTTATACTAGAATTAAAAGTCATTATTACTGTAGTAATCATTTCACTATGTATATGTATATGAAAACATCATGTTGCATACCTTAAATATGTACAATAACATATTTGTAATGAATAAAAAATAATAGTCATTTATACACCACTATTGCAGTAATGCAATATCTGTATCTGTCCCTATACTTACCTTTATTGTCAAGTTTCATACTTTCTTATGCTATGGTGTTGCTGTTTAGTATCCCATCATTTCAACTTGAAGAACTCCTTTTAGCATTTTTTCTAAGACAGGTAATATACTATTGGTGATGATCTCTCTCAGATTTTGTTTATTTTAAGTAGTTTTTAATCTCTCCTCCACTATTAAAGGCCAGGTATAGTGTTCTTGGTTGGCAGTTTCTTTTCTTTTAGAACTTTGAATGTATCATCCCACTCCCTCTGGCCTGCAAGGTTTCTGCTGAAAATTCAGATAGTTTCATGGACATTTTCTTTTATATGACAAGTTACTTTTCTCTTTATCTCAAAATACACTTTGTTTTTGACTTTTTACAATGTGATTACAATGTGTCTCAATGTTGATTTGTTTGAGTTCATCTTATTTGGGAACTTTTGGGCTTCATGGATCTGAATGTCTATTGCCTTCCTCAGATTTGGGAAGTGTTCAGCCATTATTTCTTTAAATAGGCTTTCTGGCCCCTTCTCTCTTCTCCTCTGATACTTCCTTAATGCTTATATTGGTGTCCTTGAAGAGGTCCTATCAGTTTCTTAAGTTTTCTCCACTCATTTTTGTTCTTTTTACTCTACTGACTGAATCATTTCCAATGATATGTTTTCAAGTTCACTGATTGTTTCTTCTGCTTCGCCTAGTCCATTGCTGAAGCTCTCTATTAAATAATTTAATTCAGTTATTGCGTTCCTCAGCTTCAAGATTTCTGTTTTGGTACTTTAAAAATATTTTCTATGGCTTTGTTGAAATTCTAACTTTTTTCCTGCATTTTTCTCTTGACCTCCATAAACATCTTTATATCATATTTTGCATTCTAAATGAAGTAAATCATATAATGATGTTTCATTAGGGTTGGTTTCTGAAGATTTATCTCTTCTTTCTTTGTTTGGAACATCTTTGCCTGTTTCTACGTTTTCCTTAGTTATCTGTGTTGATATTTGCACATTAGACACAGAAGGTCATCTCTCAGTCTTTACAGACTAGCCTTGTATAGGAGGAAACCTCCACCAACCAGCAAAGCCAGAGATTCTAGTCCTTCTAATAACTCTCTCTCTCCATGAAAAGAAGCAGGTGTGATTTTTGTCTACTCCTCTGTGCTGACCTGGGGTGGGAAACTATTGTATCAACCAGTCCAAACTACCATTTCTATTAATCTTTTATCCCAGGTGTCTAGACTGTACCAGACCCATCAGAGATCCAAGAGTGGCAAGTCTCTTACCAGTTCTTTGTGTAGTCCTGGAGAGGTTGGGTGCTGGGCTCATGATCAATTCTTTTCTTCTCTAGAAGAAAGCTGACACTTGGGATATTTTTTCTGCTTGCTCTGTGCTGAGCAGGAGGGAGTATCTATGGTGTCCACCAGCACTAGCTTCCATCTATTTTCTTCCCTGGTGGCTAGACTGTGATAGGCCTCTCAGAGCTCTAAGACTGGTCAGTAAGATGCCAGTTCTTTGGAGAGCCCTGGAGAAATTTGGGTGTTGGATGCACCAGTCAAGTCTTCCACACCCTTCCCAATCCCAGGAGAAAGCTGAGAGCTGGAATTTTTTGTCTGCTCTCTATGTACTGAGAAGTAGGGAAGATCTATGCTGTCTACCAGCTCAAGCCCCATCTCCATTCTCCCACAGGTGTCTAGACTGTGCCAGACCCATTCGAGCTCTAAAACTAGTTAGATAGATGCTAGATCTTCAGGCAGCCATTGAAAAGTTGGAGTGTCAGATACACAGATCAGCACTCTTCCTCCACAGCAGGAAGCTGAAAGCTGAGATTTCTTATCTGCTTACTGTATGCCAAGAAGTTGGGTTATGGGGGGGCAGGGTCTGTGGCATCCACCAGATGAAACCACCATCTCCATCCTCTGCAGAAAGCTAGATTGTGGTAGACCAGTCAGAGCTCCAACTGACAGACGTAATTCGTGTATAAAGCCCCTTTAAAAATTTTGGAGTACTGGACACAAATCAATCTCTTCCAATGACTGGGTGAAGCTGGGAACTAGGGGTTCTCTTTCTGATTGTATGGCAGTACACTGGGGACAGGGACTCCACTGAGAGGATGTTCTGAATCTCCCTACCAACTTTGGTAACTCTGATTTTTCATTTTCCCAGGATGTGGTAGTCATTCAATTAGCTTCAGAATTTCTTACAAAGATAATTTGTTCAAATTGTTGTTGAAATATGTTCTGGGGAGTAGGACGGTGCAGAACTTCCCACTCTGCCGTTTTGCTGATGTCACTCTGTAGGAGATGCTTGATCCTATTTAAACTTTCTATTTTAGAAGATAGTTGCCTTTCTATGTTTAGAGTATTTATATTCTGGTGTGCTTTTGTGGGCTGAGTTCCAAAAATGTTTAATTTTGATAGCTCTTTCAATATTATTATACTTTACTTTGCTTTTTTAATTCTGAAGGGGTTTCAGCTCAATCATTGCTGGTGCCATCTGGGGCAGAAGGCCCTTTCTAGGCCATTCAAGTCATTGGGCCACTTTGACGCCTGAAGATGGAAGGAACAAAAACAACGAGGCTTTGGTCTTCCTATGTCATTTGATAGAGGGCTAGGAAATATCAAGTTTGATGGATAATACTTCTGTGGCTCATTCAGGCTGCATTTCACTGGCCTTATTCTACAGCAGGGTTGTATCAGCTAGGTAGGCCTTCACTGATGCCTCTGAAGGCAGATCAGTTAGCTAGTTACCTGGTTATCGAATGACGGTTAGGTTAGTCATCCAGTGCTGTGATGTTGCCAATATGGGTGGAATGGACAGCCCACCAGTGCACTGAATGTGGACTGTGTTTGGTGGGCCTGCCAAGTCTGAAATGGCCACTGTGGGTGAATCAACACACACATGTGTCCTGACTCCCTGACTCTAAAGAAGGGGCTGGAGCAACTCCCCATGTCTTTGCCGAGCTTTTCCATTCTTAGTCATTTGGCCAGAAAGTGAAAGCTTTTCTTTAGCTATTATTGTTATTATTTTTGTCTATGCCTGTTGGAGGTTTGGGGTTAAAGATCTGTCTAGCACCCAGTTTGGGATATACATGAAAGATAAGAAGAAACTCAGATAACTGACCTTCCTCAAGTCCAAAGGTCACTAGTCAGAATTTTTCTTTTTATTAACCATCCTTCTATTCTCTATGTCCATGAGTTTTCAGAGTCTTTTTGTTGTTGTCCATTGACTTGTTTCAGAGTATTAAATTGTATTTAGAACGAAGGATAAGGAAAAACTGAAACTACAAAACTTTGTTCCAGAGCATGCATTTATCATAGATGTTGAATAATGTTCTTCTTTAAAAACATAATAAAGTGTAAACATATTTTGAGTAATACTTATTTCACTCCAAGAACAATCAGCTTCAAGTCAACCATTATTTATTACATAAAGAATTAAACCAGGCATTATATGAGACACTAATATTTGTGAAAGATGCAAATGATGCTCTTGAGGATCTTCCTGCTGACAAGGCTAGTGAGAAGAGGAAGTTAGCGAAGAAACAGAAAATTAAATAAATATTGTGCCATAGAAAGGTATATGATAAGAACCAAAAATTTAAAATAACATAAGAATGGTTTTTAAAAATGTCTCTTAGATAATGTTTTCAACTAATTTATCATCTGAAATGGAATAGAAAATCTATTAATGCTTATGACAATTTAACACGTGTAAATTGAAACTGTCTCAGAAATTGAAGATATAAGTTCAGCTTACCCTTAAAAAATTTTGTTTCAATTATTGTGGAAATATTTGCAAATAATTACATATTTAAAGAACTGTATAGTGAATCAATTTCCCACCGTTTATATTCAATAACTATCTGTGTATGGCCAAGTTTTATTTTCTGTACACTCCCTATTCCCTTTTCCCTATCAATATTTCAGAGCAAATTCTAGGCAATTTTTTGAGTCATTCCTTGATGAAAGCACTAATCACTTTTATCTCATGTTTTTTTCTCTTTCTCCTCTTCCCCACTGGATTCTCTTATAAGAAGAATTTCTGTACACTCATCCACATGCTGCTTTTTGTTTTACTTATAGTGCTGCAGCTCTGATGGTTCAACTCTGCCAAAAGATGGATCTTTAATGATTAGCACTACACACTGACCAACTCAGAAGAAGGAGCCACACCACCTGTGACTCCAGCCCTGACTTCTGCTCTGGACCAGTGTTTCCATAACAGGGACTTCAAAATCACTGTGATTTGAAGCCTTTTTGAACATGAAGATGTTACTCCTGCTGCATTGCCTTGGGGTGTTTCTGTCCTGTTCTGGACACATCCAGGATGAGCACCCCCAATATCACAGCCCTCCGGATGTGGTGATTCCTGTGAGGATAACTGGCACCACCAGAGGCATGACACCTCCAGGCTGGCTCTCCTATATCCTGCCCTTTGGAGGCCAGAAACACATTATCCACATAAAGGTCAAGAAGCTTTTGTTTTCCAAACACCTCCCTGTGTTCACCTACACAGACCAGGGTGCTATCCTTGAGGACCAGCCATTTGTCCAGAATAACTGCTACTATCATGGTTATGTGGAAGGGGACCCAGAATCCCTGGTTTCCCTCAGTACCTGTTTTGGGGGTTTTCAAGGAATATTACAGATAAATGACTTTGCTTATGAAATCAAGCCCCTAGCATTTTCTACCACGTTTGAACATCTGGTATACAAGATGGACAGTGAGGAGAAACAATTTTCAACCATGAGATCCGGATTTATGCAAAATGAAATAACATGCCGAATGGAATTTGAAGAAATTGATAATTCCACTCAGAAGCAAAGTTCTTATGTGGGCTGGTGGATCCATTTTAGGATTGTTGAAATTGTAGTCGTCATTGATAATTATCTGTACATTCGTTATGAAAGGAACGACTCAAAGTTGCTGGAGGATCTATATGTTATTGTTAATATAGTGGATTCCATTTTGGATGTCATTGGTGTTAAGGTGTTATTATTTGGTTTGGAGATCTGGACCAATAAAAACCTCATTGTAGTAGATGATGTAAGGAAATCTGTGCACCTGTATTGCAAGTGGAAGTCGGAGAACATTACGCCCCGGATGCAACATGACACCTCACATCTTTTCACAACTCTAGGATTAAGAGGGTTAAGTGGCATAGGAGCTTTTAGAGGAATGTGTACACCACACCGTAGTTGTGCAATTGTTACTTTCATGAACAAAACTTTGGGCACTTTTTCAATTGCAGTGGCTCATCATCTAGGTCATAATTTGGGCATGAACCATGATGAGGATACATGTCGTTGTTCACAACCTAGATGCATAATGCATGAAGGCAACCCACCAATAACTAAATTTAGCAATTGTAGTTATGGTGATTTTTGGGAATATACTGTAGAGAGGACAAAGTGTTTGCTTGAAACAGTACACACAAAGGACATCTTTAATGTGAAGCGCTGTGGGAATGGTGTTGTTGAAGAAGGAGAAGAGTGTGACTGTGGACCTTTAAAGCATTGTGCAAAAGATCCCTGCTGTCTGTCAAATTGCACTCTGACTGATGGTTCTACTTGTGCTTTTGGGCTTTGTTGCAAAGACTGCAAGTTCCTACCATCAGGGAAAGTGTGTAGAAAGGAGGTCAATGAATGTGATCTTCCAGAGTGGTGCAATGGTACTTCCCATAAGTGCCCAGATGACTTTTATGTGGAAGATGGAATTCCCTGTAAGGAGAGGGGCTACTGCTATGAAAAGAGCTGTCATGACCGCAATGAACAGTGTAGGAGGATTTTTGGTGCAGGCGCAAATACTGCAAGTGAGACTTGCTACAAAGAATTGAACACCTTAGGTGACCGTGTTGGTCACTGTGGTATCAAAAATGCTACATATATAAAGTGTAATATCTCAGATGTCCAGTGTGGAAGAATTCAGTGTGAGAATGTGACAGAAATTCCCAATATGAGTGATCATACTACTGTGCATTGGGCTCGCTTCAATGACATAATGTGCTGGAGTACTGATTACCATTTGGGGATGAAGGGACCTGATATTGGTGAAGTGAAAGATGGAACAGAGTGTGGGATAGATCATATATGCATCCACAGGCACTGTGTCCATATAACCATCTTGAATAGTAATTGCTCACCTGCATTTTGTAACAAGAGGGGCATCTGCAACAATAAACATCACTGCCATTGCAATTATCTGTGGGACCCTCCCAACTGCCTGATAAAAGGCTATGGAGGTAGTGTTGACAGTGGCCCACCCCCTAAGAGAAAGAAGAAAAAGAAGTTCTGTTATCTGTGTATATTGTTGCTTATTGTTTTGTTTATTTTATTATGTTGTCTTTATCGACTTTGTAAAAAAAGTAAACCAATAAAAAAGCAGCAAGATGTTCAAACTCCATCTGCAAAAGAAGAGGAAAAAATTCAGCGTCGACCTCATGAGTTACCTCCCCAGAGTCAACCTTGGGTGATGCCTTCCCAGAGTCAACCTCCTGTGACGCCTTCCCAGAGTCATCCTCAGGTGATGCCTTCCCAGAGTCAACCTCCTGTGACACCCTCCCAGAGTCAACCTCGGGTGATGCCTTCTCAGAGTCAACCTCCTGTGATGCCTTCCCAGAGTCATCCTCAGTTGACGCCTTCCCAGAGTCAACCTCCTGTGACACCCTCCCAGAGGCAACCTCAGTTGATGCCTTCCCAGAGTCAACCTCCTGTGACGCCCTCCTAGAGCCAACCTCAGTTGATGCCTTCCCAGAGTCAACCTCCTGTGACGCCCTCCCAGAGCCAACCTCGGGTGACACCCTCCCAGAGTCAACCTCATGTGACACCTTACCGGAGTAAAAGTGGTAAACAAAAGCAATCAGTACCAATTCCAAAAACTGTATCCAGAAAAGGTACATTAAAAAAATAATTCCTAGTATGTTTCTACTTACTCTTCATTGTTTTAAATAATTTGAACGTTTATTTTTTCTGAAAAACTTGACACTTTGTATTTCCTAAAAAAGCCATGGCATATGTGTGGCATACCAATTTTTAACTTGTTGTCTTTCAGCTTCCAAATCCTTTCTTCTTTTTCACTCTACTTTATAGGAACCGTATCTCTGCTAAACCAGACCTCATCCTATAGAGTTTTGCAACAGGGAGAAAGAATAGGAAATTAGAAATCTGGGAGATCTGTTTTCTTCGTTTATCAGTATTTCCTGAATAATAGGTTTTACACTGGTAACAATACTTGATTTTAATCTCCCCCTACTTTTTAAAACTCACTCCAGAAAAACTTCATTGTCTGCTGTCTGCTGTGTTACACTCAGGGTTCTGGATTCCAGTTCTTTGAGCTCTATGCAAATGTCTCAAACTTCCAGCACTGGCTGAGCAATACCTATTGTTAGAATTCTGAGTGTGAGATCCATGGGGCCAGTCCTACCATCTTCCAGGTTCAGCTAACTCCAGTCTTTTCCATTTGCTACTTAGCTTCATGAATGGAATCATTTTTTTGCAATTAGTAGTTCATATTTAGTAGCCAATTAGTAGCGTGGTGTCTACCTTAACTTGTTCTGTTCTTCAATTGCTGTTTACCCAATTACTTATATTTAATTATGTCCCTCCAAAATCACTCATGTGGTTTCCCTTTTTCTGACTAAGCTCTTTATAGTACTAATCTTGATATAAGGATGAAGCAGGAGTGAGAAGGCATCTTATGCTTTATTTTTTAAAATTTACTTTTAATTTTCAGGGTTTTTTTTTATCATTGCCCTTCACTGTCTCTGGAAAATTACTTAAACTTATAGACAGTTTACCTCAAAATAAGGTGGGATAATAATAACAGTTCTCTTTCAACTTCTGGGTTCCTCTGGTTATAAAATGCCATGAAGCACAGCACTATCCACAGCAGCAAAGACATGGACTCAACCTAGGTGCCCATCAATGGTGAAATGGTGTATTAGGGTTCTCTAGAGGGACAGAACTCATGGAATACACACACACACACACACACACACACACACACACAGAGAGAGAGAGAGAGAGAGAGAGAGAGAGAGAGAGAGAGAAAGGGGAGTTTATTAAGTATTAACTCACACAATAACAAGGTTCCGCAATAGGCCATCTACAGGTTGTGGAGCAAAGAAAGCCCATCCGAGTTCCAAAACTGAAGGAGTTGGAGTCTGATGTTTGAACGCAGGAAGCATCCAGCATAGGAGAAAGATGTAGGCTGGGAGGCTAGGCCAGTCTCTCTTTTCACATTTTTCTGCCTGCATATATTCTAGCTGTGCTGGCAGCTGATTAGATTGTGGCAACCCAGATTAAGGGTGGGTCTGCCTTTCCCAGCCCACTGACTCAAATGTTAATCTCTTTTGGCAACACCCACACAGACACACCCAGGATCAATACTTTGTATCCTTCAATCCAATCAAATTGACAGTAATAACCATTGCAAGTCCACCCCTTGTCAACTTGAACCCATACACATCTCTTGAGATCATGCATAATCTTCAAATAAAGACAATAATACAGTCATAATTATGCCTAAAATAATACAACTATCCTTTGTACAACTGGAAACGCACCAATCTCCAATCCAAATACTATTACATAAAATTAACAATACTTAAATGCTGATATGAAGTCAATAAATCTTGTCACATGATAAATGAGAAAAGAAATAAAATGAAGATATTTTCTTAGTACAAGTGTATACATGCACAAAAACGTTTTCAACAAAAGAAAGAGGAAATACTCATGACAATTTCAGTCCTCATTTCTGCAGCTGGTCACGTGGTCATGGCTGGTATTGATGACTACCTTCTACTACCCATTCTGTATTCCCTTTGCCTTTGGCAAGCACCTCAGCAGGCCCTTTTATTTTTTTTTAATTTCCCTGGTGGAGTGACCCAAACCTTCATTCCTGTGGGGTCTGGTCATTTGTAGTCTTGCCTGGATTGGGCTGTTGTAGTTTCCCATTTACCTTAATCACAGAGCATGGTAATACTAAGAGACGCCCTAATGGATCTCCTGTTTTCCATGCATACTCTTCCTTACCTCCATTGTGGAGTAATAGACTGATTTCCTCTTAATAGTCTGGGTAAATCACCCCAGCCAACACTGTAACTCCCTTCTTAGCCTGTTGACTTAAAGTAGGAGGAGCCCAAAGTGTCCAGGTGGCGATCTTCATTTCCAGTTTAATGGAATCGTTGTTGTGTATCCTGGTGGCAGCATTCCTCCCTCTGGAACGAAGACCTCTGGGCCAGCAGAACGTAATGTCATGGAAACAGGAAGCAAAAATTTTGCTAGTGGATCACTATGGGTAATGGTGAGTGGTGTCACTTCCACCCCTTGATTCCTTGAGCCATGAATCCTGCCTACAGGAGAAACAGTACCATATATCGGATGCTGATTCAGAGCACATACAGCCTTGTGGAGAACTTTGTCCCAGTCATGAAAAGTATAGTCACCTAGTTGGCATTGTAATTGTGACTTCAAAAGGCCATTCTACCATTCTATCAATCCAGCTGCTTCAGGATGATGGGGAACACGGTAAGACCAGTGAATTCCAGAAGCATGAGCCCACTGCTACACTTCTTTAGTTGTAAAGTAAGTGCCTTGGTCTGAGGCAATGCTGTGTGGAATACCACGATGGTGGATAAGGCATTCTGTGAGTCCACAGATGGTAGTCTGGCAGAAGCATTGCATGCAGGATAGGCAAATCCATATCCGGAGTGTCTATTCCAGTGAGGGCAAACCTCTACTCTTCCCATGATGGAAGAGGTCCAATATAATCAACATGCCACCAGGGAGCTAGCTGATTACCCTGAAGAATGGTGCCAAATAGAGGGCTCAGTTTTGGTCTCTGCTGCTGGCAAATTGGGCACCCAGCTGTGGCCTTAGCCAAATCAGCCTTGGTGAGTGGAAGTCCATGTTGCTGAGCCCATGCATAACCTCTGTCCCTACCACCATGGCCGTTTTGTTCATGGGCCCATTGGGTGATGATGGGGTGGCTGGGGAAAGAGGCTGGGTGGTGTCCACAGAAAGAGTCATCTTATCCACTTGATCATTAAAATCCTCATCTGCTGAGGTCACCTGTTGGTGCACTCACATGGAATACAAATATCTTCACAGTTTTTGACCACTCAGTGAGTTCCATCCACATACCTCTTCCCAAATTTCTTTGTCACCGACTTTTCAATCATGCTTCTCCCAAGTCCCAGACCATCCAGCCAAACCATTGGCTACAGCCCGTGAATTAGTATATAATTGCACATCTGGCCATTCCTCCTTCTATGCAGATTGCACAACCAGGTGCATTGCTTGAAGTTCTGTGCACTGGGAATACTTCCCTTCAGGTCTATGCTTCAGAGATGTCCTAGAAAGGGTCTGCAGTGCTAGAGCTGTCCACTTTCGGGTGATGCCTGCATATCATGAAGAACCATCTGTGAATCAGGCCCTAGTCTTCTCTTCCTCTGTCAACTGATCATAGATAACTCCCCATGAGGCCATTGGTGCAGGCTGGGGAAGAGAAGGCAGGGTGGCAGGAGTGGAGACCATGGGCATTTGAGCCACTTCCTCTTGTAACTTACTTGCGCCTTCAGGACCTGCTTGAGCCCGATCACATACATACCACTTCCATTGATAATGGAATGCTGCTGTGCATGACCTAATTTATGGCTAAATGGGTCAGAAAGCACCCAGTTCATGAAAGGCAGTTCAGGTCACATGGTGACTTGATGACCCATAGTCAAACATTCAATTTCCACCAAAGCCCAGTAGCAGGCCAAGAGCTGTCTCTCAAAAGGAGAGTAGTTATCTGCAGAAGATGGCAGGGCCTTGTTCCAAAATCCTAGGGGCCTCTGCTCTGATTCACCTATGGGGGCCTGCCAAAGGCTGCGAACAGCATCCCTATCAGCCACTGACACCTCAAGCACCACTGGATCTGTGGGGTCATATGGCCCAAGTGGCAGAACAGCTTGAACAGCAGCTTGGATCTCTTGCAGAACCTTCTCCTGTTCTGGATCCCACTCAAAACTTGCAGCTTTTCGGGTCACTTGATAAATGGCCTGGAGTAACACACCCAACTGAGGAATGTGATGCCTCCAAAATCCAAATAGGCCCACTAGGTGTGGTGCCTCTTTTTTGATTGTAGGAGGGGCCAAATGCAGCAACCTATCCTTCATCCTGGAAGGATTATCTCGACAGTCCCAACATCATTGGACCCCTAGAAATTTTACTGAGGTAGAAGGTTCCTGAATTTTAGTCAGATTAATTTCCCATCCTCTGGCATGCAAATATCTCACCAATAAGTCCAGTGTGTTTGCTACTTCTTGCTCACTGGCTCCAATCAGCATAATGTCACCAATGTGATGGACCAGTGTGATATCTTGTGGAAGTGAAAAGTGATCAAGGTATCTCTGAATAAGATTATGACACAAAGCTGTAGAATTGACATACCCCTTAGGTAGAATAGTAAAGGTATATTGTGAGCCTTGCCAACTGAAGGCAAATTTCTTCTGGTGGGGCTTTGGACAGGAATGGAGAAAACAAATTTGCCAATTCAATGGCTGTGTATCAGGTACCAGGAGATACCAAGACCAGCTCAGCCGAGGAGACCCCAGCCCAGCAGCGCTAGAGGAATTGAAGACAAAGACACAGAAATAGAGTGCAAAGTGAGAATCAGGGGGCTAACAGCCTTCAGAGCTGACAGCCATGAACAGAGTTTGACCCACATATTTATTGATAGCAAGGCAGTGATAAGCATTGCTTCTATAGATTATAGATTAACTGAAAGCATTCCTTACGGGAAACAAAGCTTTCTTAGTGAGGAGAAGAGAAATAAGCTTTGGCTGATTATCTGCAGCAAAAATATATTGTTAAAGTACAGGCCACTCCTGCTGTTGTTTGTGGTTTGAGCAGTTTTCCACTCCGGGTGGGCCAGGTGTTCCTTGCCCTGCTCCAGTAAACCAACAACTTCTAGCAGTGTGTGTGATAGCCATCAAGAGCATGTCACATTGCTGCAGAAATCCTGTTTCTGGCCAGTTTCTTTAAGGCCCGTTTGTGACAGGCTTAGGGATTGTTCCCAGCATGTCTGCCTTTCTGTTTTTGCAAAGCAATAAAGGCAAAGGCAGCTTTTTCACAGTGGGCTACTTCTTGCAGAATTTAGGATCCGCATCTGCAGACTACACAAAGACAACACCAATTAAAAGCACAATCATCATTGAAATCACAGAGCCTCCGAGTGTCTTGGTCCGTTTTAACCAGTTAATAGCTGCTAATCCATCTGCAGCTCCTTCAAACACTTCAGTTCCTGGCATTAGCGTCAGATGTGCCTGAGAGGCTTGAAATACTTGTTCCTTCAGTTTTGCAATATCCAAAGATAAATTTCCAGTATGACCCTTTAAATGTCTCTTAATTATTTCCCACTCATGCTCTGTTTCATTATACAAATGAGGAGTAATGCAAAAATCAGAAGTATTCCAGTCACATTGTAACTGTATTCTATATTCTAAACTACTTACTCGATCTCCTAGCCACATTACAATTTATCGGAGATCATTGATTTGATTAGCTAGTTTCAGGTCTATATTAGTTTGGGAATTCCACAGCAGAGTAGAATTTAAAAAAAAAAATTTTTTTTTTTTGTATTTATTGATCATTCTTGGGTGTTTCTCGGAGAGGGGGATGTGGCAGGGTCATAGGATAATAGTGGAGAGAAGGTCAGCAGATAAACACATGAACAAAGGTCTCTGGTTTTCCTAGGCAGAGGTCCCTGCGGCCTTCTGCAGTGTTTGTGTCCCTGGGTACTTGAGATTAGGGAGTGGTGATGACTCTTAACGAGCATGCTGCCTTCAAGCATCTGTTTAACAAAGCACATCTTGCACCGCCCTTAATCCATTTAACCCTGAGTTGACACAGCACATGTTTCAGAGAGCACGGGGTTGGGGGTAAGGTTATAGATTAACAGCATCCCAAGGCAGAAGAATTTTTCTTAGTACAGAACAAAATGGAGTCTCCTATGTCTACTTCTTTCTACACAGACACAGTAACAATCTGATCTTTCTTTCTTTTCCCCACATTTCCCCCTTTTCTTTTCGACAAAACTGCCATCGTCATCATGGCCCGTTCTCGATGGTTGCTGTCTTTTTGGAGCAGTTGGGTACACCTCCAGAAATGCTGTCACTTCACACTTGGAAGATTGCACAGCAGCCAGGCAGAGGCGCTCCTCACCTCCCAGACAGGGCGGCTGGGAAGAGGCGCTCCTCACTTCCCAGACGGGAATTCCACAGAAGAGTAGAATTTTTCTGCCAATTATTTACATAGTCTGCTGTTTGTACTGTGGAATGCTAAGAAACTCCAGCTACCATGGCAGTAGCTGTGACAGCAATCAATCACATAATGATTAAAATTAAAGTAGCAATGAAACACCAAGAGCGCCTCAAAATCTTTTGAAGAATTTCAGTAATAATATGCACAGAAGGAGAGACTTCCAAAGGATGGGAAATTCTTACAGGTATCCATACTCCTTCTCAGGCTCTTACCGCTAAAATAGAATGATCAGTATTATACAAGGAAGAATTCACACAAGAAGACAATATACATTATTAACAAGTCACATGATGATTAGTGAGATCAAGTTTTAAATCACCCACTACAAGCAGGAAAGAGGCCTCATTATCAGTCTCGACATGGTTGCAACTGGGGAGTCTTCGGGGTGCCTCCCAAATCTCTTCCTCAGCATCTGGCTCATGATAAGGTTTCAGGTGTCTTGATGGTATCCAAATTGGCTGCTAGTTTTGGCCTGGAGAAACACAAGCATAACCTCTACCCCATATTATTTTACCTATTTCCCAACTTTTTGTTATTGGATCTCTCCACCAAACCGGTTGTTCTGCTTCTGTCTTTGCTGCTGGTTTCTGTAGATGCTGTTCAGTTGCTGATAGCATCTGGCCTTTAGATAGGCTCAAAAAATTTAAAGTCAATAATGCTAGATTCAATTGCATATGTGGAGTCCCATATTCACTGTTTCCCCCTTTTTGTTTTTGTAACTACTGTTTTAGGGAGAGATTCATTCTTTCCACAATGGCTTGTCCTTGTGAATTATATGGGATGCCAGTAATGTGTTTAATATTCCTTACAGAGAAAAATGTAGCTAGAGCTTGGCTAGTATAGCCTGAGGCATTGTCCGTTTTAACTGAATCTGGAATGCCCATGACTGTGAAGCATTTCAGAAGATGCCATTTAACATAGGCAGAAGATTCCCATTTGGCAGGAGCCCAAACAAACTGAGAAAATGTATCTATACATATATGTACATAAGCCAATTTACCAAAGGAAGGAACATAAGTGATATCCATTTGCCAAAGAGAATTAAGTTCCAATCCTCGAGGATTAATTCCTCTTGTAAAAGATGAGGAATGCACCATTTGGCAAGTTGGGCATCACTGGATAATAGCTTTAGCTCATTTCTGGGTTATGCTGTATCTGTGTTTGAGACCAGAGGTGTTAACATGGGTTAAATTGTGAAAGTGTTTAGCATTAGATAATGCAGTAGCAACTAGACAATCAGCCATTTGAGTCGCTGCAGTCAAAGGTCCTGGAAGAGATATATGAGCCCTAATGTGAGTGATGTAAATAGGGTACATTGTACTCCTAACTGCTGTTTGCAATTGGGTAAGTAAAGTCATCAGTTGCTCATCTGTGTAGAATCGTAGCTGAGCATTTTCAACTAACTGTGTAGAATGAACCACATATGAAGAATCAGAAATTACATCAACAGACATCTCAAAAGCAGTCAGCACCTCAATTACAGCTACCAGCTCCGCTTTTTGAGCTGAAGTATAGGATGTCTGGAAAACTTTGCTTTTTGATCCAGAATAAGAAGCTTTACCATTACTAGATTCATCTGTAAAAACATTTTCAGCACCTTCAATTGGTTTAAATTTAGTTATTCTAGGGAGAATCCAATGAGTTAATTTCAAATATGGAAATAATTTTGTTTTCAGAAAGTGATTATCAAGAACACCTATGAAATCAGCTAAATGGGCTTGCCAAGTAAGACTATTTATAAAGGCCTGTTGTATTTGTGCCTTCGTAAGAGGGACAATAATTTTTCCATGGTCATATTCATGTAATTTAACAATTTGAGTTCTCCCATTTCCTATCAGAGTAGCAATTTGATCCAAATAAGGAGTTAGAGTCTGTGAATTAGTATGTGGATGAAAACGCCATTCTACCAAGTCCTGCTCTTGAACAATAACACCAGTAGGTGAATGCTGAGTTGGAAAAATCAATAAGTCTAAAGTCTTTTCTGGATCTATTCTATTTATTTGAGCTTTATGCACTTGCTTCTCAATCAGCTGTAACTCTGCCTGAGCCTCCTTTAATTGCTGAGGGCTAGTGAGACTAGGATCTCCTATAAGGATAGAAAATAGATTACTTATGGCATAGGTAGGAATGCCTAGAGCAGATTGTATCCAATTAATGTCCCCTAGTAATTTTTGAAAGTCATTTAATGTTTTCAGTTGATCCCTATGTATGGTTACTTTCTGTGGCACAATGGTAGTGCCATTTACTAAGGTCCCCAAGTAGGAGTAAGGGGTAGTAGTCTGAATTTTGTCAAGAGCTATAATTAAATTGGCATGAGAAATCGAGTTTTGCAAGTGATCATAACATTAGAGTAATATTTCCCGAGTGGGGGCAGCACAAAGAATATTATCTATATAACGAATAATGTAACAATTTGAAAATTTTTTATGAGTAGGTTCAATTGCTTGTCCTACATAAGTCTGACAAATTGTTGGACTGTTTAACATGCCTTGTGGCAACATTTTCCAATGAAAATGCTTATCAGATTGCAGGTTGTTTACCGCAGGAATTGTAAATGCAAACCGTTCATAGTCTTGCTCAGCTAAGGGATAGTAAAGAAACAGTCTTTTAAATCCATGACTATTAAAGGCCAATTTTTTGGAATCATAGCAGGAGAAGGCAATCCTGGCTGCAAAGCGCCCATAGATTGTATAACTGAATTAATGGCTCTAAGATCTGTCAACATTCTCCATTTACCTGATTTTTTTTTTTTTAAATAACAAAGACTGGAGAATCCCAGGGGGAAAATGTTGGAGCTATGTGTCCTTTTTCTAATTGTTCAGTAACTAAGTCCTCTAAAGCCTCCAGTTTCTCTTTACTCAGCGGCCATTGTTCTGTCCAAATTGGCTTATCTGTTAACCATTTTAAAGATATAGGTTCTGGAGGCTTAACAATGGCTGCCATCAAAAATGATATCCTACACCTTGATGAGGATTCTGTCCTTCTGCTTGAAGTGGTTTCTTTAACCCTTGTAAATTTTTTCCTAATCCCATACCAGGGACATACCCCATTTCATGCATCATATGTTGACTTTGAGGGCTATATAGTTGTTCTGGAATTAACGCTTGTGCTCCCCATTGCTGTAATAAATCTCTTCCCCATAAATTTATAGGTACAGAAGTTATAATTGGTTGAATAGTTCCAGGTTGTCCATCGGGCCCTTCACAATGCAAAATATAACTGCTTTGATATACTTCAGGGGCTTTACCAACTCCAACTATGTTAAATCGAACGGGTGGAATTGGCCACATGGATGGCCAGTGCTGTAGAGAAATGATTGAAATGTCTGCTCCTGTATCTACCAATGCTTTAATTTTTTTCCCTGAATAGTTATTTCACAGGTAGGACGTTTATCAGTAATTTGATTCACCCAATAAGCTGCTTTGCCTTGTTTATTAGTGCTTCCAAATCCTCCTGTTTGTTTAGTTTCACTTTTCCCCATTTCCACATATGGCACAATCAGGAGCTGTGATATGCGCTCTCCTGGCCCTGCTTTCCAGGGAACAGAAGTAGATATAACAATTTGAATTTCCCCATTGTAATCTGAATCAATGACTCCTGTTTGCACTTGTACCCCTTTTAAATTTAAACTAGACCTGCTTAGAAGTAATCCTACTGTCCCTGCTGGCAAGGGTCCACAGACTCCTGTTGGCACTTTTTGAGGAGGTTCCCCAGGCAGAAGGCTCACAGCTTTTGTACAGCATAAATCTACTGCAGCACTACCAGTTGTGGTGGGGGACAGGCATTGTACAGGGGTGAGGGAATGGCCTGAGCTGGGAATGCCCCAGTTTGAACCGGGGCCTGGGACAGGCCCCTCATGGCATTTCCTGAAATTGGGTTCCCATCTTTATCAAACTTACAGTGACACTGATTAGCCTAGTGTTTTCCTTTTCTACATTTTGGACATATTTCAGACTCAGCAGTTTTCTTTTTTCCCCCAACTGGCGGCCTGACTTGCTGATTTTTTCTACATTCTTTTTTGGTATGACCATGCTTCCCACAGTTAAAACAAGCTCCAGGAAATGGGGTATTTCCTTTACCCACCCTCAGTCCTGCCATTGCCTGGGCTAGCAGAGTAGCCTTAATGCAGATTACCTCCAAAACCATCACAAGCTTTAATATAGTCAACTAAATGTGCTTTTGCTGTAATAGGTCGCAGAGTGGCTTGGCACTCAGGATTGGCATTGTCGAAAGCTAATAACCGCAACACTATATGCTGAGCAGCTGAATCTGCAATCACCTTTTTAAGAGACTCCTGTAACTGAGCTATAAAATCCGCATACGGTTCTTTTGGTCCCTGTTTGACAGCACTAGAGGAAGGGTATTGTTCTCCTCCTGAAGTGATTTTTTTCCCAAGCTCTAATGCACACTGCTCTAAGCTGCTCTATGGCATCATCCTGCATGACCACTTGTGCATCTAAACCAGCCCAGCCGCTGACCCCCAAAAGTTGGTCTGCAGTTATATTAATTTGAGGTTGGGCCTGGACATTGTGAGCAGCCTGAGTGGAACCTTCCTCTGCCCACCAAGTTTTAAATTGTAAGAACTGAGCAGGAGTTAGACAAGCTCAAGTAAGAGCACCCCAGTCAGTAGGAGTCATCTGACTGAAGACAGCAACATTCTTTAACAGTCTCATTACAAAAGGAGAACCTGGTCCATATTGATTAATAGCTTGTTTAAATTATTTAAGTATTTTAAAAGGAAAAGGCTCAAATGTAGCTATAATATTCCCCTGTTGATCAGGTCTATGTATTCTAACAGGGAACTGTCAAGCATCTATATCACCCTCTCGTCTAGCTTGCTGGATTCCTGCCTGAATAGAACTGAGAGTGGTCGCTTGAGGCGCTGCTCGAACAGTCACTAGGGCAACTACTTGTTGCCCAGTGTCCTCTGGAAAAGAAAGATCTGGAGGGTCAGGCCACTCCTTTTCTTCAAAATAATGAGGGTGTGCAGAGGAGTAGGGACAAACCTCTCCCTCCTTTACCGCTTTAGTTGGCAAGCAAACCTGCTCTGGTACTTCATTATACTCTCCTTCTTCCTCTGATTCCTTCTCCTCATCATCTGTGTGGAAAGGCTCCAAGGCTGAACGAATCAGAGCCCATACTGACCAGACAGTTATAGGAATATCCTCAGCACCATCCTTATATGCCTTTTTCAGTGTGCTGCCTACATTTTCCCAGACCTCTACATTCATAGTTCCTCAGTCCAGAAACCAGGGGCAATATTTCTCTACTGCACTAAAAAGCTGTGTAAGTCAGCTAGTGATAACTTTCACTCCCCCTTTTCTGAGGAGCTTCCAAAGCAGACTCAAATAAGCCTTGTGCCTGCTCAACCCTTGTCCCATTGTTACCCTGGTGCTTCTGAGTTCCTCTTCTTACTTACCACGGAGATTGCTTAAGAGTACTTGGGTGTCCTCCAGCATAGTTCCACGTTCTCCAACCATCACTCTGGCGATGCTTCAACCCGGGTTCAGGCCCCTACGTTGGACGCCACTTACCGAGACAAGCTCGGTTGTGGAGACCCCAACCCAGTGGTGCTAGAGGAATTGAAGCCAAAGACACAGAAATAGAGTGCAAAGTGAGAATCGGGGCTAACAGCCTTCAGAGCTGACAGCCACGAACAGAGTTTGACCCACATATTTATTGACAGCAAGACAGTGATAAGCATTGCTTCTATAGATTATAGATTAACTAAAAGTATTCCTTACAGGAAACAAAGCTTTCTTAGTGAGGAGTAGAGAAACAGGCTCTGGCTGATTATCTGCAGCAAAAATATATTGTTAAGGTACAGGCTGCTCCTGCCATTATTTGTAGTTTGAGCAGTTTTCCGCTCCGGGCGGGCCAGGTGTTCCTTGCCCTGCTGCAGTAAACCAACAACTTCTAGCAGTATGTGTGATAGCCACCACGAGCTTGTCACATTGCTGCAGAAATCCTGTTTATGGCCAGTTTCTTTAAGGCCTGCTTATGACAGGCTTAGGGCTTGTTCCCAGCAAGGAGATGTTTTAATTTTCTCAAGCAATGAAACCACATTTGGTACAGCAGCTGCAGTTGGAATCACCACTTGGTTAAGCTTACCATAATCCACTCTCATTCTCCAAGATCCATCTGTCTTCTGTACAGGACAAATAGGAGAGTTGAATGGGGATGTGTTGGGAATCACCACCCCTGCGACTTTCAAGTCCTTGATGGTGGCACTAATCTCCACAATCCCTACAGCGATGCGTTACTGTTTTTGTTTTACTATTTTTCCAGGTAGAAGCTCTAAAGCCTTCCATTTGGCCTTTCCAACTATAATAGAACTTACCCTACCAGTCAGGGAGTCAATGTGGGGGCTCTGCCAGCTGCTAAGTATGTCTATGTCAATTGTGCATTCTGGCACTGGGGAAATGACCACAGGATGAGTCTGGTGACCCACTGGACCCACTGTAAGTTGGACCTGAGCTAAAACTCTATTAATTACCTGGCTTCCATGAGCACTTACTTTAACTGGAGGACCACAGTGAAGTTTGTGGACCCCTTAGAATCAACGTCAACTCAGAGCCAGTGTCCAGTAGTCCTCAAAATGTCTGAACTCTTTCCATTCTACAATGCACAGTTACCCTGGTAAAGGGCTGAAGGTCTCCTTGGGAAATGATTGGAGAAAGATTCACTGCAATAATTGTCAGTAATGTAGTGGGATCTTTCCTCAAGGGGACCCAGACTCCCCTTCATTCAAGGGGTTCTGGGTCTGTAAACAGGAACCCCAAGTCTGGAAATTGATTGAGGCCATGATTCTCTGTTTTTATAATTCAAATTACTCTTTCATCCCTTCCACCTAGAAGTTTTTTGCTTATATAAATTAAGTAGGAATGCAGTAAGCTTCCTATCAATTTCACTTCTAGGAACACCATTGTTAATTAGCCAATGCTAGAGCTCTACACAAGTCAGACTATTCTGATTGCTGTTTTGTCTCTGCTGTCTATTATGGTAGCTATGCCCACATTGGCTATGATGGTTGAGTGCTGCCTTTTGGCCCCTGGCACCTCGGGATCCATTTATTCCCATTGTATTTAAATTTTGTAGTTGAGTGACTGCAGTTCCCACTGTTAGATCTGACATACAGAAAAGAGCAATTACAGGGCACTTCAAAGATGCAGGTGCTGTCCTCACAAATCTATTTCACAAGGCATCAGTCAAGGGTATATCTCCTGGATCCTGCCAGCTGGGATGAGTAGATCTAAAGTGACTAATCCACTCCACCATCTCAATCTCCCTAAGCCTTTGGATCCCTTCCTGCATATTAAACCAAGGCAGATCAGGCATTTCCAGCTTGCTCACAGTGGGTGATCTTTTAATCCGTATTTCAGCTAACCAAGCAAATAAACTATTAGAATTTTTTTAACTCCCCAAGCTGCAACATTAAATGTGGAGTCCTAACTTAGTGGGCCCAAATTAATAAATGCAGCCTGATCCAACTCTATGTTCCTTCCAACATTATTTCACACCCTTAATATCCATTCCCATGCCTGTTCTCCAGGTTTCTGTTTATATAAATTAGAGAACTCAAGTGGGTCTTTTTGAGTATAGCACACCTCCTCATGGGTCACACTCTAACCTCACCTCTAGGGGTCCTTCAGGACTTTAGTCTAGTTATAGGTCTAGAAGCAAACAGGAGTGTTGGAAGTGGCTCCTGAGGAGAATCAACATTATCTTGCTTGGCAACTGCCTCAGAGGAGGCCACCACTGTTGCCTCAGTCAGCACAGGGTTTATCTCCTCAGACAAAGGTGAAAAAGCTGATGCCAGCACGGGTTGGAGAGGGGATGTTGCCACTACTGAGGATGGGGAAGCTGTTTCTTATGACAAAAAGGGTTCATCAGAGTTTACACTCAGTGTTCACAGCTTCAACAGGGTCCTCCTACACGTTCTTATTCCAAGTTGCAAGGTCCCATTCTTTTCTAATCAATGCCCTCACTTTAACAGTAGACACCTGGTGAGGCTATGCATGCACCCTTCATTGCAGGTCAGCCACTTGCATGATAAGAACTTGTGTCTGTTATTCCATAATTGCAGCTCTTTCCCTACTGAAGCTGGGAGATAGAATCTCTGAGTTCATCATTTTCTTTCATCACTTTGTCCACTGAACTTAGGAGCAACCAACTAACATCATTATTTCCTTGGTTCTCCACATATGGTCAAAGTTATTGTGTCACTAAATTCCTTGCCTCTCACGAGTGATGAATCAGGAGTGCCACATGCATTTATTTTGCATAACGCTCTAAACAGTTCATGTCAAGAACTATCAGTGTTCTCCCTACTATTAGACGTAAAGTCCTTAGCATTTTTGGGTCTAATCGTGTTAAGCAGCCAAGTCCAGAAACCTCCAAACCAATGAAAGAACTCCATCCTTAATATTATGTTCTTCTAGAACCACTTCTGGTACCAAAATCTATATTAGTCAGGGTTCTCTAGAGGAACAGAACTAATGGAATATATATTCCACTTTATATGTATATGTACATTTCTATATATATCTCATACATATGTAACCCATGTATATGGGAGTTTATTAAGTATTAAAGCGTACATTCACAAGGTCCCACAATAGGCAGTCTGGAGGTTGAGGAACAAAGAGAGCCAGTCTGAATTCCAAAACTGAAGAACTTGGGAGTCCAGTGTTCAAGGGCAGAAAGCATTCAGCATGGGAGAAAGATGTAGGCTAGGAGGCTAAACCAGTCTCTCTTTTCACATTTTTCTGCTTGCTTATATTCCAGCCATGCTGCCAACTGATTAGATTGTGCCCACCCAGATTAAGGGTGGTTCTGCCTTTCCCAACCTGATTCAAATGTTAATCTCCTTTGGCAACAGTCTTACAGACACACCCAGGATCAATACTTTGTATCCTTCAATCTAATCAAGTTGACACTTGGTATTAACCATCACAAATGGATAAAGAAAATGTTTTGAATATGCCCCATGGAATAATATGCAGCCACATAAAATAACGAGGTCATGTCATTTGCAGCCACATGGATGCAGTTGAAGGCCATTATTCTATGTGAATTTTTACAAAAAAAGAAAACCAAATACTGCATGTTATCACTTATAAGTGGGAGCTAAACACTGGGTACACACAGACACAAATGGAGAACAAGACATGGGACTAGAAGGGGAAGGAGTGAGGAAGAAAGGCAGGAGTTGAAAAACTACCTATTGGGTATTATACTCACTACCTGTGTGACAGGATCAGTCATATCCCAAATCTCAGCATCATGCAATGTAGCCAAGTCATAAACCTGCACGTGTACCCCTTGAATCTAAAATGAAAGATATACATAAATAAATAAATAAGGTACTTATATTTTAGGTAGACTGTAGTAACTCTAGAAAAGCAAGTGATTCTTCTAGGGGAAAAACTATACCATGCCAAATCAATTAAAAAATTATTTTAAATGGATGAAGGAGGATTTAAATGAAAAGCAGAAGGCGCCATAATTGCAGAGAAGGGAAAACAATTCTGAACTGTCAGCACTTTCTTTCCTTGGAACATATGATGTTTCTGAATACAAGTTAAATATCAGTCTTGGCCAACCCAGTTAGAGTTCCTCTATTGAGAAAAGAGAAACCTGAAGACCCCTTAGTGCCTAGAAAAGATTAGATTGATAAATTTTAAATTAAGGGATATCAAACTCAGTATCAGTTTTTCTTATGCCACATTTGTTGAGTTTACATCCTTTGAGGGAGGCTGAGGAGGCAGGGTGAAGCTCTTAAGGCAGAAATTTCTATAATCCTGTTGTACTTGGGAAACAAAGATCGAATGGAAAGAAGGCTTGTCTCAAGCACATGTGCTGCCTCCCCTTTAAAACATTTACCTGGTTTTGAATAAGCTTGGGACATAGGCTAGAGGACTGAGATTTGAAGCTCTGAGTACCAGAAATCAATCATTTACTGTATTTCAAAGCTGAGAAAATAGAGTTATTCTGGCTCTTGAGAGAAATTCTGTAGAGTATCTGAGTCTTACTAAAACTACACTTTTTTGCCTAATTTAATTTAAAATGTGCTGAAGTTGTCAGTTACTCAGCCCTTTTTCAAAACAGAAGATGGAAACTTCCTAAGTCGAAAGCAATACCACCTAAAGCTTCTACTGCTTTATTAAATAGAACATAAAGCATACAATAAAAACTGCACATAGCAAAAGCAAAAAGTTATGGACAATAACACAAAGAAAAAACAACAAAGATAGAAAAAAGAAGCCAGAAGCTAAGAGATGATCTATAGAGTCAAAAAGGTGATAACACACACACAAAAATCCCACTGTTAGAGAAAATGAAAGAAAAATGAACAAATTACATGAGGGAAGATAGATTCATTTCACCAGAAAATCTGATTCTATAGATTTCACTTGCTATGTATATATTTGATAACAAAATATGTAAAGAAATCAGTAAATCATTTGAATTATAGGCCTCATAGTTAAAAATACTGGATTAGTTAACTAGAAGAAGAGATAATGAAAAACATCTCAACTGACAGAACAAAACATTTAAAAAATAGTATAAGTAATAATTACACCATATTAAAAAGCCTAAAACCCATAAAATAGGGACCAATTTGTGGAAAACAAAGAGAATTGAATAAAAGTTATGTAAAAACATACAATGCCTGAGAATTTTCTAAAAGTATGGAATGATATCATCCCATTCAAGCAGCTCACTGAATTCCAACAGGATAAACACAAAGAAAACACACCTGGTCATAGTAAGACTGTTGAAAACCAGAGACACCGAGAAATCTTATAAACAGCCATAGAAAGAAGGCCTATATTTTAAAAGACAGCATGATAAGATTGATGGGTGGCCTCAAAAAATGAAGTGCAGAAGACAACGGAATAAAAATTGTATGCCATAAATATAAACTATTGACCTAGTTACTTGTTCTTCAGGTAGAGTAAGTAACTAGGTCAGCAGTTATATTTAAGAGCAAGACATCATCAGGAAATGTGAATGTGAAGATGGCAATGAAGTACACAAGGTAGAGTAAATTTGTGGGTATATATAATAAAAATTAACTGCAAAAATCAATATTAATAATATCTTATAGATTCTAAAACATATGCAAAACAAAAATGCAAAATACCACAAAAGTTGGGAGGCATGTAAGTACACAAAAGGTTCTAAGTTTCCAGTAGTAATAAGAAATGGTGAATTAATGATATATATTATATTATATTATATTAATGTGAGGATGCATGATTCAATTTCTAGTGGGACCATTAAAATAATAAAAAATATAAATATAAGACACAGAAAAATTATAATAAATATTTGATGACTATAAATACAGGCAAGAAAGAAGGGAAGCAAACAAGACATTTGTAAAAATAAGCAAACATAACTGGTAGATATAAGACCTATGTAAAATAGACTAAATAAAGCAAACAATTTTGAGATATTTCACAATGAAATAAGTGTGCTAGCATTTTGCTGCTTATAAGACATGTAATTTTAAAATAACAACACAGAGCATGAAAGTGTGTGAAAATTTTTATGCCTTGCAAATTTTAACCATAAGAAGATGGAATTCTACTAATATTAGATAATTAAGGATTTATGGAAAGAAGCAAGAATAGAAATAAGAAAATATGTTGCAACATATCATTCCCCCTCATCCAGTTTCACTTTCTGTGGTTTTGCTTTCTGTGATTTCAGTTACCCACCGTTAACCAAGTGAAGAAAGATGAGTACATTGTAAGAAGATATTTTGTGAGAGAGAGGGAAAGAGACCACAGTCACATAATTTTTATTGCAGCATATTGTTAAAATGTTCTATTTTATTATTAGTTGTTATTGTTAATCTGTCAGTGTGATAACTTATAAATTAAAACAATCATACATACAGGGAAAAAACATAGTATATACAGGGGTCCATACTTTCCCCAATTCAGGCACCCACTGGGGCTTTTGGAACATATCCCATGTGGATAAACTGGGTCTACTGTATTTATCTGCAAACATAACTTTAACATATATGGGGAAAATTTGAAAATAGACAAATTCACAATCATAGAGATTAACCCACTTCCTCAACAGTGGTTGAAGAAGCAGAGAAAAATCTCTTAAGAAGAGAAGATCTTCAATATATAATTGTAAACTTGATCATCTTATATGTATAGTACAAAAAGACTTCAAAATGTTCACGGAAAATGGAATAAAAAGATAAAAAGTATAAACTTTATTTCTCAACATAAGCTCTATCAAGGTCAAGACAGTTTTGTAAGTGATGATAGCAGCCATGTAGTCCATCCCTGAAGAACAGAAGGTCCTGAGATTTTAACCATGTCAAGGCAATCTTTTTTACATTATTAACTGAAGGAAAAATAGGTGTCCTTTAAATATTTTGTTAAGATTAGGAAACAAAAACAAGTCAGAAGAAGTCATATCAGGACTATAAGGTAGATGCCTAACTTTCTTACTGAAACTGTCAGAAAATTGCTCTTGTTTGATAAGATGAGTAAAAGCACTGTCATGGTGGAGAAGGACTCTCTGGTGAAGTTCTTCTGGATGTTGTTTTCTGCTAAAGTCTTGGCTAACACTCTCATAATAAGCAGATGTTATTGTTCTTTGGCCCTACAGAAGGTCAACAAGGAAAATGACTTGAGTAACCCAAAAAAACTGTTGCCATGGCCTTTGCTCTTGACCAATCTGCTTTTGCTTTGACAGGATCACTTCCACTTCTTGGTAGCCAGTGATTTGTGCTTTGTCTTCAGGATCACACTGGTAAAACTGTTCATCTTCTGTTACAATTCTTCAAAAAAATGCTTCAGGTTCTTCATTCCTTTTGTTTAAAATTTCCATTGGAATTTCTGCTCTTGTCTGCAGCTCATCTGGGTGCAATGGTTTTGGCAGCCATTGACTGGAGTGTAAAATTTCCTCAGTTTTAATGTTTGAGTCAGATTTGCATAAGGTGCACCAAACGAGACATCTATAGTGCTCGTCATTTTTTCTGCTGTTAATCATTGGTACTTTTCAATTAGGGCATGGACAAGATGAGTTTTTTTTTTTTTTTTTTTTTTCCATGCAAACTGATGTGGATGGTCTGCTGCTGTGGGCTTCATCTGCAATATCATCTTTTCCCTTCTTAAAATACATTTGTCCACTTGTAAACTGCTGATTTATTTGAGACATCATCCCCATAAACTTTTCACAAAGCATCAATTATTTCACCGTTTTTACACTCAAGCTTCACAATAAATTGGAAGTTTGTTCTTGCTTTAATTTTATCAGAATTCATGTTGCTCTGATAGAGGCTCTTTTCATACCGATGTCTTAGTGCTTGAAACTAGATCCTCTTAAGGCATGTTCTAACAAGTTAATATGAGTGTATTTTGGTGCAAAAAATCTTGAAATCCATGTGTAGTTTTTTCAAAATACACATTTTAATGAACTTTTTGAAGACCCTTAACATGTGTGTGTGTTCACAGTTGTGAACTTGATTATATGTAATATATCAGTGTGCCCCAAACTGACAAAACTCACTTTAGTTCAACTTCATATGGTCTGTTTAATGCAATAAACAATGTATTTAGCCAAAATATGTCTCAATAAGTTTTGTAAGTTTGAAATGATGAACAATGTTTTTTCTATCTACAATAAGATTAAGTGGTAAGTCAACAGCATTAAAGATAATGCTTCCAATTCCTTGGAAATGACAGATTCCATTTCTAATTAATGTATAGGTAAAGAAGAAATCAGAATGGAAACCATAATTTTTTAACTAAGGTATAAGTATGCACAACATATGGAAACACCATAGGATTAAACTAAAGCAGTGGTTTAAGGAAAATGTATAGCCATATATATACTTTAAAAAAATACTGAAAAAATACCAATGATTTAACTTTTCTTGTCGAGAAGTCAGGAAAATAACATATTAAGTCTGAGAAAATTAGAAATATAGCCATAATAAAACTAGGAGAAGAAACAACAAAATATGAAACAAATGCAAAATATTGAAAATAAATGAAAGCAAAATTTAATCAAATACACTTTGAAACATAAAAGTTTAAAAACTTATGAAAACATGAGCTAAAACAATAGCAGAAATGAAAAGAGAACACCATAACACAGCCTATACAATTTTTGGAAGGAACAACATTTAGCAAATAAATTTGACAATTTTGATAAAGAAGTTTATTGAACAAACCAAGATACTAGCCGACATTAACAATAAACGTTAAAGACACTAAAGAATGAGCATTACAAAGAATTAGCCAGTCTCAGGTAAGTGAATTTTTCCAAAAATAAAGAAATGTGCATCATTTTTAAAAACTTTTATTTTAATGTCCAGGGCAAAAATGCAGATTTGTTACACAGGTAAACTTGTGTTACGGGGGTTTGTTGTACAGATTATTTCATCACCCAGGTATTAAGCCTAGTACCTATTAGTTGTTTTTCCTGATCTTCTCTCTCTTCCCTCCCTTCATCCTCAAGTCGTCCCCAGTGTCTGTTGTTCCCCTCCTTGTGTCCATGTGTTTTCATCATTTTGCTCCTACTTATAAATGAGAACATGCAGTATTTGGTTTTCTGTTCCTGTGTTAGTTGCAAAGGGTAATGGCCTCCAGCTCCAACCATGGCCCTGCAAAGGACATGATCTCATTTTTTTTAATGGCTTCATAGTATTCCATAATGCATATGCACTGCATTTTCTTTATCCAATCTATCATTGATGGGCATTTGGGTTGATTCCATGTCTTGCTATTGTGAATATTGCTGCAATGAGGATACATGTGCATGTATCTTTGTAATAGGATAATTATATTCCTTTGGGAATATACCCAGTAACGGGACTGCTGGGTCAAATGGTATTTCTGTCTTTAGGTCTTTCAAGAATCGCCACACTGCCTTCCACAATAGCTGAACTAACTTACACTCCCACCAACAGTGTATAAGCATTCCTTTTCCTCCATAACCTTGTCAGTATCCGTTATTTTCTGACCTTTCAAATAATAGCCATTCTGACTGGCATGAGATGGTGACTCATTGTGGTTTTAACTTGTATTTCTGTAATGATCAGTGACGTTGAGCTTTTTTTCATATGCTTGTTGGCCACATGTATGTCATCTTTTGAAGTGTCTGTTCATGTCCTTTGCACACTTTTTTATGTTTTTTTCTTGTAAATTTATTTAAGTTCCTTATAGGTGCTGTATAGCAGACCTTCATCAGGTGCATAGTTTGCAAAACATTTCTCACATTCTGTAGGCTGTCTGTTTGTTCTGTTGATACTTTCTTTTTGCTGTGCAGAAGCTCTTTAGTTTAATTAGATTCCATTTGTCAATTTTTACTTTTGTTGCAGTTGCTTTTGGCATCTTCATCATGAAATCTTTGCCTGTGTCTATGTGCTGAATGGTATTGATTAAGCTGTCTTCCGAGGTTTTTATAGTTTTGGGTCTTACATTTACGTACTTAATCCATCTGAAGTTAATTTTTGTATATGGTGTAAGGAAGGGATCCAGTTTCAACCTTCTGCATATGGCTAGCCAGTTTCTCCCAGCACCATTTATTGAATAGGGAATCCTGCCAAAGATCAAATAGTTGTAAGTGCATGGTCTTACTACTGAGTTCTCTATTCTGTTCCATTGGTCTATGTGTCTGTTTTTATACTAGTTCATGGTGTTTAGGTTACTGTAGTATAGTTTGTGGTCAGGTAGTGTGATGCCTCCAGGTTTGTTCTTTTTGCTTAGGATTGCCTTGACTATTCGGGCTCTTTTTATTTTTGGCTCTATATGAATTTTAAAATAGTTTTCTCTAGTTCTGTGAAGAATGTCAATAGTAGTTTAATAGGAATAATACTATTTTTAAAAGCACCCCAAACCCAAAGTACTTAGGTAGAAATCTTAAAAATATAAATATATTCAGAATCTATATGCAGAAATAAACCAAATGTTGATTACTGAAATCAAATATCTAAGCACATAGAGATATAGTTCATATTCATTGATCATAAGATTCACTATTGTTAAAATGTCAGTTCTTCCCAACATGATCTACAGATTCATTGTTTTCTCAGCCAAAAATCACATCAAGGTTTCTAGAGATACAAACTGATCCTAAGGAGTACTCAGAAAATAAAAAACCTAAACAACCACCAAACATACTTGTATTACTGAAGTCAGAATTACTTATTTTAATATTATATATCATTAATAAATTTTTTGTTATAGTTAATATTTTTGTCTAACTTTTATATTAGAGTTAACATTAATTTATGCACCAACATTAGTGTCACTACTGTGTGTCTATATATTACATTTACTGGTAAAATACCCTTTTATATGCAAAATCATTAGCATAATTTTGTTCCCATTTTAAAAACTCTCAAGTTTTTCTCGTAAGGAAGGTCTGGTAACGATTCTGTCGGTGTTTGTTTGGCAGAAGATTTTACCTCTCCTTCATTTTAAAAGATTGTTTTGCTGGGTATAGTGTTTATGATTGGCAGTTTGTTTCTTTTCATTAAGTACTTTGTATAGATTATCCCACTCTCTCTTGAACTGCAAGATTTCTCCTGAGAAATCAGTTGATAATCTCACAGAGGTTTGCATATTACAAATTGCTTTTCTCTTGCTACTTTCAAAATTCTGTCTGCTTTTGACTTTTGCCAACTTAATTGTAATGTGTCTTGGTGTAAACATTTTTATGTTCAACATATGTGGAATCATTTGGGCTTCTTGGATCTTTGATCTTCTAAGATGTCCGTTTTCTTCTCCAGATTAGGTAAGTTTTCAGTCATTATTTATTTTAATAAACTTCCTGCCCCTTTGTATTCTCTGGGTAAACTTCTATTATGCATATATTGCATCACTTAATAATGTCACATAACTCCACTTCCTTCTCCTTTCTATTCTCTGGGGAAACTTCTATTATGCATATATTGCTTCACTTGATAATGGCACATATATCCCATAGGCTTTCTTCACTATTTTTCATTCTTTTCTTCTCTTTTCTCTTCTGACTATATAATGTCAAATGACGTTGCTTTTAGTTCACTATTTTTTTCTTCTGCTTGACTGAGTCTACTGTTGAAACTCTTTATTGCACTTTCTATTACAGCACGTGTGTGTGTGTGTGTGTGTGTGTGTGTGTGTGTGTGTGTGTGTTGAGAAAGGGTCTTGCTCTGTTACCCAGGCTGGAATGCAGTGGTATAATCATGGCTCATTGCAGCCATGACCTCCTGGATTCAAGCGATCCTCCAACCTCAGCCTCCTGAGTAGCTGGAAACACAGGTATGCACTGCCATGCCCACCTAATTTTTTAAAAAATTTGGTAGAGACAGAGTCTCACTATGTTTCCCAGGCTATTAACTGTATGAACTCCAAAAACGGGCTCTTTTATGATTTTTAACTCTTTTTTAAACCTCTAATTTTGTTTATGTGTTGTTGTGTTGAAATTGCTGATTTGTCTTTTTGTGTTATAGCTTGCTGAGCTTCTTTAAAGCAATAATTTTGAATTATTTTTGGCAACTCAGATCTCCATTTCTTTATGGTTTATTAGCAGAAATTTGTGTTCCTTTGGTATTGTATGAATACTTTTTTGTGTTCCTTGTAGCCTTGTCTTAGTGTTTGATCATCTGAAGAAGGTGGCTCCTCTTCCAGACTTTACAGACTAGCTTTAGCAGAAAAAAGCCTTAACCTGTAAAAAGGCTTGAGGGCAACAACTTTATGGGTTTTGTGGTGGTTCCAGGTGCAGAGGGGCATGACAATGCTGGTCCTGTGGGAGAACATGGGAGCTATTTCCAGGGGTTGCACAGAGATGTCAGTTGGCGGGGTTGGGTTAAGGCCCAGGGCTATGAAAACAGGGAGGTATTATGGCATAGGCTCCACATGGCTCCAGCAGAATCTAGTCGGAGACAGTCTCAGACGGAGATGAAGAACTTGTTGGGAACTGGAGCAAAGGTGACCCTTTTTATGTTTTAGCAAAGAGACTGGTGGCATTTTATTCCTACCCTTCAGAATTGTGGAACTTTGAACTTGGAAAAGATCATTTAGGGTATCCAGCAGAAGAAATTTCTTAGCAGCAAAGTGTTCAAGAGCTGACTTGGGTGCTGTTACAGGCATTCAGTTTTAAAAGGGAAGCAGAGCATAAAAGTTTGGAGAGTTTGCACCCTGACAATGTGATAAAAAAGGAAATCCCATTTTCTGAGGAAAAATTTAAGCTGACTGCAGAAATTTGCATAACAAGGAGCTGAATCTTAATCACCAAAACAACAAGAAAAATGTCTCCAGGGCATGTTAGAGACCTACACAGCAGCCCCTCCCATCACAGGCCCAGAGGACTAAGAGAAAAAAATGGCATCATTGGTTGGGCCTAGAGTCCCTCTGCTGTTTGCAGTATAAGCATTTGGTGCTCTGCTTCCCATCTGCTCCAGCCATGGCTAAAAGGGGTGAAAGTAGAGCTCAGGCCATGGCTTACAGGCAACAAAATGAAGAAAAGATAGCCTTTCCAACAAATGGTGCTGAAAAAAAATATATACATGCCAAAAATGAATCTAGATGTAGACCACACACTTTTCACAGAAATAAACTCAAAATTGATCATATAGCTAAATGTAAAATAAAAAATTATACAACTAATACATAAGGTAGGAGAAAATCTAGATAAATTTGAGCTTGATTATAACTTTTTAGATATAACAGCAAGGACACAATTCTTGAAAGAAAGAATTGATAGCTGGACTTCATTAAAAGTAAAAATTTCTTCTTTTATAAATGCACTGTCAAGAGAATGAAAAGAGAAGACAGAATGGGATAAAATATTTTCAAAAGATGTTTCTGACAAAGTATCGTTATTAAAAAATAGAGAAATAACTCTTAAAACTCAAAAATAAGAAAACAATTGATTAAAAATATGCCAAAGACTTTAGCAGACAACTGATGAAGAAGATATACAGATGGCAAACAAACATGTATGAAAAGATGTTCCACATACTATATCATCAGTGAAACGTAAATTAATACAACAGTAACATACCATATTACATATTACGATGGCCGAAATCTGAAATGCTGATGACATCAAATGTTAGTGATGGTGTAGAGCATGATAGACTCTCATTGATTTTTGGTTAAATTCATAATATTAAAAAACTATTGCAATACATTTGTCAGTTTCTTAAAAATGTAAGCTTATTCTTCCATATGATCAGCAAGTGCACTCCTTAGAATTTATTCAAAGGAGGTGAAAGCTTATGTCCAAACAAACATCTGCATGTGGATATTATATCAGTTTTATTCATAATTGCCAAAACTTAGAAGATGTCCCTAAGTAGGTGAACAGCTAAATAAGGTGTAGCATATCCAGACAATGTAGTATTATTCAGCTATTAAAAGAATGAAATATGGCCTGGCGCGGTGGCTCATGCCTGTAATCCCAGCACTTTGGGAGGCAGAGGCGGGCGGATCATGAGGTCAGGAGATCGAGACCATCCTGGCTAACACAGTGAAACCCCGCCTCTACTAAAAATACAAAAAATTAGCCGGGCGTGGTGGCGGGCGCCTGTAATCCCAGCTACTCGGGAGGCTGAGGCAGGAGAATGGCGTGAATCCGGGAGGCGGAGCTTGCAGTAAGCCGAGATCGCGCCACTGCACTCCAGCCTGGGCGACAGAGCGAGACTCCGTCTCAAAAAAAAAAAAAAAAAAAGAATGAAATATCAAGCTACACAAAAATACGTGAAGGAAATTTAAATGCATAAGATTTTTATGAAACTTAAATGCATAATCCTTTGCTAAGTAAAGGAACCAATTTTGAAAAGATCACATACTGTTTTAATGCAAATACAACAGCTAAAATTGAAAAAAACTATGGAGACATTGAAAGGGTCAGTGGTTTTCAGGTGTTGGTGGGGAAGGAGGAATAAACAGAACAGCACAGAGGATTTTTAGAGCTGCGAAAGGACTTTCTGTAATACTACAATGTTGGATATATGTCATTATGTATTTGTCCAAACCCATAGAATGTACATCAAGAGTGAACCCTAATATAAATGATGATTTTGGGGTGATAATGTGTCAATATAGATTCATCAATTGTAACAAATATACCACTTTGGAGAGAAATGTTGATAAGATGTGTGCATGTATGTGAGAAGGAGCTATTTGGATTATCTCTCTACCTTCCCCTCAATTGTGCTGAGAACCTAAAACTGCTCCAAATATTATAGTCTATTAAAAAAATTCAACACCAAATTTGAATTGTTGAAGCCAGAGTATGGACTTAAGTAGTTTGTGTTTATGACATATGTTATCTATATATTCCTTATACAAACATACATGCCACTTTCTCATGTGAAATAGTATATCTTCCTCCTCTTCATCACCTTCTCAACCACACTTGGATCTGACCTGGCTTTCCTCCTTGCTTGAGTAATATAACTTGGCAAATTTGACATTCTGGTACTTCTGAAGCTAAATCATAAGAAGACTTTCAAGTGTCTGGCTAGACCAACCAGAATGTTTGCTCCTGGAACACGGTAATGTAAGGAGAAACTGCTACAGAGGTATTATGTAGCCTCTCTAATACACAGGCCCAACCAAACCCAGACTTCTGGCCATCTTGCTCAAGTCATAGACTGAATAAAAGTACCTCAGACCCTCAACATCAGCCAAACTACCAGCTGAATACCACCAGATGAACATTGGTTGACATCACATATGAAAAACTTGCCCAGCCAAACTCTGCCGGAATTCCTGGCCTATAAATTTGTGAGAAATCATAACATAAATTTTGTTATAAGTCACTAAGTTAGACTAATTTTTTATAGGAAAATAAGTAACCTGTAACATATTTTGTTCAGTAATCTTTCCTCTGGGCAAACTTCTCTTTGTTTACCCACCCAGAGACAGAGAAGTCTCCAGTTCTACTTTAATATATAAACATTTCAAGAAAAGGAGCCTCTGTGGCGTATCTTGGAGGTAATCAATATGAATTTTATCTGAGTATTAACAAAAAATGAAAAGAGCTTTGTTGAAAATGCTTCTGCTTCATAGTGATGTCTTAGGGATTGGAACCTTCCTGTTACAAAAATAAACAAACAAAAAATCCCCAACTCTGTAAGCTATTTTGTGTCTAAGCATGGAGGTATACTCCCTTGATTGTTGGCCAAAATATCCCTAAGATTCGCTCCACCAAAATATACTCTCGGTTTCTGACTAGACAATTATATATGTCTTTGAGTTATTTTTGACATGTATCAGGAGGTTTCACTGAGATACTTAAAATAAAAGGTGCTGTTGAAACAAATACTTGACACTCCTAGAACATTTAAGCATTTAGCTCATTATCCTTAATTCCTTCTAAAAGTGCTAAGTGTTTCTTATAAAATAATATTTTTGGTCTGATTTTGATTTACACACTGATAATTATGTCTTCCTTAATCAGCATGTGTTCTGGTTTTTAATTTCATGGTATATTCATTTAAAGATTTCTGTTAGGTGACAGTCTATTTTCTTTCAAGTGGCAGAGGACTACAAATTTGGATTTTTCTTATTTACTTTATTAGTTGGATTCCAAAGTTTAATGATATCCAAAGTTTTAGAATTGATTAGTTTATTCACTTTCCAATTATAGAGCCATCTGTCTTTGTCTGGTGTTACATGAAACTATGATTTTTTTAATCCCCAAAATGGTTGTTTTCTTTATACCTCTCAAATCCACCCATTTTGTCTTTAATAATTATGGCACCAGATAGTTAACAACATCCACAGAATTGGAATTCCTACACCAAAGATGATGTTTGTATAAAAATGTCCCCATATGTGAAATTTTGAATCTCTTATAATGATATTCTTTTGAATTGTGTGTCAGAAGAAACAAAATTCCAGCAGAAGGTGTTCAGCTTTTTTAAAAATTAACATGCAAAGCAACTATTGGGTAGCACTATTATCTCTTCAAACCTCTTTAAATAATACTACAGAAAGCAGAGAAAGGGAACCTATTTTCTAAAATGGACAATAGTTATTGATGTATTAAAAAATTATCCCAAATCTAGTGACTTAAAATAACACATATTTATCTCAGAATTTCAGTGAATCAGGCATCTGACCACAGCTTAGTTAGATCTTTTACTCAGGGATCTCACAAGTCTGTAATGAAGAGGTTGGCCAGACTGTGTTCTCATCTGGAGGCTCAACTGAGATTGAATCCATTTCCAAGCTCATTCAGTCTTAGAACAATTCATTTTCTTGCAACTTTATGTCTGACAGTCCTGGCTTATTACTGTCCGTTGGCTGGGAGCCTCTCACTGTGTTCTCTGCCAACTGGAAAAATAACTATCCTTGCTGGATTCATAAGGACTTTTATAAACTTTCATATTTTACCAGTAACACTCCTAACACTCCACTGAAGGATCCAGTAGTGTTAATTATACTGTTATTTTGTTCTTTAGTCAATATTCTAAATAAAAAACAATATTTTTTGTTCCACTTTTAAGGCTTGCTACTTTATAACAACTTGCCCAAGGTTAATTAAAAATTTTGTTTGGGGAGTACAAGCTAATTTTTTTGAAAAACGTATTTGCATAACTTTTCTATTTCTGGAGTAAATTAATACATTTAACTATGTGATTTCCTGTAATTTCAGGAAGATAACTGTTTTGCCTGGCTTATAGAAACTATAAGCCCTATATTTATAGATTTAAATAAAGGAAACTCAAGGATTTCTAGGAAAAGTCTTCCAGTTATATTTTATGCTACTCCTATAACTCCAGCAGAGAAAGCTGCTTAAGCTTTCATAATGCTACTGGCCTTTGTTACTGAATTATAAAATAAGAAGCAAATAACTAATGGGAAGTTTACTTATTCTAAGTAACATAAAATAAAATATTTCAGAGGTAATTTTACTTTACGAGTTAATGCAACCTTCCTGATCAAGATAATAAATGGAAAAATTGTACCTGTTAAATAGCTGGATTATAAAACTATATTCACTCACTCTCTCTCTCATTTTATCTACATATAGAAATAAAATTAACATGATATTCTAGCTGATTCAAATTTTGTTTTTCTCTTCACTTTAACATCTAATAAATTTAGTTATCTTATTCACATAAGGATTTTTTTTTCTTTTTTTCCTTATTGTGATAATACTTAATCTGAGATCAACCTATGCTCTTCACGAGTTAAGGGCACAATACAGTATTTACCATAGGCATAATGTTGTATACCTAATCTCTGGAACTTATTCACCTTGCATAACCGAAACAATGAACAGTGAGTCTCCATTTCCTTCTCCCCCTACCTCCTAACAACTACCAATCTACCCTCTGTGTCTGAGTTTGACTAATTTAAATAACTGAAATATCATGCAATATTTGTCATTCTGAGACTGGCTAATTTTGCTTAGCATAATGTTCACACGTTTTGTCCATGTTGTTACATATTATGGAATGTCCAATTTAAGGCTGAATAATATTCCATTGTAGGTATATGACACATTTTACTTATTCATTCATGTATTAATCGACATTTAGGTTGTTGATTCCCCTTCTTGGTTATTGTGAATAGTGCTGCAGTGACAGAGTGCTAACATCTCTTTGAGACCGTGATTTCAATTCTTCTGAACAAATACCCAGAAGTGAGATTGCTGGATCATATGATAGTTGCATGTTTAATGTTCTGAATAACCTCCATACTATTTTCCATAGTTGCTGCACCATTTTACATTTGCAACAACATTATACAAGCATTCCAGTTTCTCCACACCCTTGGCAACATTTATATCATTATAGTCTTATTTTATAATAGCCATCCTAACCCATGTGCAGTGATACTTCATTATGGTTTTGATTTGCTTTTCCCTGATGAATTGTGATGTTTAAAATCTTTTCATGTGTCTGTTGACCTTCTGTATGTCTTTTTTGAAGAAATGTCTATGGAATCCCTTTGTGCATTTTTTAATTGGGTTGCTTTTCTATTGAGTTTTGTGATTTCTTTGTATGGTTTAAATATTAACCCTTTATCAGGTCTGTGGCTTGCAAATATTTATTCCTATTCCTTAGGCTGCCTTTAAACTCTGTTGTTTCCTTTGCTGTGCAGAAGCTTTTTAGGTTGATGTAGTCTCTCTTCCTATTTTTGCATTTGTTTCCTGTGCTTTTTGTGTCATATCCAAGAAATCATTGTAACAAGCACTTTCAAGAAGGTTTCCCTCTGTTTTGTTCTAAAAGTTTTACAGTTTCTGGTCTTAGGCATTTGTCTTTCATCTGTACTGAGTTGATTTTGTGTATAGTGTAAGAAAAGGATCCAAATTCATCTTTTTGCATATAAATATAGTTTTCATAACACCATTTGTTGAAAAACCCCAATGCTTTCCTCATTGTGTAGTATTGGTGCCCTTGTCAAAGATCGGTTGACTGTACATGTATGGGCTTATTTCTGGACTCTCCACTCTATTTCATTGGTGAATATGTCTATCTTATGCCACTACCAAATTGACTTAATTGCTGTAATTTGTGTTATATTTTGAAATCAGAAAATGTAATGCCTCTGGCTTTGTTGTTCTTGCTCAAGATTACTTTGGCTATTTGGAATCTTTTGTAGGTCCCTATGATTTCTTGGATTTTTTTTCTATTTCTGTAAAAATGCCACTGGGATTTTGATGAGGATCACATGAAATCACTAGATTGCTTTGGGTATTATGGCCATTTTAACAACACTACATCTTCTAATACATGAACACAAGATGTCTTTCCATTTATGTGTCTTCTTTAATATCTTTTATCAAGGTTTTCTATTAGCAGTACGGAAGACTTTTATCTCCTTCATTAAATTTATTCCTAAGTACTTTACTCATTTTCATACCATCGTAAATGGGATGTTTCTTAATTATTTTCAGATAGTTATTTGTTAATATAGACAAATATCAGTGATATGTGAATATTAATTTTCCATCTTGTAACATCACTGAATTTATGTATTAGTTTTAAAAATGTTTGGTTGTTTTGAGTCTTCAGATTTTCTACATATATGATCATGCCATCTGCAAAAAGAGATATTTATCCCTGTCTGATATGGATGCCTTTTATTTCTTTTGTTTATCTGCTCTGACTAGAACTTATACTACTATGTGGAATGAAATTGACAAGAGTGAACATCCTTGTCTAGTACCTGTTCTTAAAGGAAAAGGTTCAGTTTTTCATCATTGAGTATATTAGCTTTGGACTTTTCATAGATGGTTCTTATTATGTTGAGGTAAATTCCTTCCATATATACTTTCTTGAGAGATTTTGTCATGAAAGAATGTTGAATTCTGTCAAATGCTTTTTCCGTATAGGTTGAGGCGATCATGTATTTTTTATCCTTCAGTCCGTGAATGTGATGTACCACATTGATTGATTTGCATATACTGAACCATTCTTACATTCCAGAGGTAATTCCTGCTGGTTCGTGATGTATGATCCTTTTAGTGTGCTATTGAACTTGGTTTTACAGTATTTTGTCTTTTTTTCCCTTTCATGAAGATTGGGGTCTCACTATGTTGCCCAGGCAGGACTTGAACTCCTGAGCTCATGCTGTCCTCCTTCCTCTGCCTCCCAAAATGCTGGGGTTACAGGCATGAGCCACTGCACCCAGGAGTTTACTAATATTTTGTTGAGGATTTTTGTATCTAGGTTCATCACGGATATTGACCTATAGTTATTTTTTTTGTAGTGCCTTCATTTAGCTTTGGTATAAGGTTAATGTTGGCCTTATTAAATGAGTTAGAAAGTATTTTCTTCAATGTTTTGGAAGAGCTGGAGAATGACTAGTGTTAATTCTTTAAATGTTTGATAGAATTCACTAGAAAAACCATCTGGTCCTGGGTATTTCTTTGTTGTGAAGATTTTGATTGCTTATTAAATCTCCTTATCTGTTTTAGTATGTTCAAAAACCTATTTTCTGCTTTATGATTCAGCTATAGTACATAGGTGATATGTGTCTAGGAATTTATGTATTCCTTCTAGTTTTTCCACTTTGTTGGCATCTAATTGTTCATATTAGTCCCTTTTTATTTTTATGATGTCAGTTATAATGTTTTTTCTTTCACTTCTGGTTTTATTTATTTGAGTTTTCCCTTTATTTGTTAGTTTCATTAAGGGATTACCATTTTTGTTATTTTTTAAAAATGTCAAACTCTAGTAATTATTTTCCTGTTGATTTTTTCTTCTACTTATGACTGCTCTAATTTTTGTCATTTTCTTTTTCTGCTCAGTTATGACATAGTTGTTTTTTCTTTTTCTAGTTCCTTCGGGTATACTAAGTTAAGTTGTTTTGGGGGGATTCTTCTTCTGTTTTATAATAGGTATTTGTCACTATAAACTTTCCTCTTGGTAATGCTTTTGATGCAACCCATAAGTTGTGAGATGTTCTGTTTTCCCTTTTGTCTCAAAATATTTTAAATTTTCCTTTTAATTTCTTTTTTGACCCATTGGTTGTTCACTGTATTGTTTAATTTGCACATATTTATACATTGTTCTAGTTATCTTTTGTTATTGATTTCTAGTTTCCTTCCTTTAACATTGAAAAAGACATTAGGCATGATTTCAATCTTTTTAAATTTAAAATTTCTTTTTTGATGTGACATATGATCTATACTCAAAGATGTTCTGTGTGTGCTTGAGAAGAAGATGTATTCAGTTGCTGTTGGGTGGCTTGTTCTTCGTACATCTGTTAAATACACTTGTTCTACAGTGTTACTCAAAGCTGTTTACTTACTGATTTTCTATCTGGATTTCTATCCATCATTGAAAGTGAGGTATTGAAGCCTCCTACTAGTAATGTGCTGCTGCATATTATTCCCTTAAGTTATGTCAATGTTTGTTTCACATATTTAGGTGCTCTGATGATGGGTGCATATATATTTATCATTGTTATACATCTTCCTGATGAACTGACCCTGTCTATCATTACACAATGACCTTCTTTGTCTCCTGTAACAGTATTTGGCTTAATTTTATTTTATTTTATTTTTTTTTGACAGAGTCTCGCTCTGTCGCCCAGGCTGGAGTGCAGTGGCTCGATCTCCACTCACTGCAAGCTCCGCCTCCCGGGTTCATGCCATTCTCCTGCCTCAGCCTCCGGAGTAGCTGGGACTACAGGCGCCCGCCACCACGCCCAGCTAATTTCTTTTTGTATTTTTTTTAGTAAAGACGGGGTTTCACCGTGTTAGCCAGGCTGGTCGCGGTCTCCTGACCTCATGATCCGCCCGCCTGGGCCTCCCAAAGTGCTGGGATTACAGGCGTGAGCCACCGCGCCCGGCCGGCTTAATGTTTTTATTGTCTGATGTAAGTATGTGTCGCTGTAGAAGAGGAGAATTACAGATACAAGGAAATCAGCAGATGAATTTGGAGTTACGCTGCCAGAAACCAAGAAACTAACGGAAGGTACGAGAAAAGCCTGAAAGAGATCTTTCCCTAGCACCTTCTGAGGCAGTATGACCCTGACAATGCCGTGATATTGTGATTCTAGTCTTCAGAATTGTCAGACAATTGATGACTATTGTTTAAGCCATGCATCTTATGTTACATGGTTATGGAAGCCTTAGCAAACTAACACAGACATTAAAATCACCATGTGTAACTGTGGTCCTTTAAAAAATAACTGCAATAAAATATAGAGTAAAAGTAAAAAGGTCAGTGAAGGAAAAGGTATAGAGCTTAACTTACTAAGATGAAGGGGCAATGGAAACGCACTAGCAGATATCACACTTGTAGATATTACCAGCCCCTCTGCCCTACAAGTAAACTCTCAAGCATAATAGAGACTGAACTTGTTTCCGTGATTTCCCTAAGCCAACATGCGGAATGCAGTCTTCTCAGACTGGTACTTAAAATCCACCAGCTAACCAACTTACCAAATCAAATATATTCCCACACTATTACTTTATTCATCGCTCTCTTCTTCAAATTTTGTTTTGTCTTTTCTTACTGACAACAGCCCTCCATAAGAAATGAAGCATATGTATGTATAGATGTGAAATGTCTCTCAGTTATTCATTGACCTTAGACAAAAAGATATAGATGATTACTGATAGTTGAATTCCTTAAAAATTGTTTTAAATGAGGTTGAATTTTTTTCTAGAATTTAAAATACCTGAAGTATTCCATTATATGGTTCAATTTTGAGGAAATAATCTGTGACCAGGTAATAGTATGAGCTAAAGTACAGAAGGTAAAGAGATTATTTATCAGGTATATAAACGGAGGAAGGAAATCAGATTTCTTAATACTGAAGAGTTACTGGAGCACACAGAATGAGAACAAAGAAACTATATTTATTAATGTTAAAGAGTAATTATAAAATTTGGTAGAGATAATGCAGCTAGAGTAGGGATAAATCTTACCCAACTGCTATATTCTATAGAACTGAGAGACTCCTGTTGCTAGGCAATTAATCTAAAACTTAAATGAGAGACAATTGAAGGAGAGAATTTATGATTCTCTTCATCATGTGAGGCCTCAAATAAAAATATTCACAAAGATGAGTGTATAAACAATCCCAGTCCACGAATAGGGCTACAATTAGATAAGATCTGACAATTGGAGCTGACAATTCATCTGTTGGTAAGTCATTCAAAAGTTTAGCTCTAGAAGAGAGAAGCACCAGTACTTATGCATGCATGAATACACACAGATACACATACACGCACAATGTAATTCTTTACCAAGTGTTCAGATATTCAGGAGGATTTACACTCAATTATTTGGTAGTCTACTTACTTGCTTCAGAATCTTTAACATGTTTTTAAGGATTTTTTTAAAATTTTACTCATAGTTTATAAACAGTGAATTAGGCTATAAATGAGAGCGAGAGGGATGTGGTAATTAGGGTACAGAGAATGATGAATTCAATGAGTGTGGAGACAAAAAACCCAAACTTTGTAAAGGGTAATGTATGACCAACTACTTTGAAGTCTCTACTATTATAGCACTATACCACATTATTAATGAAAATATTATATTTTCTCAGGAGGTGTAGTCTCTGGAGTCATTGTATAAGATAATGTAATAAGTGCAAAGGCAGTCTGGCTCAAATATTTTTTTCAATTTGTTTCCTACTGCTTGCAAGATAAGTTCTTATAAACAAATTCTGAAAGATGTATACTGGTTAAGTTCACTCTCAATGGGGCTACATTAATGAAAAATAATCCTTTTCCATCACAACAAAAATCCACACTCCATAAAAATTAACAAATATATATCAAGAGAGATATGGAGAGAAAATCAGCGTAACAAAATTTTACTCACAATGTATAGATGTTGTCCTCAAAGATTTCTTCTACTGATGTGGCTTTCTTCTTGTGGCCTCTTGGCATTTTGTGAAGTAAACCTCCCTTTTATATCACTTGATTACTTTACCCAAGCAATCAAGCCACTCTTTTCACTTTAGTGAGAAGGATAACATATTCAGCCTGCAAAAAATCCGCTGCTACATACGTACAATGACAAACCAAATACTAAATATCTAATCCTATATTAAACAAACATGAAATGAAAAATTTTTGGTTTTATAACTTAAAATCACTGATACGCAATAACAATAGTAACTCATAAAAATGAAGACAAGGTTGATTTTCACTTAGGGTCCTATGCATTAATGAGGAAACTTAGAAAAACAGCTAGTTAAGAAAAAATGTGAACAAAATAAAAATTATTAAGAGCATAGGAGTGTTTAAAATATCTGTCCATGATTTCATCATTTAAGGGTGAAATGTCAGGCCATTTGATCTTAATTTTATGTTTCCCCTTTTTAAGCACCCCTAAATATATTCTGCGATTTATTATTCCAGAAGTGTTGGCAGTGAGCTGTAGGAGTGGCCAAAGCAGACAAAGGATTAATCTAGATTCACTTGAGGATTGTGGTCAACAGTGGTTGAACTGAAGAAGTCCAGAGCTAGGCTATGGGGATGGAAGGCACAGGAGGGGAATTTGGAAAGAGGGAAAAAAGAAAAGAAAGTGATTTTAATCCTCTATGAATTTGATGTGTAAGTTTCAATTAAGAATACAAGTTGTGGTTAACTAATATATCCAAATTAGGATGGTCAAGGATGGTAACACCATAGAGGTGATGGCCATAGGTCAACAGCAAAAGCTTATTGAAGATGAGATGTACAGGTAACAACAAACAAACAAACAAACAAACAAACAAAAAACTGGGTGCTGTATGGGTTTTCCATGCTTGGCAAACACAGTAAATATTATTGGCATAATTGGATAAGATGATTGGCAGAGAAGAAAGTAGTATCAGACACCCATTTATTTGTGGTTTGTGCAGGACTGATTTGGGAAGTTGGTGTAATAGTAAGGAAGAAAAGTAGATAATAATATAATGAGATGGCTGCCAGTTAAGTGGTTTGTAAGGGCCTTTGGCAATCAAAGCAAATTATGGCCAAACATCTGGTTTATAGGGAATATGAGAATGCTGAGAATAGAAAACTCCCTCTCTGCTGGGCTTCCCATCGTTGAGATATAAGTTTTGTAAACTTCAGTAGCAATAATGAGCTCTCCATAAAGAGATACGAGTGGAGAAGAGATTATTGTGGCTTTTCATGAAAGAAAGGTTCTGTAAGTGACAGGAAAATGATTCCAGAGAAAAGAGGTCAAACATCAAGATAAAACATAATTAAGTAGAAAAGAATCCAGGTATAGAAGATGACAGGTGCTGAAACTAGCATTTTTGATTTTTGTATTACCTACCATTGAAAGTGGTATTTAATCGGTGTGTTTTAGATTCCTCATAGCAGATTTCACTTTCTCCTGTGATTTTTTTCAATTAAGCCAGTAGTTCTTAATCTCATTACTTTGATAATCTCATCATTAATAGCCTGATAATCACTGTGAATACTCTCACTAGCTAAATAAAACTAGGCATTTTCTATGTAAAATATGGAATGGAATTTTACAAATTCCTAAAGTGTATCTTTGCCCCAAACACTCTGCCTGAATTTATGCTACGTATCATTAACTTATTTTGGCCTGTATCATTCATTTTTGTTTCTAAGTATGCAGCTTAGTGTCTACATATTACATGGTTTAATTAATGTGTTATTGAAGAGCAAAGCAACAAATCAGTGTTGCCAGCCATACTAGATTTCTCATTTGCACAAATACGTGGTAATAAATTTGTACTATTAGGTAAAACTTTTTATTGTATTTTTATATAAGCTATGTAAATGTTTTTTCATATATGACATAAATACTTTTGGAGGTCAATCTCAGGAGCTGGTGACTTTATCGTCTTAAAACTGCAAGGGACATTGATGCCTTTGTTCCAGCATAATATTACCTTCCCCAAAGCCTTCCTCCCCCTTTTTGGGGTTCATTAATTTCCTTTTCATTTCTGAAGGCAGTTTGTTTTGTCTTCAGCATTTTCACATCTCTGACCGTTACTTTCCTGGCTTGTTTTATTTCCTTTTCATTTTTCATAGCCAAAGGCTTTGAAAAGAGTTATTTTTATTAAGGGTATAACTAAATATATACATCTTTGAGTAATATCTATCTATGGACACATGGTACTACCTCATTTAATTCCACTATTTTTTTATTGTGTTATTCCACAAAGGTATCCACTACAGTAAATACTACTATTTTTGAAGAGCAACTGATGCTTTGTAATTTGACAGGAAGAAGTGAAGATAGGACAAGTAATGATTTGTTGCATGGAAGTATATATTAAGAAAGATGAAAAAAGATATGAAAGTATTTCATATATATATATATATCTCCAGAGTAATGTAACTAAATAATGTATCACTTGAAACTGAAAGGAAGAATATTGATATTTATTCCAATTCAATATGTATAAATCAAGATTCCCTTATCAAAACAAGATATACGTTCAGCTTTTAAGAGCCTTTCCTTTTAAATATTTGTGAAAATGTGCACACATATACATATATTTTGATAACAGCATAATGAATCCATGTGTTCTTTATCTGGGTTCGGGATTTATCAACTGGCAGGCAATTGTCATTTTTTAGTATACAGTCTGAGTTTGCGTCACCAATGTTGAAAAGCCAATCCAATGTAGTATTATATATTGAGTCATGTGTTGAGCCAAACACTAATCCATTTTCACCCATATATTCCTGTTTCTTCTTCACCCTGGCCTATTCATAACACCACCTGTGTGTCTTCCCTTCTTTTTATTTTGTCTTTTAATTTGGCTGCTCTGATAGATTGACTGTCAGAAAACAGACCACTAAGGGTCAGCATTGCATAAAATCAACCCAAGGGAGAAAGACAGACGAATCTTGCCTCCTGCCTTCCCCTCTTTTGCTCTCACTCATAGCTCCATCATGGTGGCTCCATAAAGGCTGCGGGTGAGGCCCTGCTGCATATGAGGATCACACACCTGCTGCTCTCACTGAGGATATTTCTCTTCCTTTTTTGATGAGCCCATATTGGGCACAAGACCACAGCCCCCCAGAAGTGGTGATAACCCTGAGGGTAACTTGCACTGGTAGTGGTATGAATCTTCTAAGCTGGCTCTCCTGTAGCTTGTAATTTGGGAAAAAGAGACATATTGTCCACATCAGAAGCTTTTGATTTCCAAACACCTCCCAGTGTTCACCTACAAAGACCAACATGCTCTCCTGGAAGATCACCCTATTGTCTGGAATGACTGCTGCTATCATAGTTTTGTGGAAAGGGATCCAGAATCCCTGGTTGCTATTAGCAACTGTTTTGGGGGTTTTCAAGGAACGCTACAGATAAATTACATTGATTATGAAATGACACCCAAAAGGCCTTCTGCCACATCTGAGCATCTGGTATAAAAAGCTGGGTAGTCAGGAGACAAAATTCCCAACCATGAAACGTGGATTAACAGAAGATATAGTAAGAGAATTAAAGTTTCAAGAATGTGATAATTCCACTCTGATGCAAAGTGGCTATGAGGGCTGGAGGGAGAACCCACGCATTTTTTCTTGAACTGGCAATAGTGGTAGACTATTCATTATTTGGAAAGTAATACCTCCCTTGGGCAGGAGGAAATAATAGTTGTTGCCAACAAATTAAATGTTGTTTAATAGTGCCATAGGACTTAATGTGATTTTAACTGTACTTGAGATCTGGAATGAAGAAAACCAAGTTACAGCAGGTGACCTATGTGTTCTTATATAACTTTGGCAAATGGAAATAAATAGCTATAATTTCTACATATCTGATGATGGTGTAGAACTTGCAGTAAAGGATAAATATGGTAGATTATTATCCTATACCATTATTGGTTCAACCTGTAATATTGGTTTTAATTATAGAGTTATACAGTTCCAAGGTACTGAATTTATATCATTTGCATTGCTGTTGGTACACGAGTTAGGTCATAGGTTTGGTATGCAGAATGATGGTAAAGATTGTTCTTGTGGTCATGAAACATGCACGATGTCTTCAAGAATATAAAGGGCAACAAGGTGAAACATCGTCTCCACAAAAAATAAAAAATTATCCAGATGTGGTGGTCCCAGCAACTCAGGAGGCTGAGATGGGCAGATCCATTGAGCCACTGAGCCAGGAAAATTGAGGCTGGCAATGAGCTGTGATTGTGCCACTGTATTCCAGCCTGAGACAGAGTGAGAGCCTGTCTTAAAAAAAAAATATATATATATATCAAAGACAAGTCATCTATTCAGACACAGAAATTATTCTATATTGGTCAGCCTTTTATCTAAGCACTATTTGTATACTGAAATCCAGAGAACATCATTGCAGAGAAGTGCTGTGGCAATGGTGTGGTTGAAGAAGGAGAGAAGTGTGACTGTGGATCCTTACGATTGTGTGCAAAATATCCATGTTGTTTGGCAAACTACACTCTGAAATCTGGGGCTGCTTGTGCTTTTGGGCTTTGATGCAAAGCCTGCTAATTCATGCTGTCAGGCAATATGTGCAGAGAAGAGAACAATGAATGCGTTATCTCATAGTGTTTCAATAGAAATTCACATATTGTCCAGCAGATATGAATGTGCACAACAGGATCCATTGCATGGGCAGTGTCTATTGCTATGAAAAGGGATGTATTAACTACGAACAGTGTAGGCAAATTTTTGGCAAAGAAGCAAACAGTGCAAATCAGAGTTGCTACAGAGAAATTAATACCTGTGGTTACCATTTTGGTCACTGTGGTATCTGAGGCTGGACATGTAAGATATAATATCTCAGATATCTTTTGTGGGAGAGTTCAATGTGAGAATGTGAAAGAAATTACCCATTTGAGAGATCACACTACTGAGCACTGAACTCACATCAGTGGTGTTACCAGCTACAGTACTGACTTTCATTTGGGGATGACAATAACTGATATTGGTGTAGTGAAAAATAGCACAGAGTATGGTCCAAAACAAGCGTACATTGACAGGAAGTGTGTTCATTATCATTTTGGAAAAGTACTTCTTCTTCTAAGACCCGCAATATGAGAGGAATCTGCAACCATAAACATTAGTGCCACTGCAACCAAAGGTGGAAAATACTTATTGCCTGATACAGGGCACTGGAGGTAGTGTTGATAGTGACCTATACCCTGCCCACCCCAAAAAGATGAAAGAGTTGTTCAAAAGGATTTTCTTGATAGTAATTTTTTAATTCCTTTTTCTCTTTTGTTTTACTGTTTGTTAATTTTGCTTTCAGTGATACACACAACAAAAGAAAAAGAAAGAAAGAAACAAAGAAAGAAAGAAAGGAAAGAAAGAAAGGAAAGAAAGAAAGAAAAGAAAGAAAGAAAGAGAGAAAAACATCATCTAAGAAAGAAGTGCAAATTGTTCAAACTTCACCTGAGATAGAAAAGCAAACTGTTCAAACTTCACCTAATAAAGAAATGCAAAATGTTCAACTTTCAATTATGAACAAAGAGCAAAATCTTTAAACTTTATTTCAGAAAAAAATAGTAGGGGATTCCTGGAGAAGCTGCAGTGTGGGGATGCTCTAGACCGAGTACTGCCCCCAGTGTCTTTCCACCTCCTCCTGCAGCAGCGGCAGCAGCAGCAGCAGTTAGCAGTAGCAACTTGAGGCTGCACCCCGGGCTGCCACTCCAAGAGCGGAGGCAGTGAGAGTACGCGTGTGCCTCGCGCCAGTCCACGCTAGGAGAGCACTGGGACCGAGACCCGGCACCACCTCCCGGTCCGCCCTCCAGAACTTTGTTGAGGAGGAGCCAAGATGGCCGAATAGGAACAGCTCCGGTCTACAGCTCCCAGCGTGAGCGACGCAAAAGACGGGTGATTTCTGCATTTCCATCTGAGGTACCGGGTTCATCTCACTAGGGAGTGCCAGACAGTGGGCGCAGGTCAGTGGGTGCACGCACCCTGCGCGAGCCGAAGCAGGGTGAGGCATTGCCTCACTCGGGAAGCGCAAGGGATCAGGGAGTTCCCTTTCCTAGTCAAAGAAAGGGGTGACGGACAGCACCTGGAAAATCGGGTCACTCCCACCCGAATACTGCGCTTTTCCGACAGGCTTAAAAAACGGCGCACCACGAGATTATATCCCGCACCTGGCTCAGAGGGTCCTACCCCACGGAGTCTCGCTGATTGCAAGCACAGCAGTCTGAGATCAAACTGCAAGGCGGCAGCGAGGCTGGGGGAGGGGCGCCCTCCATTGCCCAGGCTTGCTTAGGTAAACAAAGCAGCCAGGAAGCTTGAACTGGGTGGAGCCCACCACAGCTCAAGGAGGCCTGCCTGCCTCTGTAAGCTCCACCTCTGGGGGCAGGGCACAGACAAACAAAAAGACAGCAGTAACCTCTGCAGACTTAAATGTCCCTGTCTGATAGCTTTGAAGAGAGCAGTGGTTCTCCCAGTACGCAGCTGGAGATCTGAGAACGGGCAGACTGCCTCCTCAAGTGGGTCCCTGACCCCTGACCCCCGAGCAGCCTAACTGGGAGACACCCCCCAGCAGGGGCACACTGACACCTCACACAGCAGGGTACTCCATCAGACCTGCAGCTGAGGGTCCTGTCTGTTAGAAGGAAAACTAACAGAAAGGACATCCACACCAAAAACCCATCTGTACATCACCATGATCAAAGACCAAAAGTAGATAAAACCACAAAGATGGGGAAAAAACAGAACAGAAAAACTGGAAACTCTAAAAAGCAGAGTGCCTCTCCTCCTCCAAAGGAACGCAGTTCCTCCCCAGCAATGGAACAAAGCTGGACGGAGAACGACTTTGACGAGCTGAGAAAAGAAGGCTTCAGACGATCAAATTACTCTGAGCTACGGGAGGACATTCAAACCAAAGGCAAAGAAGTTGAAAACTTTGAAAAAAATTTAGAAGAATGTATAACTAGAATAACCAATACAGAGAAGTGCTTAAAGGAACCGATGGAGCTGAAAACCAAGGCTCGAGAACTACGTGAAAAATGCAGAAGCCTCAGGAGCCGATGCGATCAACTGGAAGAAAGGGTATCAGCGATGGAAGATGAAATGAATGAAATGAAGCGAGAAGGGAAGTTTAGAGAAAAAAGAATAAAAAGAAATGAGCAAAGCCTCCAAGAAATATGGGACTATGTGAAAAGACCAAATCTATGTCTGATTGGTGTACCTGAAAGTGACGGGGAGAATGGAACCAAGTTGGAAAACACTCGGCAGGATATCATCCAGGAGAACTTCCCCAATCTAGTAAGGCAGGCCAACGTTCAGATTCAGGAAATAGAGAGAACACCACAAAGATACTCCTCGAGAAGAGCAACTCCAAGACACATAATTGTCAGATTCACCAAAGTTGAAATGAAGGAAAAAATGTTAAGGGCAGCCAGAGAGAAAGGTCGGGTTACCCTCAAAGGGAAGCCCATCAGACTAACAGCGGATCTCTCGGCAGAAACCCTACAAGCCAGAAGAGAGTGGGGGCCAATATTCAACATTCTTAAAGAAAAGAATTTTCAACCCAGAATTTCATATCCAGCCAAACTAAGCTTCATAAGTGAAGGAGAAATAAAATACTTTACAGACAAGCAAATGCTGAGAGATTTTGTCACCACCAGGCCTGCCCTAAAAGGGCTCCTGAAGGAAGCACTAAACATGGAAAGGAACAACCGGTACCAGCCGCTGCCAAATCATGCCAAAATGTAAAGACCATCGAGACTAGGAAGAAACTGCATCAACTAATGAGCAAAAGAACCAGCTAACATCATCATGACAGGATCAAATTCACACATAACAATATTAACTTTAAATGTAAATGGACTAAATGCTCCAATTAAAAGACACAGACTGGCAAATTGGATAAAGAGTCAAGACCCATCAGTGTGCTGTATTCAGGAAACCCATCTCATGTGCAGAGACACACATAGGCTCAAAATAAAAGGATGGAGGAAGATCTATCAAACAAAAAAAGGCAGGGGTTGCAACCCTAGTCTCTGATAAAACAGACTAAACCAATAAAGATCAAAAGAGACAAAGAAGGCCATTACATAATGGTAAAGGGATCAATTCAACAAGAAGAGCTAACTATCCTAAATATATATGCACCCAATACAGGAGCACCCACATTCATAAAGCAAGTCCTGAGTGACCTACAAAGAGACTTAGACTCCCACACATTAATAATGGGAGACTTTAACACCCCACTGTCAACATTAGACAGATCAACGAGACAGAAAGTCAACAAGGATACCCAGGAATTGAACTCAGCTCTGCACCAAGTGGACCTAATAGACATCTATAGAACTCTCCACCCCAAATCAACAGAATATACATTTTTTTCAGCACCACACCCCACCTATTCCAAAATTGACCACATACTGGGAAGTAAAGCTCTCCTCAGCAAATGTAAAAGAACAGAAATTATAACAAACTATCTCTCAGACCACAGTGCAATCAAACTAGAACTCAGGATTCAGAATCTCACTCAAAACTGCTCAACTACATGGAAACTGAACAACCTGCTCCTGAATGACTACTGGGTACATAACGAAATGAAGGCAGAAATAAAGATGTTCTTTGAAACCAACAAGAACAAAGACACAACATACCAGAATCTCTGGGACGCATTCAAAGGAGTGTGTAGAGGGAAATTTATAGCACTAAATGCCCACAAGAGAAAGCAGGAAAGATCCAAAATTGACATCCTAACATCACAATTAAAAGAACTAGAAAAGCAAGAGCAAACACACTCAAAAGGTAGCAGAAGGCAAGAAATAACTAAAATCAGAGCAGAACTGAAGGAAATAGAGACACGAAAAACCCTTCAAAAAATTAATGAATCCAGGAGCTGATGTTTTGAAAGATCAACAAAACAGATAGACCACTAGCAAGACTAATAAAGAAAAAAAGAGAGAAGAATCAAATAGACGCAATAAAAAATGATAAAGGGGATATCACCACCGATCCCACAGAAATACAAACTACCATCAGAGAATACTACAAACACCTCTACGCAAATAAACTAGAAAATCTAGAAGAAATGGATAAATTCCTCGACACATACACTCTCCCAAGACTAAACCAGGAAGAAGTTGAATCTCTGAATAGACCAATAACAGGATCTGAAACTGTGGCAATAATCAATAGCTTACCAACCAAAAAGAGTCCAGGACCAGATGGATTCACAGCTGAATTCTACCAGAGGTACAAGGAGGAACTGGTACCATTCCCTCTGAAACTATTCCAATCAATAGAAAAAGAGGGAATCCTCCCTAACTCATTTTATGAGGCCAGCATCATTCTGATACCAAAGCCTGGCAGAGACACAACCAAAAAAGAGAATTTTAGACCAATATCCTTGATGAACATTGATGCAAAAATCCTCAATAAAATACTGGCAAAACGAATCCAGCAGCACAGCAAAAAGCTTATCCACCATGATCAAGTGGGCTTCATCCCTGGGATGCAAGGCTGGTTCAATATATGCAAATCAATAAATGTAATCCAGCATATAAACAGAGCCAAAGACAAAAACCACATGATTATCTCAATAGATGCAGAAAAGGCCTTTGACAAAATTCAACAACGCTTCATGCTAAAAACTCTCAATAAATCAGGTATTGATGGGACGTATTTCAAAATAATAAGAGCTATCTATGACAAACCCACAGCCAATATCATACTGAATGGACAAAACTGGAAGCATTCCCTTTGAAAACCGGCACAAGACAGGGATACCCTCTCTCACCACTCCTATTCAACATAGTGTTGGAAGTTCTGGCCAGGGCAATTAGGCAGGAGAAGGAAATAAAGTGTATTCAATTAGGAAAAGAGGAAGTCAAATTGTCCCTGTTTGCAGACGACATGATTGTATATCTAGAAAACCCCATTGTCTCAGCCCAAAATCTCCTTAAGCTGATAAGCAACTTCAGCAAAGTCTCAGGATACAAAATCAATGTACAAAAATCACAAGCATTCTTCTACACCAACTACAGACAAACAGAGAGCCAAATCATGAGTGAACTCCCATTCACAATTGCTTCAAAGAGAATAAAATACCTAGGAATCCAACTTACAAGGGATGTGAAGGACCTCTTCAAGGAGAACTACAAACCACTGCTCAAGGAAATAAAAGAGGATACAAACAAATGGAAGAACATTCCATGCTCATGGGTAGGAAGAATCAATATCGTGAAAATGGCCATACTGCCCAAGGTAATTTACAGATTCAATGCCATCCCCATCAAGCTACCAATGCCTTTCTTCACAGAATTGGAAAAAACTACTTTAAAGTTCATATGGAACCAAAAAAGAGCCTGCATCGCCAAGTCAATCCTAAGCCAAAAGGACAAAGCTGGAGGCATCACATTACCTGACTTCACACTACACTACAAGGCTACAGTAACCAAAACAGCATGGTACTGGTACCAAAACAGAGATATAGATCAATGGAACAGAACAGAGCCCTCAGAAATAATGCCGCATATCTACAACTATCGGATCTTTGACAAACCTGAGAAAAACAAGCAATGGGGAAAGGATTCCCTATTTAATAAATGGTGCTGGGAAACCTGGCTAGCCATATGTAGAAAGCTGAAACTGGATCCCTTCCTTACACCTTATACAAAAATCAATTCAAGATGGATTAAAGACTTAAACGTTAGACCTAAAACCATAAAAACTCTAGAAGAAAACCTAGGCATTACCATTCAGGACGTAGCTATGGGCAAGGACTTCATGTCTAAAACACCAAAAGCAATGGCAACAAAAGCCAAAATTGACAAATGGGATCTAATTAAACTAAAGAGCTTCTGCACAGCAAAAGAAACTACCATCAGAGTGAACAGGCAACCTACAAAATGGGAGAAAATTTTTGCAGCCTACTCATCTGACAAAGGGCTAATATCCAGAATCTACAATGAACTCAAACAAATTTACAAGAAAAAAACAAACAACCCCATCAAAAAGTGGGCAAAGGACATGAACAGACACTTCTCAAAAGAAGACATTTATGCAGCCAAAAAACACATGAAAAAATGCTCATCATCACTGGCCATCAGAGAAATGCAAATCAAAACCACAATGAGATACCATCTCACACCAGTTAGAATGGCAATCATTAAAAAGTCAGGAAACAACAGGTGCTGGAGAGGATGTGGAGAAATAGGAACACTTTTACACTGTTGGTGGGACTGTAAACTAGTTCAACCCTTGTGGAAGTCAGTGTGGCGATTCCTCAGGGATCTAGACCTAGAAATACCATTTGACCCAGCCATCCCATTACTGGGTATATACCCAAAGGACTATAAATCATGCTGCTATAAAGATACATGCACACATATGTTTATTGCAGCACTATTCACAATAGAAAGACTTGGAACCAACCCAAATGTCCAACAATGATAGACTGGATTAAGAAAATGTGGCACATATACACCATGGAATACTATGCAGCCATAAAAAATGAAGAGTTCATGTCCTTTGTAGGGACATGGATGAAATTGGAAATCATCATTCTCAGTAAACTATCGCAAGAACAAAAAACCAAACACCGCATATTCTCACTCATAGGTGGGAATTGAACAATGAGATCACATGGACACAGGAAGGGGAACATCACACTCTGGGGACTGTTGTGGGGTGGGGGGAGGGGGGAGGGATAGCATTGGGAGATATACCTAATGCTAGATGACGAGTTAGTGGGTGCAGCGCACCAGCGTGGCACATGTATACATATGTAACTAACCTGCACAATTTGCACATGTACCCTAAAACTTAAAGTATAATAATAAAAGAAAAAAAAAAAGAAAAAAATAGTAAAAATTTACTATTTCAGAAAATAAACCCAATTCCTAATGAAATTTTTCGTCTGTTAATTTTTAATGACCTGGCAGTAGAAATGTTATTGTGTATGTCAGAGATCATTGAAAGAAAATCCCAGAGATCTATTATATTTAATAATCACAAATAGTAGCCATTAAATGAAAAAGTTAGTACTAGAATATTAATACTTTTCATTATTTTAAGTAATTTTAGTGGTTTATTTTTCATGAAATTAGTCACATGTTTCCTGAGCAAAGGCCGGGCTCATGGATGATATATGTGCATTTTAATTTTAATGTGCTGTCTCTCAATTTCAAAACTCCTTCCCTTTTCCAATCTGCTTTGTCACAAGAAGGATGGGTGCCTATACAATAACAGCTTTTCTTTGCCAGTCCTCTCTCTATTAGTGTCTTCCAATGGGGCGGCTAGAGGCAGACTAGAAACCTGAGATAACCATTTCATAGCTGTTCATGTCAGCATTGGCTCAGTAAAAGCTTTTACCTTGGCAGCAGCAGTAGTTCTCAGTCTGTACATGATTTTTATTGTTAAATCAAAAACTTCAGACAAATAAAATTTAGCAGAGTTTACTTGAAGAAAGAATCATTCATGAATTAGTAGCACTCAGAACCAGGAGAGATTCAGAGACCTCCACTAGGCAACATGGCCATTCAGTATTTGTAGACAAAAATAGTAACTGGTGTATAGAAGCACATTGATTGTTTACAGCTGGGCATTGGCCTTATTTGGGCATGATGTCATAAGGCATATGCCTTATGTGGACATGGTCTGATCAGCTGGCACCCTGTGATTAACTGAAGCTCAGCTGCCGTGATTGGCTAGGACTCAGCCATTTGTTGCAGGAATATACTTTTAAGTTAGGTAGCAGTTTTTTTTTTTTAAATACAACATTAGGTTGAACTCTGTTATGAAGGAATTCAAAGTATGGAGGGAGTTTTAGGCCATATTTATTTTAATTTAAAATGTCCCCATTTGGTCGGCTTCTCAATTTGGAAAGATTGACCAAAACCTTGGGCACTGACATCATTCTGTCACCATCACAATGATCTTGTTTGGTCTCAGTATGGAATTTATAATTCACAATTGGGTTAGTTGAATGTTTCTTCTGTTCTTTTTAGGTTTTCACTATTCAAACTGTAGTAAGATCACTTGGCATATGACAGATGGCTGCATAAGAACATTTAAGACTCTTGAGAGAATCTGGTGCACCAGAGAAACCATTATGATGGCTATCAGGAGGATAATACTAAGAAAATGAAATACACTCTAACAGGAGCCCCAAATAAGCAAACTGATCAAAATCAAATATATAAAATATGAACCACAAGAGAAATCTATTTGTTTTAGCCATTCAGCTTGTTTGTTGATTTCTTGCAGCTGAATTTCTTCCATACCAGATGTATTTATCCAAGGGCATCAGAAGTGTTAGCTATCACACATGCTCCCCCTTGTTAGGCCATCAATAGATAGTCCAAAGCAATCATGTTATCTAAGGACAACATTAGTAAGAAAGTTTCAAGAAATTTCCTTGGGCAACTGTAACCTTTGCAGTAGAGTCAGCTATATATGGTACCTAATATTTGAGATAGGTTTCTATAATCATAACTTAAATGACATTAATGCGAAGCCAGGGAAAATCACCCTTCAAAAAGATGCCTATTTGGAAGGATTTATGTCTGCTAGCAAATTCCTCTTTATTCTATAGTGCAAATTAAGAAGTGTGGCCCAATGATCAGTTTTCAATTGGTTATAGAGTGACAGTGGTAGCATTAAAATCACTCATCTACATTGGTCCTTCATTAGCCACTTACTGAAACATAGGGTTGCCATGCACATGGTTAAATGATGACAATATTGTTAAATCCTTCACAGATAAATATACATCCTGGAAAGGCACAACAAACAGCTCTCTGTGGGATGCCTTGTGTGTGAGCAGTCATCAGTAGGGAAACACTAGCAGCATTTATGCCAGGCTCCATTACTGAATCACTGAATGCTTTGATGCTTCCAAAAATTAAAGGAATAGGTTACACATTTGTGTACAAATTGTTGAATTATTTTTCCTTTCGTCTTCTTATTCAACTTATGGCAGAGTTTAACTGCAAAACCATCACTTTAGTTTTGTCTATTGTTACATTTAAACAAGAAAACTGAATACATAAGTCTAGAAAGTATCAGAAATCATATTTGAAATACCAGTTACAGAGTGAACCAGAAGCTAAGATTATATAAGGACTTACGTTTCACATGACATATCCAAAATTCAGTTAAGTTCCCTGAGTATCGGGGGAAATTCAGCCAGATATCGGCCGAAATTCAGCCCTGATACTTCACGTACGTTCTTTTCTATTTTCCCTAAGTGTCAGCCGGTCTGAGATATAAAGGGACAGAGTACAAAAGAGAGAAATTTTAAAGCTGGGTGTCCGGGGGAAGACATCACATGACGGCAGGTTCCATGATGGCCCCTGAGCCGCAAAACCAGCAAGTTTTTATTAGTGATTTTCAAAAGGGGAGGGAGTGTACAAATAGGGTGTGGGTCACAGAGATCACGTGTTTCACAAGGTAATAGAATATCACAAGGCAAATTGAGGCAGGGTGAGATCACAGGACCACAGGACTGGGGCAAAATTAAAATTGCTAATGAAGTTTCAGGCACACATTGTCATTGATAACATCTTATCAGGAGGCAGGGTTTCAGAGCAGACAACCAGTCTGACCAAAATTTATTAGGTGGGAATTTCCTCATCCTAATAAGCCTGGGAGTGCTATGGGAGACTGGGGCTTATTTCATCCCTACAGCTTTGACCATAAAAGATGGCTGCCCTCCGAAGCGGCCATTTTAGAGACCTACCCTCAGGGACGCATTCTCTTTCTCAGGGATGTTCCTTGCTGAGAAAAAGAATTCAGTGATATTTCTCCCATTTGCTTTTGAAAGAAGAGAAATATGGCTGTGTTCTGCCTGGCTCACCGGCGGTCAGAGTTAGAGGTTATCTCTCTTGTTCCCTGAACATTGCTGTTATCCTGTTCTTTTTTCAAGGTGCCCACATATTGTTCAAACACATGTGCTCTACAAGCAATTTGTGCAGTTAATGCAATCATCACAGGGTCCTGAGGTGGCATACATCCTCCTCAGCTTATGAAGAGGACAGGATTAAGAAATTAGAGTAAAGACAGGCATAGGAAATCACAAGGGTATTGACTGGGGAAGTGATAAGTGTCCATGAAATCTTCACAATTTATGTTCAGAGATTGCAATAAAGACAGGCATAAGAAATTATAAAAGTATTAATTTTGGGGAACTAATAAATGTTCATGAAATCTTCACAATTTATGTTCTTCTGCCATGGCTTCAGCTGGTCCCTCCATTCAGGGTCCCTGACTTCCCGCAACACCTGAGGATGCTATCAAATATGACATCTTAATTACTGCATTATCTTGTCATGTATAGAAAGAAAAGAAACACAGAGAAAAAAGTCAGGAGGACAAAAGTTTCATGCAGGTAACTTCACCTGTGATCTTGGGAAGGTTGTCTACACCTAGGATGTCATCTGCTTCTCTGAAGAAACCTCCCTGGCCAGTTTGACCATGAGGTCTCCAATGACTGTACAATCCCAGGAGTCTGGAATGGCTCTCTTAAGTTGAGACATGAATCCAAGAATCAAGGCACCGAAGTTGTACTTCCAAGGGGTTCCAAGGGCAGTCTTTTTCTGGTGTTCATTCCAAAAGACTCAACATCCAGACTCTAGATCATTAATGGTGTAGCAGATATCTGCTGGTGGTTCACAAAGGGCTTCTTTTCGGTGGAAAAAATATACTTTGGCATAATCCATTAAGGTCTTGCAATATCGAGTCATTTCAGAGTTCATGAGTGTGAGATACATGAAGTCCAATTATTAGGGGCATGGTCCTTCTAGTAATTATTTCATAAGCGGTCAGTCTGTACTTTCTAGTGGATCATCAATCAGTAGTAACTTTGATCAAAGCAACCCATTCGATTCAGTTAGCTTTGCTTAATGGCTTTGTGTTTGCAATTCCTTATTTGACACTTTTATAATTTTTCTAGTGAAATGAATACCTTCATTGCTGAAGATTTCTCCAAGAATGCCCCATAAACAAAACACATTTTCTAATAATTTTTTTTTTTTTGCTTATGTTATAGATTCAGCCTTCTCGCATGGGAAAGATTTTATACAAACAGAAAAGAGTCATCAAAGTTGGCAATTGAGTAAAATCCCTCTGTAAATATTCAAGTGATCCAGTAAGTGGCAAAAATGTATCAACTGAGGTCATTTTCTTACTAGAATTATGGGTTTGACAACCCCAACAATGGTTATAAACCACTTCAGCAGTTTTAGAATAGTCACCCCATCATTTCTTTTCATGATTTGTATCATCTCATCTATTCCATAATGAGTCAGAGTGTTGTCTTTAATAATGAAAACTTTAAAAAGTCAGGAAAGATCAGGCAGCTATCAAAGCCTCCATAAGTCTCCACTTAACATTAGATCTACATATTTTTAAATACTAGATTTTTTTCCCTCCAAGTAAGGCATGTAGCACTGTTTATTAAATAGTTATTATAGGTAATTTGACTTGGATTTATCTTATGAAATTCATTCAAATTGCATATAATAACAATTTCAGTACTGACTGACTTAGCATAAAAATCTGACTACGCATTTCCTTGGTATTTAATTAACTCTTATTCTACTTGATTTTTGGTTAGCAGTTTTATGAATCAGTCAGTCTCTTCATTAGAGTTTTTGGGAATACTTACCTGGTACAATAGTATGATCAGATTTCTAAGACAGGCATGTAATTTCTGGAATACATAATAACACATCTACACAAATATAATTCAAAGAAGGTTTGGACTTACTTATTTGGCAATGCTTTCACATAATTTAATATATCAAATAAGCCAAATTAACTTAATATCTCTCTTTTCACAAAGATAGATACCTGTTTGATTTTTCCAATAGCACCCATGAAAAATCTCAAGGTTAATTTGAGATTAAAAAAAAAGACTTAATTTAAATTTGGTTTCTGAAAGTATGTCAAAAATATGAAGGATGTGAAACACTGGATCAAAATAGGATCACAGGCTACTGTGTATGATCATTGTTAATTTAATCAAAGTAATAATTTAAAGACTTCCAAGGCAAATACAGAAAGTTTGTTGTAGAAAAATTTTAGTTCTTTCAATAAAGAAGGCAGTTTTCTTAAGCCAACAAAAACCTAGTAAACACTGAAGTGCAAGAAGTTATCTTAGTAAAACGCAGAATCATTGTTTTCTATCGCCTAGGCCATTTAACTAAAAGATAAAGAAGGCTGGGCATGGTTGCTCACGCCTGTAATGCCAGTACTTTGGGAAGCCCAGGCAGCCGGATCATGCAGTCAAGAGATTGAGATCATCCTGGCCAACATGGTGAAACCCTGTCTCTACTAAAAATACAAAAATTAGCTGGGTGTGGTGGTGCATGCCTGTAGTCTCAGCTACTCGGGAGGGTGAGGTAGGAGAATCGTTTGAACCCAGGAGGCAGAGGTTGCAGTGAGAGATCACACCACTGCACTCCAGCCTGGCGACAAAGCGAGATTCCATCAAAAAAAAAAAAAAAAAAAAAAAAAGAGAGATAAAGAAAATCCCTTCACGGTTTCTTTTAAGAACAGACCAAAATTCCAAGAAAACTGTTGTTTAACACAAGGCTCAAAATTCTAGTTTCATATCAGTGTACTTTTGGTGTTAATACTCCATTTTTAGAAAAACTTATAAATAATTCCTTTCTAAGTTTATCTAGCTTAATCACACATAAAATTCCTTTCACAAGATTCATCTTCCACAAACCTTCTGACTTCCTTATCCATTCAGTTTTTATCATATACTTTCCCTCTTCTCATTTTAGAACTAGTCATTCTTTAGAAAAAAAATTACTTTCTTCTTCCCTTAACAAAACATCCTCATACCTTATAGTTTTTGCATATAAAGACACATCTTACCTTCCTTGTATACTCGCATAGAGAGTTATTTCCCTTATTATTTCTAACAGTTTTATTTACACATAGTATTAGAATTCTTAACCCTTAGTGACCTTAGTTTCCAGTAAACACTAGGAAGCAAAGAATTTCAAACCATCTTTCTTGCTAGCAATTTGTAGATCAGCAAATCTAAGAATTGTAATTTCAAGAAATATGTGTTTCCCAAACTACAATTTGTCAGTGTGGCACAAAACATTAGTATCTTTGATAAGAAACTGTAGATGAGGCAAAACGTACCTGTGTTAGGTTTTTTTGGCTAGGCATGAGAATCAATTGTTTGTATAGCTATCCCTCAGCCTCAACTTTCCATTCTTGGTGGTAAGAATGTTAAAACCTTCTGTTACAGGGAGGACATATTTCATATGGGAATTTTATTTTGCTTACATCTATTTAACTCAACTTATTAAAACAATTATGCTTACATTATTCATAAAGATGAGACATTAAATAGCTTGCCATCATCTTTTCTTGGTGACAAATTTTGTAATATGGTGTTAAGATGAGCTTTTTATCAGGAAACCTAGGTAAAAGAAATTGTACATCTGTATTATATTTAAAGCTGAGGACACTGAGGATGTGCTTGTCTTAATCAAACCAAGAAAATTTTTATTTACCAAAGATTACTCAAGACACATAAACTTGAAAGTTTGGGGGACAGTTTTCATTTTCCTGAGAGAATATTTAGTTTATAAATGTGTTTGTTTTTCTTTACACTAGTTAAATAAATCTCTTCTACAATTTAATTCTGCCAATATCATAAGAAGATAGAAAAATATTGATGCTTTTTTTTTCTTTTTGGCTGAGCTTTGCCAGCCAGAGACCTCTGTGCCAGGCAATGCCCCTGTCCAGGCCTCAGTCAGTCCCAGGCTCACTACAGGAGGTGCCGTGCCCACTCACCCTGCTGGGCTGTGCCTCACTTGCACTCCAGTCCAGATTCCATGTTTGCTGTGGGATCCATATTCAGATCCCAGCAGGAGTGGATGTGTAAGCAAGCGAGTGGGGTCCAGCTGGCCACTCCAAGTGCCAGCACTGGAGTGGGCTCTGTATGAGGCTTGGGCTGGACCAAGCATGTTGCAAGTGACTCCCTCGGTGGACTCCAGCATCCAGACGAGGGGAATGTGGTGATACCCAAATAGGAATGCCCGTGACCCTGAAGCTCCAGAGGGCATGTTACAGTGTGCTAACAGCTCTTCTAGTCCCACCACTGGCAACCCAAATGGGTTTGTTAACAGCTCTGTCAGTCCCATTGCTCCACTCTGGCCTGCAGCTCTTGGGCTGGCCTAGCCCCACTGCTACTTCCCACTTCTACTTCCCATGATGTAGGGCAGCAGGCTACAGTGCTACTGCCTGCTTCCTACCTGTGTTTGGCAGGGTCTGAAATTCTTGTCCCATATCAAAGAAGAATGAAATCATGCTGACAACTGGAGGGCGAAGAGGGCAGAAAAGAGTTTTTTGAGCAATGAAACAGCTCTCAGTGGAGAGGGGAAAAGAGGGTGGTCCCCACCAGAAGTCAGGTAGTTTGTCTCCCACTGTGGCTGGGTCCAGGGCTTTTATGGGCTCAGAATGAAGGAATGTCTGTTGACTGGCTTGTGAGTATGCAAAAAAGCCTAAAACAAAGACACCACTGAAAGATGGACAATACTGTGTTAAAAAACAATTAGGGAAGGGTAGCTATGTGTAAAATAGGTGAAGAGTGGAGATCAATTGGGGATAACATGCCAAAAAGGAAGAGACGTTCTCAATCGGGTCCATGGATTTATCCAAGACTTGTAGTTTGGCTTTCAGGTTTTAAACTGTCTTTGGTTTGAAGATCAGGTTTCACCAGGAACTGCCCCTGTCTGCTTAGAATTTTTCTGCCTCCTGCTGCTATCAATATCACATATATGTATCATTCATAAACATATGGACAGGTACAAAAATACAAAGCTCGCTAGTTTATTAAAGAATACCTGTATCCAGATTGTTTTTTCTTTCTGGCTGATGAATTAAGACCCCTTGCCCAGATGGTCAAAATGCTTCACTTACATTTGTGAAAGAAAGAAAAAGGAAAAGGAAAAAAAAATGACTTAGAATTTTTCATTCATCAGTTTCCAAATAGTGCTTTTTTATTTTGTTCTCTCTTTTCTCTTCTTCTATGTCATCACCTCGAAATTTGCATTTCCAAAGGGAATAGCCCTTAGGTAAGATCATGTAGAAAATGTACATCTCAAAGGCACAGAGCTGTAACTTCAAGGCTAAATATCATAATTTGCCTATTGCAAAAAAGAGGAGTATAGGAAAAAGCCCAGTTAAGACAAGATCGCCAAGAAAAGCACCTTAAACAAAGGTAAGACTTGTTATGTAGATTTAAGCCAGCAAAGCACCTTAAACAAAGGTAAGACTTGTTATGTAGATTTAAGCCAATGTGCTCTCCATTGAGAGCATTGCTAATATTTAGTACTCATCATATTCTGCTTGTAGAGATAAAGACACCCTTACAAATAGAGATTTCCTTCATAGATGTATGTTTTTCTTGCAGAAAGCAGTCAAAGTGACCAGCTGAAAATAGGTCATATGCCAGAAAGTCTTATTTTGGAGACTAATTGGCTAGATGAGCAGTTCTCCAACCTAGCGTGAATCCTTTAGCTAAAAATACTGAGTGAATGAAGTATACTGAAGAAAAAACAACCATTTTTATGGCTGATTACAGCATAGATACTTCTAATCTTGCCTTATAGTGAGACGTTGTCCCATCTTTTGTTTCCTTTCAAGATGCAGTGAAAGACCAATCAGCTGCATTTTTTTCCCCCAAGAAATGGTTTTGGGGCACAGAAAAATCATGAAAACGGCTGGGCAAAGTGGCTCACGCTTGTAATCCCAGCACTTTGGAAGGCCAAGGCAGGTGGTTCATGAGGTTAGGAGATCAAGACCAGCCTGGCCAAGATGGTGAAACCCCGTTTCTACTAAAAATAAAAAAATTAGGCAGGCACAGTGGCAGGCACCAATAATCCCAGCTACTCAGGAGGCTGAGGCAGGAGAATTGCTTGAACCTGGGAGGCAGAGGTTGCAGTGAGCCGAGATCCCACCACTGCATTCCAGCCTGGGAGATAGACTGAGATATCAACTCAAAAAAAAAAAAAAAAAAAAAGAAAGAAAGAAAGAAAGAAAGAAAGAAAGAAAGAAAAATCATGAAAACAAGAAAGAGCTGGACAGAGTTGACAGAGTATTTAGTCAGCAGAGGTTTGAGAAAAGAGATTTCAGTAGACTGAGAGTTTCCTATGGGAAAGACCAGGAATTAATGCTTAAAATGGTTGTTTTACTGACCATGGATTCTTGGGCTTTCAATGCAACAGAAATTGACATGAGGCCAAAAGAGTTTTCCCACACAAAGCTTCATTGGAGCTTACACCCATGCATAAAGGAGGCTGTACAAGAAAGAGAATTCCCCAACTCTCCACAGAGAGTTGGTAGGGCTTTTTTTTATTAGTCAAAGCAAGGTAACTGACATCAGGGGTCAAGTATGTATATAAGCTGGGGTGGGCAAAGCAAGTGATGGGTAGGGTATGCAGGTCAGCATTATCAGGCTGCCGTAGTTATCTTGACTGGCCATAACTGGTGACCTGATGGTCTGGCCAGTGGCAACAAAGCTGTAAATGAACTGTTCAGCATTCCTTCCTGAGGTGGGACATTCTCCAACTTTTGTTATCTCTAAGGCCAGTTCCTGGAATTTTTTAATTAAAAGGACTATTAGCAGCGTGGTATGGTGTGGGTTTTGTCATCACTGGAAATGCATGAAAGAATGCTCCAGTGGGGTGAGCTGAAGCAGAGCCCCATCTTTACTGTCTCAGTTGTTGCAAGGGGATAGCTTGTTGGTTCTAGACTGGCTGTAAGGAATAAGTCCCATAGAGCTGAGTGAACTGACCTGCCAGAAGAGCTACTACCTCTGACACAATCAGTAGATTACACGTATTCACAGAATACATATTATTAAATTAGATTGACTTGAATATATTATTTTATGCAAAGATGAGAAAAAAGACGTGATCTGAAGATCTTTACTATTCTACCTATTAAAAATGAAGATTCTAATTGCTTCTAAATTCCTTTACAAATTATAAGTCTAAGATACATATCTATTTACTTCAAATCATCACACTTTGTTATAGAATGGTCTAAGCTATGCACATTTATATGCAAGCACACAAAATATGTAGATTCCTCTGAAAACAGTCATACTGTTTTACGTTTCCTTCTTAGTCAAAGGCAAAACACGAGAAAGAGGTGTATAATAGCATCAGGGAAGGTCTTGCCCTAGTTTCTTACTTCTTGCACTGTGGTCAGCAGATAGTTTTATGTACTGTGGTGTGGTCAGCAGAGGGTTTTCTCTATTAGTCATTGAGCCACTGCTGTTGCTTGATTTGCTTCTAAGGCATGATTCCTTTTTTTTCATCTTCAGGTGTTGAGCCCAAGAGCAATTCTGTTCTTTTTAAGAGATGGGGTCTCACACTCACTATGGCTGGAGTGCAGTGGCACAATCAGTTCACTGCAGTCTTGAACTCCCGAACGCAAGCGACCTCAGCCTCCCCAGAGCTGGGGTTTCAGCTGCACAACACCATGCCCAGCAATAGAACATCTTTTAATCAACATCCTGCACACTAAATTCCAACTATGATCTCAGAGTCTGCTTCCCCCGGAACCCAACCTGTAACAGTGTGTCATTTGAATGGAAAATAACTATGAATTTAAAATCTCAGGCTTATATCTACTTTGGCCAGTACTGTCTTCTTTAGATTGTAACCAAGCTCAACTGTAGCACAATTGAATCATTTAAGAGATATCCTCTGGTAGTAATTAGTATCATTAATCAATGTATCTAGGACTTGTATCTCTGGGTTCTTCCTTCAAATCAGACTGGCCAATGAGACTTTCATTTTTTTTATTTCTTATTTTGAGATGGAGTCTCACTCTGTCACCCAGGCTGGAGTACAGTGGCATGATCTTTGGCTCACTGCAAACTCCACCTCCCTGGTCCAAGTGATTCTCATACCTCAGCCTCCCAAGCAGCTGGGATTGCAGGCACATGCCACCAAGCCTGGCTAATTTTTTGTGTGTGTATTTTTTAGTAGAGATGGGTTTCTCCATGTTGGCCAGGCTGGTCTTGAACTCCCAGCCTTAAGTGATCTGCCTGCCTTGGCCTCCCAAAGTTCTGGGATTATATGTTTGAGCCACCACACCCTGCCCAATGAGACTTTTAAATGACAGTTGAAAGGTTTAGCTAATAAAATGTAAACAAAAGTTTTAATGTGGTAGTGCATTGCCTAGCATGTTCCCTTCTCTTTGACACAGCAAGCAATCCTATCGAGATGGAAACCAGCACAAATTAGAGGAGTTTTTAAAATTATTTTAGAAGAATTTTTCCTATTCAGGTTTTTTTTTTTTCTACAAAATCAACTTATGGCCAATCACTGCTATATGTACAGGTGAATAAGAGGAAAAGAAGTTAAAGAAAGAAAAGTCAAATGAACTTTGGTTATTTTAATTACCATTGTTAGGGATTCTGAGAAGCACCTCTTGAAGGATTTGAAATTGCAGTGAACATACCAGTACACAAACAAATAAAGCCACATTAAATTGAAACCACTCACTTCAAATTCAGAAAGGATATTTTGAAAGAAAATATTATTTTTTTAAAAATAGGCATGTGTAGCTCTTCAGTAATATAAAGACCTCCTTAGGGTCTTGTACAGTCTGTAAGAATAAGTACATGTTTGTTAAATGAAAATATAAATGTTTTTAAACCTTTCCGGTTTGGAGCACTTCTCCCCTACAATGCATTTAACCAATCCCTCAAATTAAACACATTTTTGTATTTCAATATTCCAGTGATTTTTAAAGACACTGATTATATGTGAATCTTAATTTATCCAAATGTTTAGTGTAACTGTTACCTCATCAACAAAGAATTAACTATAATAGCAATGAGAGAGAGAGAAAAGAGAAACTACCTTCTATTTCACTGGAATATTTTATTTTACAATTATGGTGGTGGTATTAACACATTCCATTGAGGGAGGAGGTGGTTAGGGGCTGGATAGGCAGACAAAGAGGGAGGGTCTCGGGAGAAGGACAGAGAAAGGCAATGTTCACAGGAACAACCTCAACACAGCACCTACACTGCCTCTGCAGCTAATGGGAAGAAACGTGGTTAAGAATTTCCCCTTGTGCCAGGATGTTGCCCAAAGGGACTGTTCCAACTTAGGCACAGGCACAATAAATCAACCTAAATGTACTTAACTTAACCCAGCTCATTATAATGTCATTAACATGGCATTAGTATTGTTGTGTTAGCCCTCCCTCGGTTTTGCTTAGGTATTCATGGGTAATAACAAACATGAAGTCACAAACCCACAGAAAACATCCTGACTTCTGCCATATCAAAAACACAGAACTCAGCCCCATTTCTGGCAACTTGCTTTCAGGCCCCCTCTTTTTGCTAAGAGCTTTCAATTTGCTTAATAAATCCTATTCTACTCATTCTCTGGTGTCCATGTCCCTTATTCTTATTGGTTGTTTGACAAGAACTTGGACCTAACTAAGCTAGGGACTAAGCAAACTGCAACCCCATCCAATATTATCATCTTTTATGTAACACTCATTCTTTCTTTGAAGGATCTTGGGTCTATGAGGGTCTGTGACTAAAACAGAATTGATGCTATGTGACTTTCTATGCTGTCATAAAAGCTTCCTTCTGGGATACTCACATTTTTATCTCTATTAAAAAAATTTAATAGAGAGCCTTCAGATGACCTCAGTCTGGTCTTCAAGCTGCCCAAGCTGATACTGAGTGAGCTGTCTCTCCTCAGGCCTGCCCAAATGGGAGGTTTGACAGCATAACAGGCAATGCAGGAAAGGGCACCTGAGAAAGAGAAAGGAGAAATGTGAGGGGAGCCCTGCAATTGCCCCCACATACTGCCTGAGGGAATAGCTCACCAACAGCCCATATAAGAAGAGTCCAACTGGAGCTTGACAATCTCCTTGACTTGGAGGAGATGAAGTTGTGAATTTGCAGAGGCCAAGGGAACTAGAGATTGCAGGAAACAGTATTGATCATTTAAAATCACTCTAGTAATTACCAATGTAATTTCATTCTTGTCCAGGGGCCCTTGCATTTGACATTCCTTCTGCCCTGTACTCTCTTCTAGATAACCATCTGGCTGCCTTACAAGGCATTACATTATCTGTTTCTAACTACTTTATTAAGATATCACTTGCTGTCAATCTGAATCCACTTGTGTTTTTTGCCCTTAGAATTTATCACAAATACCATAGACATCAAATGTCCCTGAAAATTATGCAAGCAGATTCAGAAAAGTCCAGTGGAGAAAAATAGAATCTAATTATCTGTCATTTAAATATCTTAAGAAATGCAAAAACAAAAATGAAACAAAGCATTAAAGTATCAACCACAAATTTAATGTTGTTTGCAGACGTGGTAGAGGATACATTTCTAAAGGTGTTACTTCCTCATACCTTTAAATTAGGATTATGGTTCCAATTCCTTCAAGTTATAAAGTTCTTATTATCAGAGCTATATATAAAACTAAATGGTTTTCATAAGTTTTGTGGACAAAAAGTTGGTCTTGATTCTAGACCTGTCTGTGCTCCAATTGCTAGATTTTTCAGCCATCTGATTAAGAAAACAAAACCAAAGAAATCATTTGGGCAGGGAAACATCCAAATTTTTAGATAGTATAATATATTTCTTAGGGGTAAATACATTTATTGCCAAGAAATTCTAGATTGAAATATTATAACAAATCAATCCCATAATTTCTGTTAAGAAATAATTTAGCACTTTTGACATTTTGAGTACATTGTAACATTTGAAGTAATTGGCATTTTAAATTATTTTCTGATTACACTTGAGGTTATAATCACAAGTGTGTAGTTATTTAGTTGAGATAGAACTGCACTATTTACTATCAAAGTTTTTAAAATGATTTTACAAATGATATTATCTGATTTACCAATTACTTAAGTACTTAGGAAAGTTTTATCATAAGATAGTTAAATTTTTTAATAGAAAACTGAATATTTTATATTTTTCAGCATAAGCATTTTTAATAGATTTTGGTTATTTCATAAAATCCTCCATGAAAATTATTGGTAAAAGTTTTCCGTATTTATAAATAGAGTAAGATTATAGTTTGAACTCAAGAGGTTAAGGAAAAATAAGGCTTTTCATTTTTTCACTATCATTAGTTGAATATTTTTGATATAAAAGTTAAAAAAATTCCCTTGAGGAAAACACTGAAAACACTATAACCACATATGTTTAATCGTTCATTTATTTATTCTTCCCTCAAAAAATTAATCTCCATATAAACCATTGTCAAAAAAAATTTCAGCATCAGATGGCTGGCTTCTTCAGCTTGCCCATTTAAGAGATTCTATTTTTTTAAATCTGTAAAGCATGTAAACCTGAGTATATGTCCTAAAGATTAAGAACATTATTTTTAGTTAAGATGACTCAAGATAGTCTTAACATGTATGCATACTAGGAAGAGAAAATAAGATAAATGAATTTAGTGTGGAGAACTATTTAACAGCAGATATGTTCAAATGATTTTAGACAAGCGAACCAAGATTATTCAAGCGGAAAGGGTGGTCTTCTCAGTAAATGGTGCTGGGAAAATGGCATAGTCACATGCAACGAATCAAATTGGACCTTTACCTAACAATACACAACATGGATCAAAGACCTAAACGCAAGAGCTAGGACTATACAACACTCAGAAGAAAACACAGGAGAAAAGCTTCATAACATTAGAATTTGCATTGATTTTTTGAATATGACATTTAAGGTACAGGCAACAAAAGAATAAATAAGCAAATAGGAATTCATTAGAATGAAAAACTTTTGTTCATCAAAGGATATTATCAATACAGTTAAAAAAAACCCAGAGAGAAAATATTTGCAAATCACATATTCTGATAATGGATTAATATCCAGAATATATAGAGAATGTATAAAACTCAACAACAGCAACAACAACAACAATAAACAAACAACCCGATTCAAAAATGGGGAAAGGACTAAATAAAACAGACATTTTTTTCAAAGAAAATATACCCATGGTCATCTGTATCTTGAAAAACTCATTAAAAGATGCTGAATATCGCTAATCATTTGGAAAATATAAATCAAAACCACAGTGAGATACAACTTTACCCTCATTAGGATGCCTAGTATCCCAGGAATCAAATATTAATTTTTGAAGGGGATATGGAGAAATTGGAAACTTCATGAACTGCTGATGGGATGGTAAAATGGTGCAGCTGTTATGGAAAATATTATTTTGTTCCTCAAAAGTTAAAAATAGAATCACTATATTATCCAACAGTTCACTTCTGAGTTTACAGGCAAAATAATTAAGAATGGAGACGTGGACATATATTTGTACACTCACATTAGTAGCAGCATTATCCAGAATTGCCAAAATTGGAAGCAACCCAAATGTCCATTCATGAATGAGTAGACAAAATGTGGTACATACATACAGTGGCATATAATTTAGCCTTAAAAAGGAAGGAAATTCTGACATATGCTACAACATGGATGAACCTTAAAGATATTATGCTAAGCGATAAGCCAGTCATAAAAGGACAAATACTATATGATAGCACTCATTTAAGTTACCTAGGGTAGTACAATTCATACAGACAGAAAGTAAAATGGTAGTTGCCTGGATTGGGGGAAGAGGAAATAGAGAGTTATTGCTTATTAGGTACAGAGGTTTAGTTTGTGATGATGAGAAGAGTTCTGAGGACAAATAGTGGCAATGGTTGTACGATGTAAATATACTTAATGTCACTGAACTTCACACTTAAAAATGGTTAAAATGGCACATTTTATGTTATATATATTTTAACATGACTTGTAAAACAAATACTGTTTTACAAAATCTCCACGATAGTCTAGTTGGCCTTGGGCCAAAGAAAGGAAGGAGTTCATGAAGCACTCGTCAAAGAACGAAAAATAACTCACTTGTTTCTCAGCTGTACTGGCTTTAACTCTTATAAAAGGCAAGGCAGAGAAAAGAAAAAAAAATGAGAGCAGAAATCCATGGCAACAAGCAATTTTTTTTATTATTGATAGCATCTTAGGGGAATTAAGTATCTGGCTGCTAAAGAGACCAAGTTTGTGTGAAATCTTATGAGTCCATTTACTCTATTCTGATTGACCAAACAGAAAATTAATACCTGTTCTATATTCATAAGAAATATATTTTTGTATTTTTGTCTGACAAAACATTCCAATATCACAATTGTTTCAGGAGTTATTAATTAAGAGTACAGCATTAAAAAGGGGACAACAAATAAGCATTGAGGCAGAAAGCAGACAATAAAATAATCATGGGTAGTAATGTAGCCAGCCTAAAAGTACTGGGTATTATTGGCCTGATGAGTGTAGTACATGACAAGTTACATAATCTTTAGCTTTGGTAAAAGAAAAATTAAGGTAAACAATTGACTTTAGATGACTTTCTAAATTTGAAAGAGTACTACTGATATATAATCTTGTTTTATAAACACTAAGATAATAAAAGGTTTAACAGGGTTTAGCAAAGTTCAAATATCTCAATTCAGTTCTTACTACAATATCTGTTTAAGAATGGAAACACCCCATTCACTAACTGGACTTCAAAAGACATTTATTTTAGTCAGCTTGTAGAGTGGCTGAACTACATAAAATTTAGAGAATACAAAACACATCTAAATATTTTAGTAACCCTCACATTATAAAGTAAGTGATATGGTTTGGATTTGTGTCTCTGCCCAAATATCATCTCAAATTGTAATCCATAATGTTGGAGGTGGGGCCTGATGGGAGGTAATTGGATCATGGGGCTGGATTTCCTTCTTGGTGCTGTTCTCATGATAATGAGTGAGGAATCCAGATTTGGTTGTTTAAAACTGTGTGCTACCTGAACCCATCTCCTCCCCGCAGTGCCTGCTCTGGCCATGTGAAGATGTGCCTTCTTCCCCTTTGTCTTCTGCCATGATTGTAAGTTTCCTTAGGCCTGCCCAGCCATGTTTCCTGTACAGCCTGCAGAATTATAAGCCAATGAAACATCTTTTCATTATAAATTACCCAGTCTCAGTTATTCCTTTATAGCAGTGTGAGAAAAAACTACTATAGAAACCTGGTACTAGGAGTCAGGTATTGCTATGAAGATAGCTGAAAATGTGGAAGTGACTTTGAAACTGGGTAATGTGCAGAGGTTGGAAGAGTTTGGAGGACTCAGAAGAAGACAGGAAGATGATAGAAAGTTTAGAACTTCCTAGAGATTTGTTGAATGATTGTGACCAAAACGCTGATAGTGATATAGACAGCAAAGGCCACGTTGACGAGGTCTCAGATGGAGATGAAGAACTTACTGGGAACTGGAGTGAAGGTCACTTTTGTTATGCACTAGCAAATTGAGGGAGCATTGTGCCCCTGCCCTAAGGATCTGTGGGACTTTGAACTTGAGAATGGTGATTTAGGGTATCTGGTGGAAGAAATTTCTAAGTAGCAAAGTGTTCAAGATATAGCCTGGATGCTTCTAGCCTTCTATGTTCATATTCATGTGCAAAGAAATGATGCAAAACTGAAACTTAAATTTACAAAAGAAGGAGAGCGTAGATGTTAGGAAAATTTGCAGCCTGGCCATGTGGTAGAAAAAAAAAACAATTTTCAGGGGAGGAATTCAAGCCAGCTGCAGAATTTTTCAAAATTAAAAGGAAAGCAAGTAGTAATATCCAAGACAATGGGGAAAAGGTCCTGAGTATATATCAGAGAACTTTGTGGTGGCCCCTCCCATCCTAGGCCTGGAGACATAGGAGGGAACAATGGTTTCATGGGCCAGACCCAGGGCCCCCCCTGCCCTGTGCAGCCTCAGGACACTGCTTCTTGGATCTTGGCTGTTCCAGCTCTCCAGCTGTCCCTTAAAGGGGTCCAGGTACTCAAACTCCTGCTTCAGAAGGTGCAAGTCATAAGCCTTGGTAGCTTCCATGTGGCTATGCAGAGTGCAATTGTTGAGGCTTGGGACCCTCTGCCTAGATTTCAGAAGATGTACGGAAAATCCTGGATGTCCAGGTAGAAGACTCCTGCAGAGGCAGAGCCCTCATGGAGAACCTCTACTAGGGCACTGCAGAGACAATATGTGGGTTAAGAGCCCCCACACAGAGTCCCCACTGGTGCATTGTCTAGTGGAGCTGTGAGAAGAGGGCCACCACCTTCCAGACCCCAGAATGATACACCAACAGTTTGCACCGTGCACCTAGAAAAGTGGCAAGCATTCAATGTTAGCCCATGAGAGCAGCTGTGGGGACTAGCCCTATAGAGCCACAGGGGTAGGTCTGGCCAAGGCTTTGGGAGACAACCCTTTGCATCAGTGTGGCCTGGATGTGAGACATGGAGTCAAAAAAGATTATTTTGGAGTTTGAGATTTAATAACTGTTCTGCTGGGTTTTGGATTTGCATGGGGCTTCTAGCCCCTTTAGTTTGGCTGATTTCTCCCTTTTGGAACGGGAGTATCTAACCAATTCCTGTACTCCCATTGTATCTTGGGATCAACTAACTTGTTTTTGATTTTACAGTCTCATAGGCAGAAGGGACTAGCCTTGTCTCAGATAAGACTAAACTTTGGCCTTTTGAGTTAATGCTGGAATTAGTTAAGAGTTTTGGGGACCGTGAGGAAGGCATGATTGTATTTTGAAATGTGAGAACATGAGATTTGGGAGGGACACAGGGAAGAATGATGTGGTTTGGATTTGTGTCCATGCCCAAATCTCATGCTACTCTCATGATAGTCAGTGAGTGCTCACAAGATTTGTTTGTTTAAAAGTGTGTGGCATCAACCCCTCTCTATCTTACTCCTGCTCTGGCCATGTGAAGATGTTTCTGCTTCCCCTGCACCTTACACCATGATTGTAAGTTTCCTGAGGCCTCCCCAGACATGCTTCCTTTACAGTTTGTGGAACCGTGAGCCAATACAAATTCGTTTCTTTATAAATTACTCAGTCTCAGTTATCTCTTTATAGGAGTTCGAGAACCAACTAATACAATCAGTGAACCAACTTCTTTGGTTGTCAGTATCTATCTGGGAAACCCCAGAGGGTTAACATGTAGAAGACATTGCAACAGCTTTTTTTTTTTTTTTTTTTTTTTATAATTCCAGATTTGGAGGCTGAATTGAAAAAGGCAAAAGATTTGAGAACATTGATTAAGATACTGGATATTGTAATTGATTAAAATCAAGGAAATTGCTACTTTTTATTTTAGAGAGAGATTACTTAAAGCTAACACAGTAGAAAGCAACAAAAGTAAGTCCCTGTAGCAATAAGTAACTTCTATTAAAATGATTTAAAATACTGCAATGGCAGCAAAAACATTAAAAGGTGCATAGTGTCTCAAAAAGCAGGTGAATATACTACGACCCAGTTTACATATTTTCATGTCTAACAATAGTACAAGTATAGTATCAACAATGTATAACCAGATATTTGAATTACAACCAGTAACCAAAGTATCCAACTTCTGTTTCCTTAAAAATTGACAGAGAAAACTAAAAGACAAGTAACCCCAAACTACATGCTATGGTATTCCATGAGCATACATTGGATATCCACTTTATAATTTTATAGGAGCAAAAATAAACTTGTATGTTGACATTATCCAAAATCATTTATACATCCTCTAATCCATTAATTAATGACCATAACGTAATGTCTATACATGAGAAACAAGGTCAAAATAATATGATTTAGATATTTTGCCTTACCTAGAAAGTGTTATTATGCAAATATCACTAATAAATGATCTAAATTAAATCTTTACCTAAAGTAGATGTCAGCAAATGAATGCCAATAGAATACATTCAGCCTATCTTAATTTTTTTGTACAGACTGTTCTTCTAACTGCCTACAAATTAGGAATTGTTCTTACATGCCCATTGACAATGAGTTCTCATTTGATTTATTAGTTCTCTCTTGGAGTATTAAAGTATTACAATTTGAAGAAAATTTTCAGTATTTTTAAAACAGAAAATGATGTCCATTTTTGTCCCCTTTAGAGGAGCTATTTTTGATAAACCAAAAAAAAAAAAAATACAAAGCAGAAACAGAGACCCTGTTATCAACTTAAAATATTGATCCACTAAAACAAAAACAGGATTAATTAACAATTGGTCTCCCAGGGAAATATCATTTTCAAGGTTCTGAGTAATTTTATGATTCTAACATATATTTGACAGATACCAAAGAAAATAATTCTGGTGGTTTATACATTCTCCAAAAATCTTTAAGAGATTAGCTGTAAAGCATATGTGATAAGCAGTCTCCATGGAATGTATGCCAGGAAGGGTCCTGTATTAAGTTTATGCTAATTAGTACAGATCTTCACATTACTGTAGTAACATCTCATCAATTTTATATGTAAATTCTAAATTCAATTGCTTTAGGCTAAAATATAAAAAGCAAATATTTTAAGCTGTATAAATAATAAAATAATATCTTTATAACAGGTAAAAATATCATAAGGTAAAAGGTTAATTTATTAGAAATATATTGGTGTATTTCACAAAATAGCCTCAAGAAAATCTATAAACAGAAAATAAATATTAAGTTGATCTTTCTCCTTTTATTGCTTCTATTATTTTTTTTCTTCCCTCCACCTGCTGCCAAGTTGCCCTCACTTTTCATTATTGTGGCAAATCATTTTTATGCACTTCTCCACATGATACAAAGCATACTCTTTTAGAACTCATGTGATTGGCCCTAGTGTTTTCTCAGACCCCCACGTTCAAAGCTTGACATAGGTTACTCTGTTTTCAGATAAATCTGCCACAACCAAAGGGGAAGATTATATAAATACAAGACAAATTTTAAGTAAAACTTTAAAAATGAAGTTGAAAGAGTGCATGTTTCCAGAGCAGTGGATGTTTTGGGAATGTCCATATCTTTGGCTACACATCGCTACGTTAAGACATAAACACATAAAACTAAACAAATAATATTGTCTAGAGTTAAATATATTATTTTTGTATGTATCAGAGAATAGATTTATGAGCTGAATTAGTAAACAGAAATATTTTTGAACACGTCACAGGACTTTTCCCTCTCAGTGTCTGAGTTTTTTCACTGCTGCAAGTGAGATGTTGAATCAAAACATCTTTCTACAAACAATAAATGATCCAATGTAAAAAGAGTAGGAAGTAACCATTGCCACAAAAACATCTCTTTGATTATTTTTCAAAATAACATAAATGTTTATTTTTTCAAGGAAATAATTTCCCATATGCCCAATATTTAGAATATATAATATATATCTTTATGGCTTCTTTCATATTGTTGGTTTAAATGTATTGTATGTTGCATTAAGACTAAAAGACAGGGTATCTGAGCCTGACAATCAGTCAAGTATGGAAGGGAAATCTCTAAGTTCTATGCTTGGAAAATGATGAACATTCATTGTATTTTAATACTCAATCATGCCCACATTTGAACATTTTCTCTCTCTCTTTTTTCTTTTTCTGTTTCATTTGCTTCCTTCCCGTAGAAGCATTCTACTTTCTACAAAGATTTGTTCGGCAGGTAGCATGGTATAATGATAAGAGTCAGGCCTGAATTATGACACTGAAGTTCCCCTATAAATTTTAGTGGTTTATATATCATGCTATAAAAATATCACATTCTTAATAGTCATGCTATCTGCATGTTTTCATCACCCTAAGCCTCAGTGTCTTCAGCTATAAAACTAAAATATTATTTTAATTATTAAATAAGATTGTTACTGAAACATCACAGGTCTACGTCCTGTTGCTCACTGCACAGAAAGCCAATCACTGAGTTAACAAGGATTGCCAGGTGATATGATTTGGTTGTGTTCACACCCAAATGTCATCTTGAATTGTATCTCCCATAATTGCCATGTATTGTGGAAGGGACCCGGTGGGACATAACTGAGTCATGGTGGCAGTTTCCCCTATACTGTTCTAGTGGTACTGAAGAAGTCTCACAAGACCTGATGGTTTTATAAGGGGAAACCCTTTTGGCTTGGTTCTCATTCTCTCTTGTCTGCTGCCGTTTAAGAGGTGCCTTTCACCTTCCGCCATGATTCTGAGGCCTCCCCAGTCATGTGGAACCGTGAGCCCGTTAAACCTCTTTTTCTTTGGAAATTAGTCTCGGGTATGTCTTTATCAGCAGTGTGAGAGCAGACTAATACATGAGGGAACCAGGCTTTACTTTGGGTGCTGCACCCAAGAATAACAGGTAATACAGTCTCTAAATCTGTTTCTCTAACATAGCAAAAATGGGGTGTTTATATAGCAGGGAAGGCAGGAAAACAGGAATTAGGGAGAGGTAAGGAAGCAATCATGAGGAATGAAGTTTATTGCATCTTTTTGTCTGATCCGGATGTGGTAATCTAGTGAGTTTCAGTCCCTCACCTGAGGGTTGGTTTCCTGAGGAGGGAACTCAGATGAGATAAATGTAAGTTGCAAGTTTTAAGACAAGGGAGGGTCAATTTCTATGTCTATTTTTAAAAACCTATAGATATTTTTTGTATGGGACAATTTGGCTGGTATCAGTATCCCCTTTCTATTTATCAATTCCTCCATCATGGGGAATCTGGTTGTCAATCTTTCTGGCTGCTTCTTGCTGAGGAGAGCTATTATGGGATAATGCTGAGGAATGCAAACCTTACTCCTGTAATTGAAAGCACTCATGAGCACCTGACCAGCATCTGGCTTGTTGGAGCACCATGACCTAGATAGTTTTATCTTGGTTTAGAACAACATAGTAAGCCACATTGCCTAGGATGCTTAGTAACATAGATAAACCAAATTTTAAAATAAAACCAAATTTTAAAATACCAGAGAATATGGAGCTGATCCCCTGGGGAATCCCAGAGTGTAACTCTAATGCTACCAAAAACTTTTCCTGATGCATTACATCCTGCATGCATAAAGCTATGGTTTCAGGAAGAGCAACAACCTGAAAAGCACATGGTCCCTTTATGATTTCTTATCCAGGCTCTTTGGCTGGGCTTTGAATACTAACTTTGGCCCTCTGAGGGTTCATAAGCCCATGACCTGTTTCCCCTGGAGGGATCAAAAAGGGCTTGGTTTTAACTGAGTATGAGTAGTAAATATATTTCATCTTAAAGCCAGTCTCCCGTGACTTGGATATGAAGCATATCAGCTGCTTCATCTGGGGTGTTTCACTTGGCATTGATATGTGAAGTTTGGCAATTCTCCCTCTCGGGGTAAACAGATCTTACGGTGGCATTTATCCAATCCACCAGGCTGGCTGTTCTCTCGGAAATAACCTCCTGTGTGTCTGAATTACATATACCCATCTGTGATTGTTCAACAGTGAGCTGTAGGTCCTGCATCAACCAAAACATGCATTTCCATTCTACACCATTTAAAACCAAAGTCAGTGCTCCCAGGTTCGTTAATCTCATAATCTGTTTTAGAAAAGCTGATGATACCAATCTACAAAATGAAACAATTTCTTTACATTGTACCCTCTGTTTTTTTTCCATTTATTTATTTATTTTATTATACTTTAAGTTTTAGGGTACATGTGCACAACGTGCAGGTTAGTTACATATGTATACATGTGCCATGTTGGTGTGTTGCACCCAGTAACTCGTCATTTAACATTAGGTATATCTCCAAATGCTATCCCTCCCCCCTCCTACCACCCCACAATAGGCCCCAGTGTGTGATGTTCCCCTTCCTTCCCCCACTTTGCCTACCTTCTGGAAAAGGCAGGTCTCAGAGGTACTTTCTGGTGCTCTGGCATAATTTTTCCTTTTGTGGGTAGTCTTGAGGCTACTTATTTGAGCTCAGAAAGTTCCACATCTGAGTTGGTCCAGCCCCAACACCCAACTCAGCATTCTCTTACTTTCATTTTAGCTATTATAGATAACAAACCAAGGGATTGCATGTTTTGCTTTTTCTTTATTCGTTTGCATTTCCTTATGCATCCTGTGAACTAATTCCCTGGGAGTAGAATCTATCTCTAAATTCCATGGTAGCTTTTATCTTAAATAACTGAACGCAGCACAACTGCAACTCTACACAATAGGTGACCAGGTTTCCACCAAGGAATCAAAAGCTAATCTAATAGAGGGCATACTATAGTTTTCTTCTGAAACATAAATTTTTCTCTCTTTAGTCAACAATTTCAACCAAAGACAAATTGTGGTAGAACCAATTTATTTGCAATATAAGTTTCCATCTATCATACTTGGCCTGGTTATTTGCATAATGTGCCTCAAGAATTATTGTCCATATAGGATCTTTTATATTGGGGCTTTGCTGGACTTTTTATAAGGAATCTCAGATTTGACTATTAAAGGCCTCTCAAGCCCAGGCAAGGATTTATCTCTGCCAGCAGGTGTCTGTATGAACTGGGTGAATTCCTCTCTTCTCAAGGTCCCAAAATAACTTAAGGTTCCTGGTCCTGTCAGAAAGTGACATTCTTTACTCATCACAGATCAGGAAACTTATAAAGGGACCAGTTAGACAAAATACTAGACCAGTCTTTCCAAGGAACTTTTATCGGCTCCATAAATCAACCTCAATCTCTGAAGGCATTCTGCTCATATCTGAGAATATATCATTCCAGTCAAAGCTTTGGGAAAATAACCAGTGTTTCCAAATGTGTCCTATTACAAAAGAAAACAAATTCTTATTGAACATATGCAAATAAACATATTGCCATGAATTAAGAATATTCATAGATGATTTCCAAAATCTGGAGAAATCAGGTAGAGAAAGAAAAATATGCATTAAATTGGTTTACAAGAATATATTCAATTGTTAAAGGCTATAAATATCTAAAAATAAAGAAAAAATCTTTTATCAACCCTCAAAAATAAAACAAAACACCAATGTTTCATTATAAAAAAGCCATACAAAATTAGTTTGGTCCTTTATTAGTTCAGTCTATGCAATTAACTCTTGTCCTGCTTCACATTGGGTTAACAATCTTTCTGAACACATCAGTCTTTTAATTAGAGTCCTGAAAGTTCTTTCTCTAGTCCAATGGCACATTTCTAGAGAGAGAAAGTTATCTCTCTAGTCTCTTTGTGCCATTGCAAAGTTATCAAACACTTGCATTCAACAGTTTTTTTCATGAATTTCCCTAAAGAAAGAAGTTTGGAACTGTAGCTAACTGTAAGCCACTTTTTTGACAAGCATCAAAGTAAAACAATAATTTTGAATGATAAAGGTCTTAGGACAGTTCTGGTTAAAGACAAGCCTTAGGTTAGCCATAATTAAAGACACAATTGATAAGGAAATTCACTTATTTTTTTGGCATACAACAATAATAATCATAAGTATTGCTGATAACATATACTTAAGACATATCAGAATTTTAGGAATCTCATACAAATTTGGAACACATGTTCATAACATACTTACATAAATATAACCCCAAAGAAAGTTAAACACCATTTCATGTTTGAAAATGCTTCCTTTATAATTTTAACATACCATATAAGCTTACTATGCCTCTCTTGGACTTCAGGGGATGTAATATCTAAAAAGTTATTTTAACATCCAAAAGACTAAATTTAGAACTTGAAACTTTGATATTGGAAAGTTTGTCAAATATCAAAGGATTAAAACACTTACTATCACAAAATAGGATTATAGGTCATTATAAAATAGTCATTCACTTAGCCAAAATGATAATTCCAAGATTTTTTTAAAAGCAAAAACCTTTATTCTTTGATAGAGACTCAGTTTCCCAAACAATAAGACCTTATAAAGACAGCATGTGCCTAACTAAATCTCTCTCCCTCCCCTCCTTTATGCCCCTGAAGTTTACTCAAAAGGTAAACAATAATCTTTATATCTCTTATTAATGTTACATGAAAATTTTGTTCAAAAGGTAAAACCAGAATTTACCTTTGCATAGTATATTGTTAATGTTCAAGCCTATAAAACCTTATAAGTAAATCTAATTTTAATATTTGACCATAATGTAAGATTTCCTTTTATGACCTTTTACTATTTTCTATTAAAGAAAAGATCAGCGCACCCAGACACTGGTCTCGCATCACTGTGCCTTTGATATTAATGTTTAATTTATAGAAAAACTCTGAACCATTCTTATCCCTCAAAACAGGCCTTTACAATCTCATGCACCACCTCTTCTGCAATAGTCCTTGGGCCTAGAGGGATTGAGAAGTTTTAATTTCTGACCCTGTGTTTTAGCAAAGCAGTTCATTTCGATTGCTGCTATCTCCAAGGTCTGAAAAAGAGGTGTTGACTAATGTCAACATTCAAGACTTGGCAGGAGTCAATGCTTTCTTCAGATCCGGGAGTCAAAGCCCTGTGATGTAACAGCACAAGGACTTTAAAAGCAATATAGAAAGTCACATGGATGTAAAAACCTTTGAAATCTCAGTTTTCCTAAGCAATCAGAAACCTAATAATCATGACCTAATAATGATGACACAAGAATTATTATGATAAAATGTAAAATATCTTCCTTAGGCTAGTTACCAAAAGGCAAAGAAAGGCCCTCTGTTGTGTGATTGTTTCTCCTTAAGGGAAGACCATTTAGATAATCTGAAAGTCAATCCCGATGAATAATTTAGACATATCAAGAAAAGTCAACAGTACAGAATCAAGTTACCTGAGGGAAAGCACTGCTTTCCTAGACCATATATGAGGGTTGAATTTGGCCCATGGGTTTCCATTTTGAAGCTCTGGCTTGCAAATTAGGTACTAATAATTGGAATAAGACTGTTTAGAGAGGAAAGCTACCTGGAAAAGACATTTTGGCAACACTCAATATCAGTCCCACATAAATTGATGGATGAGAGGGAAAATTATCCTACTTTGAGAGATGATAATGTAAAGGCACAAAAATGAATGAAATTCATTATCTGAAAGAGTCTCTAAGAAGAATTACCTTCCTTCAGGGGAGAATACTGTGAAATAATGCTGGTGAAAGAAGCTTGCTATGTGGAAAGAAAAATGAATGGTAATCAAGGAATGATGAGACATTCTTGGTATCTGGGATGGCAATTTAACTATATGAATAAAAGTACATAAATGTTCTACTTCTAGAGAAACTTACTAGAAAATAGAGATGAAATGAAATAATGTCTAAAATTTGTTTAAAATAACCATGAGTGAGAGGCAAGAGTAAGACAATATTACTTATGTATTGATAATTACTAAAGGTAACTGAAGGGTACACAGAAATTCATTGCACTATATAATTTTATATGTTGTATATGTTTGAACATTTATATAATAAAAGTTTATATATCATGTTTTTATATAATAAAAGGTTTAGAATTAAAATAGACTAACACATAGAATATTGGTGAAAATGAAAAGTAAAAATCAAATGTAAGGAATACTATCAAATATACAGCAATAACTGGAAAGCTATATTAAATAATACAAGAAATAAAGAGAAACAACTGAACTTGAGCCTCAGTTTAAAAAGCAAGGCCACATATTTTACAATGGTTCCATGTCTATTTAAGACAAGAAGAAGCCGATGAACTAAAATTATTTTCAGTCTACCACTGTGACTTTAAGTAACATTACAAAAAATTCAAGTGGAAATAGACTCCCATACTAAATTTGGTGTATCTCCGGGCAGGCATCATTGTCCATATGGATAAAAGGCAATGAAACCACCCCCACTGTTTCATAGAACTGATGTTTACAGTTTTTAACTTATATTTGTCTTATCTGAGTTCCTTCCTTAGGAAATTGACCCTCAGGCAAGAAACCGAAACTCACCAAACTACTGCACCCCAACAATGGGATACCAAAGCCCTCATCCAACATAATTGCTTCCTTACTCCTCCCAAATTCCAGTTTCCTTACATGGAGCTACATTCCTCCTCCACTGTGTAAACCCCAAATTTTAGTTGGTTGAGAGAGACAACAGTAAGCAGCAGGATGTAGGCTGAGTCCCAGGCATTTTGGTAATAAGAATACAAAATAAACCAAAAATGCATCCCTAGCACCAGCTCAGTGTCTTCTACACAATAGAAATGATGCTTCAACCTTTGACAAGCTCTCTACATATGGGCTTTTTTTTGTTTTAGCTTCTATAATTGCCTTTGCTATGACAAAAGGAATTTGCAAACACAATATGACAACATTTTATATCTGGCATTGAATAAAACATTTATTTGAACTTAGAAAATGATTCAATTACCCTAGGCTGTTGAACTAATCTCATACAATGTAATTTGGTTTTAAGGAAAAAACTTATTCTACTGGAGGTCTAATAAACTCTAAAAACCATACAGTCCACAATATATTTGTTACTCAGCTTATTCTTTAGTTTTCTCTTTAATAAAATTAAATTATGTAAGACCCTAAAGAATAACTCTAAGCAAAAGAATTATCTTTAAGATTTGTCAAATATATTCCTTGGAAATTGTTTCTTAAAAAACAGAATAATCTCTTAAGGCAACACATTGATATTGTTATTTGAATATAATTACTTTAATCATGAAATTTTACGGGAATTTGTTAGGAATTGTTGAAAAGAGAGCTCAAGAACTCCTTTTTATTTTGTAGACCTAAGTATTTTATGGCCTTATTTGTGAGGAATTTGTACAGAGGTCTCGTTCTATAAGCTATACAAACAAATATTGTAAACCAGCAAGTAAATGCTGTCTCTCTGGCATTTGTAATTTAAATCTTAAGAATTTTTGTAAAGTTGCTTTTAGAAAGTTGGCCGGGCCGGGTGGCTCATGCCTGTAATCCCAGCGCTTTGGAAGGCTGAGGCGGGTGGATCACCTTAGTGAGGTCAGGAGTTTAAGAGCAGCCTGGCCATTACACTAAAACGCCATCTCCACTAAAATAATACAAAAATTAGCTAGCTGTGGTGGCACGCATGTGTAATCCCAGCTACTCAAGAGGCTGAGGCATTGAACCCAGGAGGTGAAGTTTGCAGCAGTGAGCCAAGATCGCGCCACTGCACTCCAGTCTGGGCGACAGAGCGAAAAAAAAAAAAAAATTATGCCAGGATTGGGGGGAAAATGGTGGGTAGGAGGCAAAAATAACTTGCAGCTCTCACTCAGACAGAGCAGTGTGTGGAGACCCACATTATGAACTTTTGCTCCAAGAACTACCACAGGAACATACCAGAAAAAGTAAGAGAGTCCACAGACCCTTTTGAAGGAGGTGGATTGCTGCTACTGGTTCTGTGGGACAGCAGAACAGCAGGGGAACTCCTAAGACAAAGGACATAATCCCTTGGGAGCTCTATGGCCCTGCCCACCGCCTGAGAAACCTTAATACTTATCCAAAGGTGACCCTAGGGCAAATTTGTATCCTCCCTAAACAACCGCAGCTGAGGTGCTCTTGAAAGCGCCACCTCCTGGCTAGAGGCCAGTCAACACAAAAGCAGTGCACTTAACAAACATTCAGCCAAGGACCCACACAGAGTCCACCCCCTGCTACCTCCACAGAGCAGGTGCTGGTATCCATGGGCTGAGAGACCTAAAGATGGATCACATCACATACTCTTTGCATATACTCCCCAGTACCAGCCTGGAGCCCAGTAGTTCTGCTGGGCGGCTAGTTCCAGAAGAGAAATAACAATCACTGCAGCTTGGCTCTCAGGAAGCCCCATCCCTAGTGGAAAGGGGAAAACACCATATCAAGGGATCACTCTGTTGGACAAAAGAATCTAAATAGCAGCCCTTGAGTCCCAAATTGTCCTTCCAACATAATCTACCCAAATGAGAAGGGCTCAGAAAAACAATTCTGGTAATACGGCAAAACACGGTTCTTTAACACCCCCAAAAGATCACACTATTTTACCAAAAATGGATCCAAACCAAGACAAAAATCTCGAATTGCCAGGAAAAGAATTCATGACAGCTGTAAAGCTAATCAAGGGACACCAGAGAAAGGTGAAGTCCAACTTAAATAAATAAATAAATAAATAAATAAAAAATACAGGATATAGATAGAAAAATCTCCAGTGAAATAGATTGCATAAATTAAAAAAACCTACAACTTCTGGAAATGAAGGACACACTTAGAGAATTGCAAAATGCACTGGAAATTCTCAGCAGTAGAATCAAACAACAGAAGAAAGAATGTCAGAGTTTAAAGACAAGGGTGTTGAATTAATTCAATCTGAAAAAAGACAAAAGAGAATTTTAAAAAAATGAACAAAGAATTAAATTAAAACAAAGATAATTAAATTAGAGAACAAATAGAATTACATTTTTAAAAAATGAACAAAAGAGAATTAAAAAAAATGTACAAAGTCTCCAAAAAATTTGCAATTATGTTAAATGACCAAACCTAAGAATAGTTGGTGTGCCCAAGAAAGAAGAGAGATATAAAAATTTGGAAAACATATTTGAGGAAATAATGAAGGAAAACTTCCCTGGCCTTGGTAGAGATCTAGACATCCAAATATAAGAAGCTCAAAGAACAACTGGGAAATTCATCACAAAAAGATCACCTAGGCACATAGTCATCAGGTTATCTAAAGTCAAGACAAAGGAAGAAATCTTAAGGGCTGAAGGCAAAAGCATCAGATAACCTATAAAGGAAAAGCTATCAGTTTAACAGCATATTTCTCAGTAGAAACCCTACAAGTGAGAAGGGATTGGGGGCCTATCTTTAGCCTCCTTAAACAAAACAATTATTAGCCAAGAATTTCATATCCAGTGAAACTACATTTCATCAATGAAGGAAAAATACAGTCTCTCTCAGACACACACACAAAAAATGCTGAGAGTATTCACCACTACCAAGCCAGGACTATAATAACTAAAAGGATGTCTAAATCTTGAAACAAATCTTCAAAATACACCAAAATACTAATAGAATCTCTTTAAAGCATACATTTCACAGGACCTATAAAACAACAACACAATGAAAAAAACCCAAGGTATTCAGGCAACAAATAACATGATGAAAAGAATAGTACTTCACGTCTCAATACTAACATTGAATGTAAATGGCCTACATGCTCCAGGTAAAAGATACAAAATGGCAGAATGGGTAAGAATTCACCAACCAAGTATCTGCTGTCCTCAAGAGACTGACTTGATGCATAAGGACTCACATAAACTTTAGGTAAAGGAGTGGAAAAAGATATCCCATGCAAATGGACACCAAAAGCGAGCAGGAGTAGCTATTCCTATCTCAGAACAAATGAACTTTAAAGTAACAGCAGTTAAAAAAGACAAAGAGGGACTTTATATAATGATATAATGATATTTACCCAACAGGAAAATATCAGAATCCTAAATATATATGTACCTAACACTAGAGTTCCCAAATTTATAAAACAATTACTAATAGACCTAAGAAATGAGATAGACAGCAATATAGTAATAGTGGGGGACTTCAATACTCCACTGACAGCACCAGACGGGTCATCAAGACAGAAAGTCAACAAAGAAACAACGGACCTGAACTATACCCCAGAACAAATGGACTTAACAGATACTTATAGAACATTATACTCAACAACTACAGAATATACATCCTATTCATCAGCACATGGAACATTCTCCAAGATAGAACATATGATAGGCCACAAAACAAGTCTCAACAAATTTAAGAAAATCAAAATTATAGCAAGTGCTCTCTTAGACCACAGTGGAATAAAATTGGAAATCAACTCCAAAAGGAAATCTCAAAACCATACAAATACATGGAAATTAAATAACTTGCTCCTAAATGATTGTTAGGTCAACAATAAAATCAAGATGGGAGATTAAAAAATTCTTCGAACTGAACAATAAGAGTGACACACCTATCAAAACCTCTGGGATACAGCAAAAGTGGTGCTAAGAGGAAAGTTCACAGCATTAAATGCCTACATCAAAAAGTCTAAAAGGTGCACAAACAGACAATCTAAGGTCACACTTCAAGGAGCTAGAGAAACAAGAACAAGCCAAACCCAAACCCAGCAGAAGAAAAGAACCAACATCAGAGCAGAACTAAATGAAATTGAAACAGAAAAAATACAAAAAATAAATGAACAAAAAGCTGGGTCTCTTAAAAGATGAATAAAATTGATAGACCATTAGTGAGATTAACCAAGAAAAGAAGAGAGAAGATCCAAATAAGCTCAATTAGAAATGAAAAGGGAGATACTACAATCAATACCACAGAAATACAAAAGATCATTCAAGGATACTATGAACACCTTTATGTGTATAAACTAGAAAACCCAGAGGAGATGAATAAATTCCAGAAAACATACAACCCTCCCAGATTAAACCAGGAAGAAATAGAAACTCTGAGTAGACTAATAATAAGCAGCGAGATTGAAATGGTAACTACATAGTTACCGACAACAAAAAAGTCCAGGACCAGATGGATTCACATATGAATTCCATCAGATATTCAAAGAAGAACTGAACCAATCCTACTGGCACTTTTCCAAAAGATAGAGAGAGAGGGAATCTTCCCTAAATCATTCTACGAAGCCAGTGTCACCCTAGTACCAAAACCAGGAAAGGACATAAGAAAAATAAAACTACAGACCAATATCCCTGATGAGCATAGATGCAAAAATCTTCAACAAAATACTAGCTAACCAAATCCAACAGCATATCAAAAAGATAATCCACCGTGATCAAGTGGGTTTCATACCAGGGATGCAGGGATGGTTTAACATATGCATGTCAATAAATATGATACACCACATAAACAGACTTAAAAACAAAAATTACACGATCATCTCAATAGCTGCAGAAAAAGCACTTGACAAAAGCCAGCATTGCTTTATGATTAAAACCTTCAGCAAAATCAGCATAGAAGGGACATACTTTGTGGTAATAAAAACCATCTCTGACAAACCCACAGCCAACATTATACTGAACGGGAAAAGGTTGAAAGTATTCCCCCTGAGAACTGGAGCAAGTAAGAGATGCCCACTTTCATGACTTCTATTCAACGTAGTATTGGAAGTCCTAGCCAGAGCAATCAGGCAAGAGAAAAAAATAAAAGGCATCTAAATTGGTAAAGAGGAAGTCAAACTATCACTGTTTGCTGATGATATGATCATATACCTAGAAAACCCTTAAAGACTCATCAAAAAAATCTCCTAGAACTAGTAAATGAATTCAGCAAAGTTTCAGGATACAAAATGAATGCACAAAAATCAGTAGCCCTGCTATACACCAACAGCAACAAAGATGAGAATAAAATCGAGAACTCAACCCCTTTTACAAATACTGCAAGAATAAATAAAATAAAATAAAATATTTAGGACTATATTTAACCAAGGAGGTGAAAGACCTCTACAAGGAAAACTACAAAACGCTGCTGAAAAAAATCATAGATGACACAATACTGCCAAAAGCAATCAGACAAATTCAATGCAATTTCCACCAAAATACCACCATCATTCTTCACAGAACTAGAAAAAGCAATTTTAAAATTCATATGGAACCAAAAAAGAGGCTGCATGCCCAAAGCAAGGCTAAGCAAAAAGAACAAACTGGAGGCATTACATTACCCGACTTCAAACTATACTATAAGGCCACAGTCACCAAAACAGAATGATACTGGTATAAAAATAGGCATATAGAACAATGGAACATAATAGGGAACCCAGAAATAAAGCCAAATACTAACAGTCAACTGATCTTTGACATAGCAAACAAAAACATAAAGTGGGGAAAGGACACCTTATTCAACAAATGGTACTGGGATAATTGGTAAGCCACATGTAGAAGAATGAAACTGGATCCTCATCTCTCACCTTATACAAAAATCAACTCAAGATGGATCAAAGACTTAAATCTAAAGCCAGAAACCATAAAAATTCTGGAAGATAACATTGGAAAAACCCTTGTAGACATTGGCTTAGGCAATGACTTCATGACCAAGAACCCCAAAGCAAACACAACAAAAACAAAGATAAATAGATAGAACTTAATTAAACTAAAACGCTTCTACACAGCAAAAGAAATAATCAGTGGTGCAAACAGGTAACACACAGAGTGTTTGAAAATCCTCATAATCTACACATCTGACAAAGGGCTAATATCCACAATCTACAAGGAACTCAAACAAACCAGCAAGAAAAAAATCCATCAAAAAGTGGACAAAGGATGTGAATAGACAATTCTCAAAAGAAGATATACAAATAGCCAACAAACATATGCAAAAATGATCCACATCACTGATGATCGGGGAAATGCAAATCAAAACCACAATGAGATACCATCTTACTTCCACAAGAATGGCCATAATAAAAAAAATAAAAAAATAATAGATGTTGTGGTGAATGTGGTGAAAATGGAACACTTTTACACTGTTGGTAGGAATGTAAACTAGTACAACCACTTTGGAAAATACTGACTTTTGTAATTTCATTAAAACTTGAGAAAAGGTTGACAATCAAGTGATAAAGTTGGAAGTAAAATTTCTAGATAAACACTTTGCTTCTAAATATGTTGGTAATGTTATATGGAACATAAAGGAATTCATAAATAAAATAAAAGGAGCTGGTCACTGTTCACATTGGTTTTACTTTAATGTTTGTCCTCTTTCAAAGTTAAATAGTTGCATAGCCCTGGGAAATCATGCTATCAACTAAAGGCAAACTTCATACCAGAAGATTGCTTAAGTCTTACTAAGATAAAGGAATGGTCCAATGCTTATGTCTGAAATGTCCATTATTAATTATACTTCTAACAACCATGTCTGACTTACAATAGCTACCACCTTTATCACTTACATAATTTATTTCTGTGTTATGCTATTTTTTACATTTAAAAGATAAAAAGAATTTGGTAATAAGGTTTAGTTACTAAAATTGGTGACTAAAAAATAAAGTTTAGAAAAGTTTCCTGTTTTGTCATCTGATAAGAGAGCAGAGGAAATACATCATATTAATATTAGATTGTGAGAGTAAAAAATATGCAATTACTTTATGTAAGGATAAAAATTCCCCATAAGAATTGGTATCTCTGCCAGATATGATGAGAGACTTGTACCAAATACGATGTATATTCTAATAGAAAGCCAAGTTTCGTGAACTATGTATCGCACATAATTACATGAGATTTCTTTAAAGGATTTCTTTAGACTTTCACAGATATAGTAGATAAAATATTTAACTGTATAATTTTCTGCGTTCAGAGTGATGAAAGTCATTTAACTCCCCAAAAAGTTATGCATTTGAAGCAATATTCTGCAGTACTAATGAATCTTACACTCATCACCCCTGTGTTCCTTCACTCTTCTCTAGTTTCCGTCTTGAGCTTTCATAAAAGGAAAGATTGACAAAAAATTATTTGATCGCTTCCAGCTTTAATACCTTATAATTTTGCATTCTAACTGTCCAGAGATATTGAATCCTCTATAATATACAATAATATGAACTTACATATATTTTTGATGTTACTCTGCTTAAATTATCAAAGTTAAGCTCACATCTGAGTAATGTATATCAAATTCATGACTAAACAGGCAACTTAGAGTTATCAGAACCAATTTTATCAGAGCCCAAACTATTTGAGTATTTTGCAGAAAATTAGCTTCAATTTTAATTGTTTCTAATAGATATGAATATTAGAATAAAAATATTTTAGAGGAACTATCAAGAAATAAATGTCTTATCCTATACATAAGAAAGCAATTATTCCCAAAATATAATTAAGCCTGAATTATTGAAATGGATATTATATAGGCATATTTCCAATTTGGCAGTGATTAGATTAAAAATTATGATATAGTTATCTAAGTATTAATTTATATGGCATTTAGATTCTCATTCTCTTGAAGCATTCCACTATAGTAACTTAACAGAGTCAAATGTAGTATTTTATAGGAAACAAGGCAATGAGCAGTATCTATCAATTAAGTTTACTTCTGGGATATTTTCCTCAAAAAAATGAAAGTATGCATTTTAAATATTATTTGTATAAAATACTATTAATATTATAGTCATATTGTTAAACTATGAGTAAATATACATGGTTTCTGTGAAAAAATATAAAACCTTTGAATGGTTAACTATAAAATACTAACATTTTAAAATAAGAACCATACAGGCTGGGCACAGTGGCTCAGGCCTCTAGTCCCAGCACCTTGGGAGGCTGAGGCGGGCAGATCACGAGGTCAGGAGATAGAGACCATCCTAACAAACACGATGAAACCCCGTCTCCACTAAAAATACAAAAAATTAGCCGGGCGTGGTGGCGGGGGCCTGTAGTCCCAGCTACTCAGGAGGCTGAGGCAGGAGAATGGTATGAACCTGGGAGGCGGAGCTTGCAGTAAGCCTCCCATGGACATTTAACCCGGCAGGAGGATCTTCCCAGAGATTTAATGGAGACTGTGCTGCAGCAGGCACGAAACTGGGGCCTTTGTGTGCAGGACAGCTCTGGTGGAGCCTGGCTGCTTGTAAGTGCCAGTCGCCCAGGGCTCCCTGTATCTCACTGAGAGGTTACAGCCCCAGCTAACTGCCAGGGCAGGAGACACTAGGGCTGGCTTCCAATGGGACTGGGACACAGTCCATCCTGCAGACCTGCCTGTCCAAGGCTCCTGCTTGGCTGCACCCACAGGAATGTGGGCATAGTGCAGCCTCTCCTGCCAAGCCTGTGTGCTTTGCTCCATCTGAGTGCACCCCTGCAGCCTGGGGGCCCTTGTGACCCCAGTGCAACTGGAAACCAAACATTATGGTCTGGAAGAGGGTGCTGCGAGCAGATCCTCATGCCCCAAGGCCACAGCCTGTGCTCAGGAGTCCTGAGCTGGGATCTGTGCCCACCATTCAAGTGGGGAAGGAGCCCACACTCTCAAAACTGAAAGGGGAGAGTCTTAGTTTCGCCAGTTACTATGGGACCTAGGTGTGCCTCTTCCACAGGGTTGTCCCTGCTGGACCTTCTGCCTGTGGGAGCCCCGTGCCCTGAAACACCTAACAAAAACAATAACAAAATCATGGGCACAGTGCCAGTGATCAGAAATGGCTCCCCCAAGGCCAAGGAGCAGACCAAGTGAGGGGTTCCTTCTCTCCCCTTTGCACTTCAGAGCACAGCTGCAAATTCGAGGATACACAAAGGAGCCACATGGCTGAGTAGGAGCCAGTATACCACCAATTGCCCTCAAGCACCATTGACTTGTTTGCATCCCAAACTACAGCACCAAAAACCACCGTTAATTCTTCCCATCGTGAAACCAGGAGTGAGAATTCAAAAACAAAGACCCTGTACAGAGACTTAGTCCTCTGAAAACTTCCAGAAATTAAGCCAATGGACTATGCTCAATTTATACCACAGTGAAAAGGACACAAACCCACCCAGATGAGAAAGAATCAGGGCAAGAACTCTGGCAATAAAAGAAGTCAGTGTGTCCTGTGACTTCCAAAGGAGTCCACAGATCCCCAGCAATAGTTCTTAACCAGTCTGTAATGTCTGAAATGACAGATACAGAATTAAGAATGTGGATGCCAAGGAAGATCACCGAGACCAGGCAGAAAGTTGAAACTCAATCCAAGGAAGCCAAGCAATCCAGTAAAATGATTCAAGAGCTGAAAGAAGAAATAGCCATTTTTAAAAAGACCCAAACTGAACTTCTTAAGCTGTAAAATTCTCTAGAAGAATGTCACAGTAAAATTGGAAGTATCAACAGCAGAACAGACCAAGCTGAGGAAAGAATCACAGGGCTCAAAGACTAGTTCTTTCAATCAACACAGTCAGACAGAAATTTTTAAAAAGTAATGATTAGAAAAATGAACAAAGCCTGCAAGAAATATGGGATTATGTAAAGAGACCAAATCTATGACACATTGGCATTCCTGAGAGCAAAGGAGAGACAACAAGCAAACTGGTAAATATATTTGAGGATATCGTCCACAAAAATTTCCCTGGAAAATCTGATGATTACATACCTGTCTTGGGGATGATCTTGAGTAGAATGTTGTGGGAGTTGTCTGTATTTCCTGAATTTGATTGTTACCGTCTCTAGCAAGGCTGGGGAAGTTTTAGTGAATGATATCTTAAAATATGTCTTCCAAGTTGTTTACTTTCTCCTTGTCCCTTGCAGGGATGCCAGTGACTTGTTGATTTGATCTCTTTACATAATTGCATACTTCTCAAAGGTTTTGTTCATTCCTTTTCATTCTTTTTTCTTTATTTTTGTCTGTCTTATTTCAGAAAACCAGTCTTCAAGTTCTAAGATTCTTTTCTCGGTTTGGTTTATTCTGCTGTTGACACTTGTGATTGCATTGTGAAAAGCTTGTATTATTCAGCTCTGGCAGACCCATTAGGGTCTTTGTTTATACCAGCTATTTCATCCTTCAGCTCCTATATCGCTTTATCGGGATTCTTCCTTTCCTTGGATTGGGTTTTGCCATCCTGCTAAATCTCGATGATCTTCATTCCTATCCATATACTGAATGCTATTTCTGTCATTTATGCCAGTTCAGTCTGGTCAGGAACCCTTGCTGGAGAGAACTGGTGTGGTAATTTGGAGGACATACAAACTCTGGCCATTTCAGCTACTGGAGTTCTTGCATTGTTTCTTTCTCATCTCTGTTGTGGGTGTTCCTTTAACTGAACTGTAGATTGAGTACAGTCAACAGACTTCTTTTCTGAGTGTTTTCACCAGGCTATATTTAAGTCAGATATCATCTTTACAAGGTACCTTGGAGGATGCTGCTAAGCTACTCAGCAGGAGCAGTGGGCTAGAGTAAATTCTTACGGAATCATGTAGACTCTCACTGTTTCTTTGACTTTCTCTCTTATGTTTCCCCACTCCATGCCATTGTCATTGGCTTTCTACTTGTCTGTCAAACACCTCAATCTCATGCTAGTATTCTGTTTCACAGTTACTCTGCCTGTAACATTTTTCCCTGTGATGCCCATCCACCTGGTTACTTTCATCATCTCCCCCAAGTCTTTATGTGTCATCTTCTCAATGAGGCAATCTCTGACTACTGTATTTAAAATTGCAATGTGATCCCTATCTCTTCCAGTTACCCCTAGAATCTTAATCCTCTTTATACTGCTCTACTTTTTAAATCAATGCACTAGTTACCTGATAGCATACTGTAGAACTGCTTGATTTATTATGTTTGTTGTGTATTTCATCTCTCCCTTCATTGAATGATGTAAGATCATTAAGGGCAAGCATATTTTTTAATGTTTCATTCATTGATGTAGCGTCAGTGTCAAGAAAAGCGCTTGGAATACAGGAAGCATTCAGTTAATATTTATGAAATACATGAATGAATGATTAGGGAATGAATGCACAGCTTCTCTCTATTATATATTCATCATGGAAGATACATTTTTAAAAATCCATTGTATTAGAATAATACACGAACGAAATGCATACAGGCTTAATGAGTTACATTTACGTTTGGTAAGAGGTTTTATAAAGAGGATTTACTTGATTTTGTGGGTATAAATACTTTCAGGATTTAAAAATTGCAATGTGTATGTTTTCATTAATAAAATAAGGAAAAAAGTCTGAATGTCTGTCAAAACTAAGGAAAACAAGCCTACATGTCTGCCTCTATGACTGTGTAAAATCAAAGAATGCTTTGGGAGCCTGGAGCAAGAAGAAAAAGCTGAACTATGCATATTTGACTTCAGAAACACATGGCTGTGCAATCACTTTCAATATTCAAAATTAAAATTAGAAAAGCAATATTGGAGGAATGGCTGGGGAGTAGCTTAGGAGGAATCTGATAGGATATACATTAAGGAAGATCTTGAGTTTGCAATAAGAGACTGTTTACTGAGCCTGGATGTTTGGGTTCTTCAGAACTATTAAACCTCCTTCAGACTTGACCAGTCAATACAAATAAATTAAATGTTTATTCTGCTCATCTCCTTCACTTGAAATAACTGGAATTCTTTGCTGAATGGAAAAAAATAGCACTGGGAAAAAATAGAGCTCTTTTCTTGGTATGGTAGCTTTGAGACAATGGGTTAGTCTACTTGTAACTATTGCATTCTACTGCTTTGATTACATTCTCTAAGAGCTAACACCAAAAATGTAAAGGTAGACAGGGGAGGCAATAACTGGTATCCAAGTTTTTCCTAATGATAAAACAGCTTGTCTTAACAATCCTTGACATATAATAAATTCTTAAATTTCTAATTAAGTTCCTTATTCTCCAATACAGTAGTCCCCAATAGACAATAGCATCAATAAACCAGTAATTTATGCATTTGTTAAATATTTATTTAGATCACCTGCTATATGCCTTTAAACATTTTAGGCATTTCAATTCACAAAGATAAATTCTAAAATATGCATGCCATCTTAAATCACAGTCAAACTTGTGTGAGAGGTTGGGGCACAGATGAGAAGGACTGGGCAGTGTGGAAAGGATATGCTAGAAAGATACACCTGGTGGAAATAAAAGGGCTTGATTACTAAGGCTTTTTTTTACCTTCTGATTTATTTTCTTCAGTGATCTTTGCCTCTTCCATGATTTTAGTAATCATTTATAAGTGCAGAATCATAAATGTTTATCTCAACACTGGCATTTTTTGAGGTCCATGCTTCAATGTTCAATTGCTTACTCTATATCACAATTGGATATCCTAAAGCATCCTAACAGAATGTGTGAGAAACTGATTATACAACTCACATCTGCATGTTTTCTTAAAAATAAACTCACATGCACAAAAATGCTTGTTATTCCTCCAGTGTTCATATGGTGACTCCTTTTTGCCTTATTCTCCCTATCCAATCTATTTTTTGCTTTTCTAATTCATCATTGTCTTCTTCTTACATACAACTTTTGCCTTTATCCAAAGTTTATAAAATGTGTAATCTCTTTTATTATATAATTAACCTTCTGTGCTTGCCCATAGGCTAATTCTAAGATTGGGACATTAAACTGTTTCTATTTTTATAAACCTTATTTTCTGACATGCTCTATAACTTTTATCTACCCATTTATATAGAGTTGTAAGGATCTATTTTACACCTTTTTCTACTCTGCTTTCTACCTTGAGAGTCTGACATCTCTTGACAGCAGCATGAAGCCCCCTCTCTCTTTAGATTTCAGATGTATTTGGCCAACTGAGACTCTAAACAGGAAATCTGAGAGAAAAAGGGAAGCTTTTATTATTACTTATTATTATTCCCCACCCTTGGCTCCCTTCATGAAGTACTGGCTCTTACTGGCTTTGTCCCTTCATCGAAGCTCATAATGTCCTTCTGAGCAGCCCTCTCTATATTACTCTCTCCTTCTAAGTTTCTGAAAATGCTCTTCCTATTTTCTTAGGGCTTGGTAAATACCTCTTCTCTGTTCCTACTAGCTAAGAGTACTGCAGTAAACCTTGTGGTTTTCTTAAATGATGACGCACATTTGTTAACAGCCCTTTAATTAACCCTCCTTGAATTATCCTAAATTGAGTAAGCCATCTGTTTCCTGCTGTGACCCTGACCTGCAAAATCATCTTTTTTTTCAAATTTGCTTATTGTGAAAAAAATATAATTCTTTCAATCAATCTCTCTGCTAAAATTAAATTGTTCTAAAACTCAAGGTCAAGTTGACTCTCTTATTTTTTTTACACTTTCTTAAATGCTGTAAGTACTGACAGTTCAAATTTGAGTCATATCTTTCCTGTACACTTCTTATTTTCTCTAGTTTCTAAGTGTACTTATTTCATGTGTTGACAAAGACAGCATATGGATTTATACTAAGCTCATCTACTTCCATTACTATATTTTTGTTAGCATTAATGCATTTATCTGAAATATATTATTCTCAGATATCTATGATTTATAAGTCTAATTTGGACTACGTGTGTTCCAAGTCTATTAGGCAGTTTGTTATACTTGGATGACAAACTTTGGAGCTGGAATTGATGTTTGCTAAAATAAGAAATATGCATACAAAACAGCTTACACAACAGCTATTTAATCTTATAATTTAGAGTTGAACTTTAAATATACTCTTAATCACATCAAAATGTCAAAAAGAGGTTGGAAAACACACAAAGGTTTAATTTATCTGCAATTGTAGGAGGTGTTTCATCAGATATTCTCATTAGCAAATTTAATTATAGGAAGCAAGACAATATTACTTTATAGCTTTAAGATCTAATTAGTGTTCAGAAGTTAGTCTAAATTAACTTACACATCAAGCAGCTCAAACATTTTCCATTCTATGGGGAATTTCACTGGGTAAAAAATCTTTTGTCTTGTGGGCTTTAAAATTCACACAGCTGTACAAACAAATAATGACTGCAAAGTGGTTCTAGAGTTTTTTTTTCAAGAGGCTTTTGGGCTTTGGTTTCAAATAAATACAACTATGTAATTTTTTATCAATGCATTAGTATCATACATTTATAATTAATATATATTAGTCATCACTCCCATATATACATATATGTGTGTATATATAGTATATATATTAAATATTATATAGTATATACATAGTATTGATATGATGGTAAAGACTAGGTTTATTTTCAAATAAAAGTTAAAATAATTAGAAAAGCATTAAGGAAAAAATAGTTTCAAATTTTTTTGATCCAGTTACCATTTTGTTTGCTTAAGGGGAAGCCAAAAAGACTTCCTTCCAAAACTAAAATTATCATGCATATAGAGCAGTACTCTTTCCCAGAACTCATGCTATCTGTAAAAAATTTTCCAATTTCTGATCTCATCCTCACTTTAACTGTGTAAGGCATTTTGTATTTCCTTCTGTTGCAAGACACTCAAATGACTCTAACTGTTGAACATGGATTGATGTATCTGGTGGTGAGATCTGCATGAACATATTTTCATATTTTATTTTTAACTTGAGGAAATTCCTGAGTGCAGTAGAATTATTTATGGGCACTTAGAGTCATGGATAGGTGGGTGTGGAATAGGACAAGAAATCATGTTATCCATTCCCTTACCCGGTTTTCTAATCCTGCTTTATAAACCCTATGGAAGAAGTGTAGACTGGCACCAAAGATCTGCCTTCATTAGTTCTGTAAAATGCAAGAGCAAATTCTGGTTATTGTTTTTTTCAGGCAAAAAGCAAAGTGTCATTTTAGAATAGGATTTTCTCATTATCTTCCTTTTTCTTTCCAGTCTTCTGTCCTTACTTTCCTTCTTTTTATCCACTTTCTCCTTCCTTCATCAACGGAATTATCCAGGGAATATTGTTATAAACAGAATAAATGGTAGAAATGTTGCTTAACCATTCCCTTCCTAAGAAGTTAGAATATTCTTCCAAAAATATCAAACTTTGTCAATTTTATGTGTAAGTTTGACAAGACTTCAAAGAACACTGACTTTAGCTTTAAACAATTTCTTTCAGACAATAAGAAAAAAGGAATGACTACTTGGATTATTTCAAAGCATAATCTTTATAAATTTTCATACTAAAACCAAGAAAGAAAATCAATGGCCACTTTTTATTAATGTTGGTTATAAAAATAATAATTTTAAACGATAATTTCAAAATATATTTATAACATTTCCAGAATCAAAATTGAGTCACCATTAATAAATTCATTAATCCATTTCTCCATGTAAGTGTTTAAAGAAAAAATTCTCAATGCTACTACTATGGTTCCGATGTGGTTTGCACCACCCCCTACCAAAACTCATGTTGAAATTTAATTGTCAATGTAACCATGTTGAGTGGTGGAACCTTAAGGGAGGAGGCCTACTGGGAAGAGTTCAGGTCATATCAACTTTTCCCTTATGGGCCTCTTGGTGCCCTTCTCTCAGTAGTTAGTGAGTTCTTGCTCTCAAGGAAATGGATCAGTTCTCAGAAAAGCAGATTGTTACAAAGTGAAGTCCCTCCTCATGTTTGGTTCCTTTTCACACGTGTCCACCTTCCCTTTGACCTTCTTCCCTGTGTTTTGACCTAGCATGTGACCCTTACCAGAAGGCAAGCAGGTGCCAATCCCGTGCCCTTTAAATTTCCCAGACTGCAGAACCGTGAGCTAAATAAGCCTTTTTTCTTTATAAATTGCCCAGCCTCAGGTATTCTATTATAGCAACGCAAGATGGACTAACCCAACTCTTTTCTATTTGTTTTCTCTAGGTAGGCTCAGAGCCTTCTAGAGTGTAATAATGGCTCCCCAAAGATGTTTTCATCCTAATCCCCAAAACCTGTGAATACTGTGAATGTATTACCTTTTATGGCAAAAGGGAACTTGCAGTTATGATTAAGACTCCTGATATGAGAAGGCTATTCTGAATTATCCACATGGGCTGAATGTATTCACAAAGGTTCTTGTAAGACTTAGGCAAAAGTATCAGAGTCAGAGAAAGAGATGTGAGGATGCAAGCAGAGATGGGGCAAGGAAGAGGGGCAAAATTGTTTGACTATATTACATTGTTGGCGTTGGAGATGGAGGAAGAGACCCTGAATCAAGGAATGCAGTAGTCCTCTGGAAGCTAAAAATTCAAAGGAAAATGAAGTTCTCCTAAAGTGTCTTCAGGGAACACAGCCCTGCTTAAACCTCCATTCTAGCCATGCAACCAATTTCTGACTTCTAAATTCCAGAACTCTAAGGAAACAAATTTGTGTTATTCAACCCAATAAGAATAATATATAGCAATAAGAATTAACATATTCTCCAACAAAAAATGCCTTTTATCATGAAGTCAGGCTGTAAAGTCAACCTGACTGCGCTCAGTTCTCAGGTGTGACACTAGCGGCGTATATGGAAAAAGTTGCTTATTTTTCTGCATATTCTCATTACAGAACCTTATAGACATACATTAAGCACTTACTACTAGAAACTGAGTAAACACTCAACAAATTTCAGGTATTGTGACTCATGATCTCTTATTTTATTGTTTCCTGGATTGATTTCAAATTCCTCAGCCTGGAAATCAAAGACCTATATAACCTGGCTCCAAATGTGCTTTACAAACAATTCCAACAAGTCACCTCAGGGGTCATCCTTCTCCTCTAAAGAAAAAAAAAAAAAAAGAAAAAACAATTCATTCTTGCTCCTTCCTGTTCCTGAATGATTTTCTCCTCTTTCTTGATTATTTGAATTTCATACTGACTTGAATATCCAAGTACAATTTTACTTAATCTGTGTGGCCTTTCCAGCTTACTTCATTACTGAGTTCTGGTTCTTTCAATTTAACATTTGTTTATTCAATTCAAAAAGTGTCTGAAGTGACTTGTCTGCAACACTAATTTAGCAGTTAAGCTTGTGTAAGGGAGATGAAACTTTACCTCTACTCTTTTAGGGTCCTGTATGGGCCTGAGAATTACATAGACATAAAACAGATTAACAGAAGAAAAGCATACAAATTTAATGTAAATTTTAGATGACACAGGAGCCCGCATAAGAAAATGAAGACTCAAAGAAGTGGCAAGACTCATCTTTTTTTGCGTTAGGTTGAACGAAGAGAGGCAATTGTGGAAAAGTAAATAAATTATATGGGGAGGCTGAAGGAAAATAACAGTTATTTTACCAATGTCTGTTTTTACATAATTCTCTCAGCTATGACTCTCCATTGAAGAATGTGTCTTTTCAGCTGGTACAGCTCAGACATCTTTCACGGAGGCCTTTTTATCTCTTGTTTTCAGGGAGAAAAGAAGATTAGAATGCCTTTCTTGCATTTGCTGTTTTTCAAGTTCCTTTAGCTCAAAATAATACTTAGGACTCAGTGGCCTATTATGGGGTGGCATATTCTGCCACTCTCCACTTTCTTTTCTGATGTCATTTGTTAATATCTAACACAGATAATTCTTTTAGTGTTTAACATTTTGTGGGAAAATGTGGCTAGGCTTTTACAGAATTGTATACAACCATATTCCGGAATTTTTAATTAAATTATAAGATCATAAGTATAAAGATAAGTAATCTCTGCTGCAGATATAATAGCATCAAGATAATAAATATTCACTATGTAATGATGACATAAATCTCTGGACAGAGATATAATAATTATTTGATATATAGGAACATTTACATCAGAATATAAACAAATAATACATTTTATTTCACATTTTTAATAATAGTAGAATTTGCTAATATATAAGATATATCTAAAAGAAGTCAATGATCATTTAAAGAAAACTCAATTTGAGCATTTTCTGTGTCCAAAGAATGTACAAAAAAGGTGAATCTATGAAATGGTATATTAATGTGCTGCTAATGCCAAGAAAACCCCGTGCTTGATACTATCTTAACATTGAATACCAATTTTAAAATGCACTGTTACTCTAAGGTTGAATGTCATCAAGAAAGGTGTTATTGTAGAAATGGTTTTGTAGCCTATTTGATTACATATCTGAAAGAAAAATAGGGATATTAACATCCCAATACATTCTAAAATGTGACAGTTTCTTTAGAACTAAAGACAAGAAGTCATGATTTTTGCAAAGATTTCTGAAAATAAGTATTTCCTTGTAATCAAATCTAAAATAATAATGGTAATATTGAAATAGTTCCTTCTGTATTTTGTAACAGAGAACAAAGCGCCTATAATACATAGCTTCAAGTATCTCCAGATATCTCAAGAAAGATGGGGAAAGGCAGTATCAGTATCACCTTGTAAGTTTATAAAATATATATATATATATATACCCCATCCTTGCCCCAGTCCCTTGTTTAATAAAACTTGAGCCACCTGCCCAGATAATGATTTCAGTTTAGTTTCTAAGTTAACTCATACAGGTTTAGTTCACCTTATCTCAAATAGCTGAAACCAAATTGCTTGGATTTTGGAGGTTTTCAGATTTTAGAATATCTGCATATATCTATCCCATCGTGGGGATGGGACTCAAGTCAACACAAATTTCACTTATGTTTCATATACAGCTCATACACATAACCTCAAGGTAATTTTATACAACTACTTTTGCATAAAGTTGCCACTGGTGCATCCAGCCTGCCCTTGTGCCATTTTATTAACCTTGTAGGCATGATTGGGTAGGGGAATCTGAGCATGCTCGGAAAAGATATGTGGCAGCTGATGGAGGCAGGAAGGGTCTTTTTTCCCTTGCAGACACTAAATAAACAGTTGTGCACCTTCATTTATTTCTGGTGTCATGTCAGTGCTCAAAACATTTAGGAATTTGGAGTATTTTGAATTTTAGATTTCAGATTAGAGATGCTCTACATATTTCACAGTGTGTGAGGGGGTGTGGGTGTTGGTGTGGGTGTGTAGGTGTGGGTGCATGCTACAAATATAATACCAGGGAGCCATGATTCCCCGTTTTTTATGTCTTAATTTGTCTGCAAATCATAGTTTTACTAGAAATAAACAATACAGGGATAAAGCAAAGAAATTTTGAGCTTGGCTCCAGATCACCTCGATAAAGTGGATACCGCAATAAAGCAAGTCACACAAATTTCTGAATTCCCAGTGCATATAAAAAATATGTTTATATTATACTATAGTTTGTTAAGTGTTCAATAGTACACACCTTAATTAAAAAAATTTAAAATTGCCTTATTGCTAAAAAATGCTAACAGTTATCTAAGCCTTTAGTGATTTGTAATCTTTGTGCTGGTGGAAGGTCCTGCCTTGATGTGGATGGCTGCTGAGATCAGGATGGTAGTGTCGCTAAAGGTTGAGGTGGCTGTGGCAACTTCTTAAAATAAGACAACAATGAAATTTATCTTATCAATTGACTCTTCCTCTTATAAAAGTTTTCTCTGTAGCATGTGATGCTGTTTGATAGCATTTTAATCATATTAGAACTTTTTTAAAAACTGGAGTTTATCCTCTCAGACTCTGCCACTGCTTTATCAACTATGTTTCTATACTATTTTAAATGCTTTTCTAATTTCAACAATCCTCGCAGCATCTTTACCAGGAGTAGGTCCCATCTGCAGAAACCAATTTTTTTACTCATCAGTAAGCAACTCCTCATACATTCAAGTTTTATCATGAGATTGCAACAAAGCATCTTCAGGCTCTACTTCTAATTCTTGTTCTTTTATTATTTCCACCACAACTGTGGAAACTTCCTCCACTGAAGTCTTGGGCCCCTCAAAGTCATTTATGAGGGTTGAAATCAACTTCCTTTATACTCCTGTTATTAAACTGCTGTTAATGTTGATATTTTGTGCTCCTCCAAAAAAAAAAAAAGCAAAAAAACAAGGGTTCTTAATGATATCTAGAATGGTGAAGGCTTTCCAGAAGACTTTTAATTTACTTTGCCCAGATTCACTGGAGAAATCATTACCTATGACAGCTATAACCTTACAAAATGTATTTCCTGAACAGTAAGAAATGAAAATCAAAATTGATCCATGGGCTACAGAATGAACAAATGCATGAAAACAACATAAATTCCTTGTATATCTCTATCAGAGTCATTGGGTGACCAAGTGCATTGTCAATGGGCAGTAATATTTTGAAAGGAATATCTGTCTGAGCAGTAGGTCTCAACATGGGGCTTAAAATATCCAGTAAACCATTCTGTAAATATAATAAATGTGCTGTCATCCAAGGTTTTTTGTTGCATTTATAGAAAACAGGCAAAGTTGATTTAGCATAATTCTTAAGGGCCATAAGATCTTTAGAATGATAAATGAGCATTGGCTTCAAGTTAAAATCACCACCTGCATTAGCCTCTAACATGAGAGTCCATCTGTCCTTTGAAGAAGTTTTGAGGCTGGGTATTGACTTCTCTCTGGCCATTAAAGTCCTAGATGATATTTTTTTCCAATAGAAGGCTGTTTTGTCTACACCGAAAATCTTTTGTTTTGTGTAATCACTCTCATCAATTATTTTATTCAGATCTTTTGGATTACTTGTTGCAGCTTCTGCATCAGCATTTGCTGCATCACCTTGACCTTTTATGTTAAAAAGACAGCTTTTTTCTTTAAACCGCATGACTGAATCTCGGTTTGCATCAAGCATTTCTTCTGCAGCTTTCTCTCCTCTCTCAGCCTTCACAGAATTGAAGAGAGAAAGGACCTTGCTCTGGATTAGGCCTTGGTTCAGGGGAATGTTATAGCTGGCTTTATCTTCCATCTAGACTACTAAAACTTCCTCCATGTCGGCAGTAAGGCATTTTAGCCTTCTTATCATTCATATGTTCACTGCAGTAACAATTTTGATCTCCTTCAAGAATTTTCCTTTGTATTCACAACTTGACTAACTGGTGCAAGAGGCTTAGGTTCTGGCCTATCTCAGCTTTTGACATGATTTTTCTCACTAAGCTATTAAGCTTAGTGATTACATTTAATATTAATGATTACATTTCTAGATTTTAAATTAAAATAAGAGATGTGCTAATTTTCCTTTCACTGAACACATAGAGGCCATTGTAGGGTGACTGGCCTAATTTCGATATTGTTGTGTCTCAGGGAATAGAGAGGTCTAGGAAAGGATGAAGTACAGGGGAACTGCCTGTCAGTGGAGCAGTTAGAACACACACATTTCTTGCTTAAGTCTGCCATTTCTATGGGCACCAGTGCCTAGCACCCTAAAAGAATTACACTAGTAACATCAAAGATCACTGATCACAGGTCTCCAAATCAGACACCTTAATAATGAACAGAAAATTAAAATATTGTTGAGAATAACCAAAATGTGACACAGAGACACAAAATGAGCACATGCTGTTGGAAAAATGGTGCCAATAGACTGGATAGATGCAGAGTGCTATAAACCTTCAATTTTTAACAAATACTAGATCTATAAAGCAGAATAAAGCAAAGCACAATAAAGCAAGGTAAGTGTATATGTAAATTTGTATCAGAAATCCAATAACGTTTTTGATAATCTCTTTTGACTCCTTGTAAATATATTAGTTTGAAATACTGTTCAAAACTTTGTTGAAATTTAGTTCAATATGCTCCACTTTAAAGGGCATAAGTTCTTCACAAAATTGTCTTAAACAATACACTAAATGGAACAGTCTTCCAATGCTTCATGTTACCAAGAGTTGATAAAAAGTAGCTGAGAGTATGATATTTAAATAGTTCCTTTCTCTACCAAGTTTCACTAGAAAATTAAGCCATAATGTCCTAAAGTATCCATTATATTTGAACTAACTTTTGTTCTGTTCCCCTTGATTGGACTATTTATGTACTATTCTTGGATAAATTGAAGAAATCTGACATCATTTTCTGTCTCTGTTGTTCAGATGACCAACCTTGTCATCTACTGATACATACTTATATGTGGATAAAATAAGTATTTCCTACTAGGAGTAAATAAGTATTTCTTACTAGGAGTAAAATAAGTATTTCTTACTAGGAGTTATAATCCATACTTTAGCTTTCAATGTACTGGTTTGTATCTACTGGTCTGTATGTAATGATCTTGAAAGCTAACGTATGGATTATAACTCCTAGTAACAAAATACTTATTTTATCTAAATTAATTCAGCAGCCTCTTAAAGGGGTAGGAAGCTACTACACTGTATTATAATGATTTAAATTCTCAAGTGAATTTCTATTTATCATCTTGCCAAATTAAAAGCTTTTTTTTTTCATTTGCTCTGTTAGACATACAAATATCTGCTCATGATCTGAACTCTAGAGGAAGTATCTTACTCCTTAATACTTTTGCACATTCTGCTCCATGAAGCCTGACTACTCAGAGTCCATCGTGATTGTCCTCAGATGTTTCTAGGCTAGTTGTATTTTATTGTAATTACATATTTAATTTAATGCCACATAAATCCATGGAATATAAGTACAATAAGATGGGGACATTTGTTTTTATTATACTGAAATAGAGTGCATTGGAAGATTACATTGTGGCAAATAACTGCTGTTGAACAAGTGTGGGTGAAATACCTATAAAACTTTGGGAAAATAATCATAAGCTGCAATAAAGAATTTTTACAATAAGATTGTTTTGCAAGTGCCTATAAGTTTTGTTTCTGTTTTCACAAAGCAAAGTAGGAATTCAGACATATTATCTTCTGAGGTATGGAAGATCTCTGCCACTCAGGGAAAAGCTGCAAGGAAATCTATGCCTTTTTCTGCCTACACATAAATGAATATACGGAGTCCTGTTGTTTTTCTAGTGCTTTACACGTGAAATGAGCCTTGATTCTCCCTAAGCTTCTGCATATTTAAAACTTGTCATATACTTATCCTTTTTTATGAGAGCATTTAAAACATACTGTACATTGTCACCTATCAAGGTCCCTATCAAGGGGTTCAGTCAATAAATAAGGAAATAGGCTCCTTCTTCCTGCATCACTGGTTTCATTATCATTTACATTTTCTGCCTTATAATTTTTATTCTATAATTTTTATAAAATGCCTAATCTATTTAGTTTAGACTTTGCTATTTATAAATATATTAAAACTACAAATTTTCTTTTGAGGATCACCTTAGATGCAACCAAGATATTATACTGTGCAAAATTTTAGTTTTTTTAATTGGTTTTAGTTTATATTTGTTCTTGGGCCAGGAAGAAGGAGCCTATTTCCTTATTTATTGACTGAACGCCTTGATAGGGATCTTAATAGGTGACAATGTACAGTACATTTTAAATGCTCTCATAAAAAAGATAAGTATATGACAAGTTTTAAATATGCAGAAGCTTAGGGAGAATCAAACCTCATTTCACATGTTCTTGGGCACAAGCATTTTCTAAGTGACAGCTTAAATACTCCAATGGAAAGAATTTTAATAATAATAATTGTGAGTCCTAGAGTTGTGGCACTGTAATCAGAACATGGTTTATTGTATATTGTTGCTTTATATAACCCATTTAAGTTTTCATTGTTACTTATAGGTTCAATTATCATGTATGTCCTATGGACTGTTGAAAAGAAGGTATACATTCTAAGGCTGTAATATTTATTAAGATAGACCTTATTAATTAGACTATTTGTTGTTCATTTAAGTCTATCATAATTGAAAAGGTAAATAAAAGACACTTCATTTTTTCATCTATTATCTATTTTCTTTTGGTAATTACTGCTTAACAAATTTGGGAATATGTTATTGCAATCATGGACTTTTTTTAAATTTTTAAATTTTTAATTTTTGTGAGAACACAGTACTATATATTTATGGGGTACACAAGAGTTTTGGTAGAGGCATGCAATGCACAATAATCACATCAGGAATAATGGGGTATCCATTCCCCTTAAGCATGTATCCTTTGCATTACAAAAAAACACAATTATACTGTTTCAGCTATTTTAAATGTGCAGTTAAATTACCATTGACTATAGTCTCCTTGTTGTGCTATCAAGTAGTAGGTCTTATTCATTCTAAATATTTTTTGGTACCCATTAATCATCCCTCCACCCCCAACTATTCTTCCCAGCCTCTGGTAACCATCCTTCTACTATCATCATGAGTTAAATTGTTTTCATTTTTAGATCCTACAACAAGTGAGAACAAGTGATCTTTGTCTTTCTTGCCAGGCTTATTTCACTTAACATAATGATCTCCAATTCTATCCATGTTTTGCAATTGACAAGATCTCGTTCTTTTTTATGGCTGAATAGTACTCTATTGTGTATACATAACACATTTTCTTTATCCATTCATCTGTTGATGAACACATAGGTTGTTTCCAAATCTTAGCTATTATGAACAGTGCTGCAACTAACACAGGAGTTCAGATATGTCTTCAATATACTGATTTCCTTTCTTTTGTGTATATGCCCAGCAGTGGGATTGCTGGATCACATAGTAGCTCTACTGTTAGTTTTTTGAGGAATCTCCAAACTGTTCTCCATAGTGGTTGTACTAATTTACATCCCCACCAACAATGTATAAAGGTAAACCTTTCCTCCACATCTTCTCCAGAATTTAAATGTTATTGCCTGTCCTTTGCATATAAGCCATTTTAACTGAAGTGACTCGATATCCCATTATAGTTTTGATTTGCATTTCTCTGATAATCAATGATGTTGAAAACATCTTTTCATATGCCTGTCATTTGTATGTCTTCTTTTCAGAAATGTCTACTGAAATGTTTGCCCATTTTTAAATAGGATTATTAGATTATTTCCCATAGAGGTGTCTGAGCTCCTTAAATATTCTGGTTATTAATCCCTTCTCAGATGGGCAGGTTGCAAATATTTTCTTCAATTCTTTGGGTTGTCTCTTCACTTCATTGATTGTTTCCTTTGCTGTGCAGAAGTTTTTAACTAAATGTGATCCCATTTGTCTATTTTTGCATTGGTTGCCTGTTCTTGCAAGGTATTATTCAAGAAATCTTTGCCCAGACCAATGTCCTGGAGATTTTCCTAAATGTTTTCTTGTAACAGTTTGATAGTTTGAGGTCTTAAATTTATGTCTTTAGTCTATTTTTATTTGATTTTTATGTATGGTGAGAGATTCTGCATATGGATATCCAGTTTCCTCAGCACCGTTTATTAAAGAGACTGTCTTCCCCAGTGTATGTTCTTGGCACTTTTGTCAAAAATGAGCTCACTCAAGGTGTGTGGGTTTGTTACTGGGTTCTCTACTGTGTTCCATTGGTCTACATGTCTGTTTTTATGCCAGGATCATGCTGTTTTGGTTCCTATAACTCTGTAGTATAATTTGAAGTCAGGTAATGTGATCCCTCCAGTTTTGTTATTTTTGCTTCAGATAGCTTTGATTTTCTGGATCTCTTCTGGTTCCATATAAATTTTAGGATCGTTTTCTCAAATTCTGTGAAGGATGTCATTGGGATATTGATAGGGATTGCATTGTATCTGTAGTTTATTTTGGATAATATAAGCATTTTAACAATATTAACTCCGATCAATAAACATGAAATATCTTTCTATTTTTTGGTGTCTTCAATTTCTTTCATCATTATTTTATAGTTTTTATTATAGAGATCCTTCATTTCTTCCATTAATTCCTGAGTATTTAATTTTATGTGTGGCTATGTAAATGAGATTACCTTTTAAATTTCTTTTTCAGATTGTTAACTGTTGGCATATAGAAATGCTACTTATTTGTGTATGTTGATTTTGTATGTTGCAACTTTACTGAATTTGTTTAGCAGTTGTAACTGTTGTTTTTGTGGAGTCTTTAGGTTTTTCCAAATATAAAATCTTATCATCTGCAAACACAGATAATTTGATTTCTTCCTTTCCAATTTCGATGTCCTTTATTTCTCCTGTCTGATTGCTCTAGCTAGGATTTCTAGTACTACGTTAAATAACAGTGGTAAAAGTGGGCATCCTTGTGGTGTACCAGATTTTAGAGGAAAGAATGTCAGTTTTTCCCCAGTCAGTATGATACTAGCTGTGGGTCTCTCATGTATGGCTTTCATGATGTTGAGGTAGGTTTCTTCTATACTCAATTTTTGAGGGTTTTTTCTATCTTGAGTGGATGCTGAACTTTATCAAATGCTTTTTCAGCATCAATTGAAATAACAATTTTTGCCCTTCATTCTGTTGATGTGATGCATTACATTGATTGATTTGCATATGGTAAACCATCCTTGCATCCCAGGGATAAATCCTATTTGTCATGAAGTATAATATTTTCATGTATTGTTGAATTCAATTTGTTAGTATTTGTTGAGGATTTTTGCATCAATATTCATCAGAGATACTGCCCTGTAGTTCTCTTTTTTTTGATGTGTCTTTATCTGGTTTTGGTATCAGGTAATACTGGGCTTGTATACTGAGTTTGGAAATAGTCTCTCCTCTATTTTTCGGAGTATTTAGAGTAGAATTGGTATTAATTCTTTTAAAAATATTTGGTAGGATTCAGCACTAAAACAATCAGTTCCCAGGCTTTTCTAACTGAGAGACTTTTTATTACAACTTTGATCTCACTGCTTGTTATTGGTCTGTTCAGGCCTTAGATTTTTTTCCTGGTGCAATCTTGGTAGGTTGTATGTATCTAGGAATGTGTCCATTTCTTCTATATTTTCCAATTTATTGGCAAACAGTTGCTCATAGTAGTCACTAATGATCATTTGAATTTCTTCAGTATCACTTGTAATGTCTCCTTTTTCATCTCTGATTTTATTTATTTGCATCTACTCTCTTTTTTCCTTAGTCTGGCTAAAGATTTGTCTATTTTGTTTAACTTTACAAAAAAATCAACATTTTATTTTATGGATCTTTTCATTGTTTTCTTCATTTCAATTTCATTTACTTCTGCCTTGACCCATTATTTATTTTCTTCTATTAATTTTGGATTTGGTTTGCTCTTGCTTTTCTAATTCTTTAAGATGTATTATTAGGTTTTTATTTGAAGTTTGTCTACTTTTTTGATGTAGGTTTTTATAGCTATAAACTTTCCTCTTCATACTGCTTTTGCTATATCTCATAGGTTTTGGTATTTTTGAATTTTCATTATCATTTGCTTCAAGATATTTTTCAATTTCCTTCTTAATTTCTTCCTTGACCTACTTGTCAGTGAAGAGCATATTGCTTAATTTCCATGTGTTTTTAGAGTTTCCCAAATTCCTTTTGTTACTCAATTCTAATTTTATTCCATTGTGGTCAGAGAAGATGCTTGATATTTTTTCAACCTTTTTGATTGTTTTAAGACTTGTTTTGTAACAGAATATATGATTTATCCTTGAGAATGATTCATGTGCTGAGGAAAATAATGTGTATGCTACAACTGTTGGATGAAATCTTCTCTAAATATCTATCAGATCCATTTGGTCTATAGTGCAGATTAAGTCCAATGTTTCTTTGTTTATTTTCTGTCTCAAAGATTTGTTGAATGCTGAAAGTGGGGTGTTAAAGTGTCCAGCTATTATTGTACTGAAGTGTATCTCTCTTTTTAGCTCTAATAATATTTGCTTTATGTATCTGGGTGCTCCAGCATGGGTGCATATATATTTACAATTGTTATAGAAGAGATCATCTTGTAGAATTGACCCCTTACATAGTGATCTTCTTTGTTTCTTCTTGTAGTTTTGGTTTTGAAATATATTTTGTCTAAATATAGCTACTCCTGCGTGTTTTTGGTTTCCATTGGCATGGACTATCTTTTTACATCCCTGTATTTTTGGTGTATTCAGTCTAAGTGTGTCTTTATAAGTGAAGTGTGTTGAGCTGTTACCTAAGGGCAAGTCTATGTCCACTTTACTTTTCCTTCTGCTTTTCTCAAGTGTAAGTAGACTTGCCTCATAAACACCACAGCTGGGAATGTGCTGAGCCTCACCTGAAGCTATCATGTCTTAAAGGTTCACCCAAAGCCTTTGACATAATACCTGTGTACCACTGCTGGTTATTCAAGGCCTGAGGGCTGTTCAGTTAGCGGGTGATAAATGCTGCTAGGGCTGGGTCCTTTCCTTCAAGGCAGTGGGTTCCCTTCTGGTGTAAGGTGTGTCTAGTAGTGTTTTTCTGGGAGCAAGGGTCTGAAAAGGAGGCCTCAGGACACTGACCAGTTTCCCATCTTGCTGTGGCTGAGCTGGTATCCAAGATGCAAGACAAAGTCCTCCCCACTCTTCCCTCTTCTCTCCTCAAGCAGAAGGAAGGGGTGTCTTTTGGAGCTGTGAATTGTGTAGCCTGGGGTCAGGGGAGGGGTGATGTCAGCACTCCCTTACCCACCCCAGCTGGTGTCTCAGTAGGTTGTATGACCCCTGTCCACTAGCTCTGGGCCCAGGTCAGCATTAGGCATTTCCTTGATGTTGCAGTCCTTGTGGCCTAGACTGCCTTTCAAATTTATTTAGAGCCCCAGAGCACTTAGCCCATGGTGGTGAGGCTTGCAAGAACTCAAGTTTGAATCACCTGGATAGACAATTCCCCTCTGGCTAGGGTCAGTTTAAATGTTCCCTCCGTGGGAGGCACCAGGTGAGTTTGATCCAGTTTTCCTCTCTGCTATAACAGGACAGCACTGAGTTCAATGCCTCACAATTGCTGCATTCTCCGTCCTCCCGCATGCTGAAATACTCTGCGCACCATGCCAGTACCGCTGGGGAGTGGGGAATGGGTGGTGTCAGGGATTCAAGACTATTTTTTCTACCTCTGCAGTGCCTCTTTTAGGGAAATGAAGTTAAAACCAGGTACTGCGAGTGCTCACCTGATTTTTAGTTCTTATGAAGGTGCTTTTGTGTGTGGAGGTAGTTGTTAAATTGGTGTCTCTGTGTGGGGGACAAACAGTAGAGCCTTCTATCCCATCATCTTGTTTTAACTTTTTAAACTGTAATATTTTTGTTGAGAATTGCACTATTTAGCATTGGAAAGTTTCCTTCTTCCTAGATTTGATCATTTTTTTCTGGAATCCAATTGATCTGAGTTTAAGATTACAACCTCTGCCTTCTCTTTGCTTGTATGGTTTCACTGGCATAATTTGTTCACCTCTTTCTATTCAAGTTTTTCTGAATAACTTTCTTGATTTTTTTGTTTCATATACAGTATGGAATTGGTCTTGAGAAAAGATTTAAATTCTTTTTCTCAGAAATTAATCCACTTAAAGTATTTGTGTAACAAATATATCAGTACGTTTTCCATGTCATTATTTATTGCATGCTTTCTGTTTTTAAATGTTTTAAAAATCTCCAGTCAGTGACCTGTTAATTGTGTGTGTGTGTTTATATGTGTGTTCTAGAGTGGGTTGGCGTAGAGGTTATAGTCTTAAATAGAAATTTTGAATTATTCTTCAGTGCAGTGCACTTTCTCAGTAGATTATTGCATTTTATTAACTTTTTCTGCCTATTTTCCTAAAATTCTAACTGAACTTCACTCACGTACAAGTTCATCCTCATATATTATGTTTCAGTTTTACATGTTATTTTTATTTTATTTACATATCCAAAGATGGCTTTGTTTCTAATTTTTATTCTTCGGGTTTGCACTGATTTCCCTTGACAGAAAAAAATACCCATGAGACTTGAATGACTCAATTCTCAGTTTGCCACCCATTCCTGTTACAGCATCAGCTTTAACATGTCTCTTATATCCTTGCTGCAATGCAAATTTCCTTTTACACCTTTATGAATTTCCAGCTACTGGAATGTCAGTCTTAATAATACTAATCATATAGATGTATGCATCTTTCACGTATGTTCTTTATCATCTGAAGTTTCCATGTAACCTTTTAAAAATAAAAGTGATCAGAATGTACTTTGATAGTTGTATAATATTTTATAACCCTTCTGTCTTTCTTCCTCATTGTGATAAACATCTCTTTTGTATAAGCAAATCCATCTTAACAGTTTTTTATCAAACTATTGATGCTTGTATTGATGCATGCATTAATGCTTTTTCAGCCACTTTTTATCTTTTATATGCTGTTATTTTTGAGTGACAGCAATTCGCACTTATTAAGTTCTGCTACATATAACAGAAAATTAAAAAATTACTGCGGTTTTAAAAAAAAAAACAGATGTTGATTTTCTCTCATTTAAAAATAGTTCAGTGATATGATCCAGGGATGGCAGCATCATGGTGTCATCGAATGCTCTAGGTCCTCCTAACTTCCTGTCCCATCATCCTCAGTGTTTAGTGTTCAGTGTTTAGTCCCAGCTGTAGGCTATAGTAAGGAAGACTGATGAAGAGGAGCTCCTACTTGTTTATTTTAGCTCCTTTTGAGCCCTCTTAATCAGACTATACCTAGTCGTTACATTTATCTATTGATTGCCAAAAATAGTAACATTGCCACATCCATATCTAGGGTTCATGGAGAAACTGGAAAATATAGGTTTTTAACATTATTACTTTTTAAAAAGTTTCCAAGGAGCCTGGCTAAAATCTAGGTATTTATTAATGTGATTATTAGTATATAACTTGTATTCTCATTATATTAGTGATAAATGCATGAAGTATTTTCATTATTAATTATTTTAATTTGGCAAATAAATTGTAAAAGAGAAAGAGAGAAGGGATGAGATAGAAAAATTAAGATATTCCAAAAAGTATAAACAAAGGAGACAGTCTAATGCACATGTAGAATTTACAAGTGTACTGATTTTCCATTTTGGATAACAGTGAGAGGCGTGCCTAGAAAGATGTTTTGGATTTCAGTTAAAGAAATCTACTAATGTAAAAATACCAAAACAATAACTTGATAGCATACTAAATAGCCCTCAGCTTATCTTCAAAATATTATGCTTATTTATGCAGTAGGCATGCCTAAGATTGTTCTTTTATTTTCCCATTTTCCTAATAGTATCACTGTTTTTAATTTAGTTGAATTGTGTTGTATGAAATACATGATTTAATGTTACAAAGAAATACTATTCATTGTCTATTCAGAATAGATAACATTTTATCTTTTCCAGCCAATGAGATCAAATAGGACCTAAGGATTTTGCAAAAGCTAAAAAAGAACAATAGCGAAGTTGCCTGCTGGCTCAAAACACTATTTTCTATTGCATTATTAACCTTGTTGACCTAAAAAATGTGTTGCATAAGTTTTGGCTAAGAATTTGAAGTTATATTTTTCACACACAAACAGAAATTTTGAGCCCATTTAATAAAACGGTAAGTTACTAAATCCTAACACAGCAACTTATTGTCTTTAAATTTACGTAGGAAAACATTTGCACCTTTTTCTTTATGTTATCGTGTTATTTTGAAACCCAATTTTTGACATATTTCCAAATTAAACACAAATGACTACTATAGAGTAATTGACATGTACTGATATCAGCCAGTTTTGTGTATTAATAATTCAGAATAATTGATTTTTATTTAATGCCATATAGCCTTTTTAAACCCACATCTGAAATGACTATATAACTTATTTGTATTCCCATTCAAAGATAGCTAAAACAGCATTAAAATAAGAGTCTGGAAAGAATAAGAGTTCACAGTGCATAATTTCATAATAGAAGGAATTAATTTAGTTTTCAATACACTGATTTTATATTTCATATTTTAATCCGTGTAATTGATTGATTTTATATTTTAATCCGTGTAAATTTTATTGAACTAGATATCTTCACATTAAATTGTATTTTTTTCTCAATAAGAAAACTAAAATATAATAATGAAAAGAAAAATGGTAATAGTTCATTTCAAATGTCCATGATGGGCTGGGCATGCTGGTTCCCACCTGTAATTTCAGTACTTCGGGAGGCTGAGGCATTGAATCATTTGAGGTCAGGAGTTCAAGACCAGCCTGGACAACATGGTGAAACTCCGTCTGTACTAAAAGTACAAAAAAATTAGCCAGGTGGTAGTGGCGCATGCCTGTAATCCCAGCTACATGGGAGGATGAGGCAGGAGAATCGCTTGGGCCTGGGAGGTGGAGGTTGCAGTTAGCTGAGATCGCGCCACTGCACTCCAGTCTGGGCCACAGAGTGAGACCCTGTTTCAAAAAAATAAAAAATCTATGATGGTTCACTGATAGTTTATAATGTCCACTTTCTTCCTTAGCATTGATAACTAATTAAGAGTGACTAAAAAAAAAGAAAAGAAATAGAAAATAAACTTGTTTATGGTGATGGTTCTGATCATTCTATCAGAAAATCTCCCCTCGGGATATTAGAAATAAATATTAGTTTTACTGAAATAAAATGTAGAATAGTATTCCTGTTGAGAAATATATTACTACAATGTTTATCTCCTTTTTTATAGACCATTTTATACTTTTACAAATTATATTTACATATTTATTTATAATTGAATGTGCATATTTGTACATGATGTTTCAACTGTAATATTAAAACACCATTACATGATTCGATTATACTTAAAAATAAATCAGAATTAGAGGCACTTCCAGAACAGTAGTATGAGGAGCCTTGTACAGTCTGTCCGCGCTGAAATAACAACTAGTGAAAATGACAAGAAAACTAACTCTTCCTGGAAATAGGTCAGTGGACATACAGCAAATTGGGAAATATTTATTCAAAAAAATCTGCTCTGTCCTAGTAAGAAGAGTGAGGTCTATGGTATTTGAGTTGCAACTTGGTTCCTTCCCTTTCTCTCCTCAGCTCAGGCTGATGGAAGCTATAACACTCTAAGCAGGTGTGGCCGGACTACAAGGCTCTCTCACCCATCAGCTCCCAGTTTAAGGCAATGATTTTTTCTCCAGAAGGGGCCATCTTTCAGCATTTCTCATCCTTCCCACCTGTCTTGCATCAGCTCCAGGCAAGTATGGCTAAAAGGTCTGGCCTCTCTTTCTCCACCCAGGCCGCCATTCCCAAGGCAGAAACTCTAACCCTGGGCAAGCTGAGAATATTGGGCCATGATTGCTTCCACTCCAACTTGCTCACAGTTCAGTAGTTCCATGTTTAGCGAGGCAAACCTAGAAGCTATCACTTCCACACAGCTCCCTACTTACATAGCTGGAGTCTCATTTCAAAATAAGTGGTCAGCTGTCCTTGCCTCAGGTACCCAGAAATAACTTCTCTAGGGATCATTCCAGCAGGTGAAACAGACCATAAGACCAGAGAGCTCCATGGATCTCTCTAAGGTGACTGGTTTCGTTTAGAACAGAGATTGCGGAAGTTCAAATCTAAGGAAAATGTCTAAAACAATGGATATTTTTGTGGTGAGCAATTAAGAAGGGGCTAATGGCTTCAATGTAGGAAAAAGCAAAAGTGTAGAGCAGCTAAAAGTTAACAAAGAAAAACAGGGAAACAGAGATAAAAATACTCCTGGGATTGGGAAAACTCTGAAATATTGATTTCAAAGACAACCCTCTCAAAGGAGTCTAACTTTAATTACATCATACTGTGGAGCAATTTATGCCCAAGGGAAATGTCAAAACAATGGAGTAATCAGCCAGCAGTTAGTGAAGGTTAGCAGCTGGGTGTAATTCTGATGCAGGTAGACCAGCTAGAAACAAAAAGGAGTACAGAGAATGAAAGAGTCAAAATGACCTTAATTAAACCCATCATCCATCCCTTGGTGAGGAGGATCAAGGTTACTGTGCATATGCTCAGAGCTGCGCACTCTTGGGGTGACATTAGAGGGTGCACAACGTAGGGAAAATAAATTTCACAGAACTAGCCCAGCTGAGTCACTAAGCAAATAAATAAGCAAGCACACAGCAGCAACTCTAAGTTGGGGTGGGAGATTTATAACAAGTTGCTACAATATATTACTTAAAATATCAAATTTTAACACAATTTAGGAGATATGAAAATTTTGGAAAGGATGACAGCTCCCCCACAGAAGCATACACACCCACCCACAACAAAACAAAATGAACAAATACACAAATGACTCTGTCCTTGAAAGGGCTCAAAGGTTGGATTTAACAGACACATTTCTCAAAGCAGCTATTATAAGTATGTTCAAAGAACTAAAAGAAATAATTAAGAATTAAAGGTAGGTATGATGATGAGCTCAAAAGTAAAAATAATATTAATAAACAGAATTTATACAAAATCAATAAAAATTTTGGACACGAAACATATAATTAGTAAAATTTTTTAAAAATCATGAGAGGGCCTCAGTAAAACACTTGAGCAAAAAAATAAGATCAGGAAATTTGAAGATAAGAAGATAGATTATGTAATATGAAGTAGGGAGAGAAAACAGAATGAAGAAAAATGAACACAGGCACAAAGAAATATGGGATACCTTTAAGCACACCAACACACATACAATGGGAGTACCAAAAGACAGGAGAAAAAATAACAGATAAAAATATTTTTAAAGTGGGTTAAATACTTCTCAAATTTGATGAAAAATATTAATTTAACACATCTAAGAAACTCAATAAAGCATAAGTATAATAAATAGAAAAAGAAAAGAATTAAAGCCCAGACAAATCAGGAAAAGCATATTGAAAAATAAAGAGAAAATCATGAAAGCAACCAGAGAAAAATGATCCATAAAGTACAAGGAAGTTCAATAAGATAAATAGCTGACTTCTCATGAGAAATAATAGAGGTCAGAAAGCAGAGAGATGACATATTCAAAGTTCTGAGAGAAAAAAAAGTAGTCAAAGAAGAAACTTAGATTCAGCAAAATTCTTTCAAAAATGAAGTAAAAAATGGAGACATCACCCAAAAAGCACAAACTAAAAAAAAATATTGCTATCACACCACCTTACAAAAAATAAGAAAGAAAGGTCTTCTTGATGATATCAGGGGTTACCAGAGGATAATTCAAATACGCACACAAAAATGAGTACTAGAAAAGTACTTATTTAAGACACTGCAATAGACAGCATAATTAGATATTTCTCCCTTTTTCTATTATGTAATTTAAAAAGCATTTGAATAAAGCTATGTATATAATTGCATTGTTAGGCCTATAACATGTGGCAGTGTAACATATTTGACAGTAATAGCATAAAGAAAGCAAGAATGAAAGGGAGGATGCTACTATCAACCTTGCTGAAAAAAAAGAGAATTACAAAAAATATGAAAAGATGTATGACAGCATTATTAATCTAGACAAAATGAATAAATTCTTAGATATAAACTACTGAAACTGATGCAAAAAGAAATAGAAAATCAGAATAGACTTATAACAAGTAGCTAAGTAAATGAAGCCACAAGAATCCAAATGTAATGTATAAAATTGGCAAATTTATAGAGACAAAAAGTAGATTAGTGATTACCTAACATGATGGGGATGAGGAGGTGGTCAATGGAGAATGACAATTTAATGTGTGAAAGTCTTCTTTTTAGGATGAAGAAATATTCTAAAAATTAGACTGTGGTAACAGTTGCACGGCTCTATGTATATACCTCAAATAATTGGTTTTTATACTTCAAGTAGCTAAATTGTGTGATACATGAATTGTTTCTCAATAAATGTATTTAAAAGATTAGCACATTGATTTTTAGTATCTTTTAATTTTTAGTAACTTTTAATAATAAGTTTATACTCTTTGTACATTTCAGACAAATAATATAATTTCCATTCTTCTTAATAGGGGAGAAAAGGTTAAAAAAAGGATCTCAAAGAAAAGTGAAAACTTCATACAAATGCAGAAACTATTACTTTTCTAAATAATTTCTTAAAGTAGCTAATTTTTCTAGTACTTTTGGTACCACAATATCACATGTTTTAAATAAATTCAAGGTTGAATTTTCTTTTAAAAAGTCTAGGGAATAAAAGCAAAAGACTTTCACTTAGTCTTTCAGAAATATTTTTATTTTTACTTTGTTGTTTGCTTCACATTCTCTGAATATTGATGTTGCATTTGTTTTGATTAAAAACAAACCAGATTTTTTGTATGAGAAAAATATATCTCAATTTGTTTATGCAGTATTAGGTAGGAATTTTGTGTTTTGCTTTAAAAAATCAATTCAAACTTCTACAATATAATAGACATGAAAGAGAATTTTCTTGAATCTGCATCTATATATGATCTGGCTAATGTCTCATTTCCCGTTAAGCTTATTTTAACCAACTGGAATTATTTCATTAGATAGTATCAATATTACAAAAATCTAAAGTTTCAACACATGCAAGTAAAGAAAATTCAGATATGTTAAAGTATTGCTAACATCTAACAAAATAATTTCAATTTGTTGAAATAGGCTGAATCCTTGGGATTCCATTTTTTAAACTAAAAACTTTAGACAAATTAAATTTAACAGAGTTTATTTGAACAAAAAAAAAATTTATGAATTGGGTAGCACTCAGTGCCAGGAAAGGTTGAGAGCTCCAACCAGCAATGTAAACAGGAAGTATTTACATACAGAAAAAAATAACTGACATAAGTAAACAGCTTGATTGATTACAGCCAGGTGTTAGCCATATTTGGGCATGGTGTGATGAGGCATTTGCCTTATACGAATATAGAATGATCACTTGGCAGCCTTTGATTGGTGGAAATTTGGCTGCTGGGATTGTTTGGGACTCAACTACTTATTTACAAGAAGATTCTCTTAAGTTACGTTGCTGTTTGCTCTATAAAGATTCAAAATACAGAGTCAGCTTCAGACCAAATTTAAATTAATTTAAAAGTTTATGCTATAAATAAGAATAAATGTCTCAGAGAATTCAGATACATACATTAATAACATAACATATATAAATAAATTGATGTTTGTTCTAACATAAATTCTTTAAAAGTATATAATTTATGCATTTAACCTACCTTTATATCTAAACAATTTTATCCTATTGCTTTTCTCTACTACTTGTAATATGTCTTTGGTTGAAAAAGGATAAGTAAATACATTTGCATAATGATATATAAATTTGTCTTTGAATGTTCATTTGCTAGTCACATTATTCATATTTTAGTTTTAATACTATAAGAGCATACAAAAGCAAATCCTCTATGTTGTCATTCTCTTAGTTGATATGCTAAAATGCAAAAAGAATCATAGAACATTAGAAACTAATCCTACTCCACTGAAGCTTTAAGATTAGAAATAATAAGCACAAAAGGTAAGGCTATCCCATAGCATACTAATTACCATAGTTAATAAACAGTTTCTGTACAGTAGGCCAATTGGGTCTTGGCAAAAAGGCTGCTATATCTCTTATTATTAACACTCATATCTTTACAATGAATATAGCTACATGACTAAAAATTCCTTTTTTCCAGATTCCCATGCATCCTATTGTAGCCATAAAAATAAATTCTGACAATTAGGATGTAACAGGAACTGATGAGATTTAAAATGTAATATGACAATTTTATCACATCATTTATAAAGAAGAGGCTTGGCTTTCTTTGAAATTTTGTCCCTCATGCAGCCTGAAATGCAAACAATGTATCTGAAACTCAAGGAGCCATCCTGGATCAGGGGGACTAAGACTACACAGTAAAGAAATGACCTAGAAAGAGGTGAAATCCACAATGAATTCATAAAGCTGCCTATCAGCCCTGGCAAGCCTCCTTGAACTTCTACTGGGAAAAAAATCAACTTTTTAAAACCAATTCTTTGCAGGATTAATAGCCTGGATTTCTAACTGATAAATGCTGAAGCATAAGCAATCAGAGGGCTCAGCTCACCTGTTTCCTGCCTCTTGGAGAACATTATCCTTTGTAGCCTTATGTACAGTGTCTTTTAAACCATTGTTTGATACATTTTGCTGAATTCTGCTTAATTCAGGTGGGAGGGTAAATCCTGTTCCTTTTATTTTATCTTTGCCAGAAGTAGAAATGTCCAAGCATGTTGATTAACCACAACTTCATTTAAAAAAAAAAGTCTGACTTACTAATAACACTTTCTATCAGCAAGTGAATGGTTTGGTTAGACAGGTTTTACATATTTATGAAGTAAATTATTCATAAGCAAAAACTAAAAAGCGGCACATAACAACATGGATGAATCATGAAATAATTATGCTGAGTATGGAAAAACAGATTCTGCAGATTTTATTCTGAATTATTCCACCTGTAAGAAAACTAAAAAATGAAAATCTAACATCTAATTGAGAGGTGACAGCGTGCTGGCAGCCCTCACTAGCTCTCGGGGCCTCCTCAGCCTAGGCACCCACTCTGGCCACGCTTGAGGAGCCCTTCAGCCTGCCGCTGCACTGTGGGAGCCCCTTTCTGGGCTGGCCGAGGCCGGAGCCAGCTCCCTCAGCTTGCGGGGAGGTGTGGAGGGAGAGGTGCGGGTGGGAACCAGGGCTGCATGTGGCGCTTGAGGGCTGGCGCGAGTTCCAGGTGGGCGTGGGCTTGGTGCGCCCCGCACCTGGAGCAGCCGGCTGGCGCCAGTGGTCCCAGGCAGTGAGGGGCTTAGCACCAGGGTCAGCAGCTGCGGAGGGTGCACCGGGTCCTCCGGCAGTGCCGGCCCGCTGGCACTGCACTGGAATTCTCACCAGGCGTCAGCTGCCTCCCCATGGTGCAGGGCTCAGGACCTGCAGCCTGCCATGCCTCAGCCTCCCCCTCCACCACTGTGGGCTCCTTCATGGCCAGAGCCTCCCCAGTGAGTGCTGCCCCCTGCTCCGCGGTGCCCTGTCCCATTGACCGCCCAAGGGCTGAGGAGTGCAGGCGTAGGGCGTGGGACTGGCGGGCAGCTCTGCCTGCAGCCCAGGTGCGGGATCCATTAGGTGAAGCCTGCTGGGCTCCTGAGTCTAGTGGGGACTTGGAGAATCTTTATGTCTAGCTAAGGGATTGTGGATGCACCAATCAGCACTCTGTGTCTAGCTCAAGGTTGATAAACACACCAATCAGCACCCTGTGTCTAGCTCAAGGTTTGTAAATGCACCAATCAGTGCTCTGTGTCTAGCTGATCTGGTGGGGACTTGGAGAACCTTTACGTCTAGCTAAGGGACTGTGAATGCACCAATCAGCACTCTGTGTCTAGCTCAGGGTTTGTAAATGTACCAATCAGCACCCTGTGTCTAGCTCAGGGTTTGTGAATGCACCAATCAGTGCTCTGTGTCTAGCTAATCTAGTGGGGACATGGAGAACTTTTGTGTCTAGCTCAGGGATTGTAAATGCACCAATCAGCACCCTGTCAAAACGGACCAATCAGCTCTCTGTAAAATGGACCAATCAGCAGGATGTGGGTGGGGCCAGATAAGGGAATAAAAGCAGGCTGCGTGAGCCAGCAGTGGCAACCCACTCAGGTCCCCTTCCACAGTGTGGAAGGTTTGTTCTTTCACTCTTTGCAATAAATCTTGCTGCTGCTCACTCTTTGGGTCCACACTGTCTTTATGAGCTGTAACACTCACTGCAAAGGTCTGCAGCTTCTCTCATGAGGCCAGCGAGACCACGAAACCACCCGGAGGAATGAACAACTCCAGATGTGCCGCCTTAAGAATGGTAACACTCACCGTGAAGGTCTGCAGCTTCACTCCTGAAGCCAGCAAGACCACAAAACCACCAGAAGGAAGAAACTCTGAACACACCCGAACATCAGAAGGAACAAACTCTGGACACGCCACCTTTAAGAACTGTAACACTCACCACGAGGGTCCGCAGCTTCATTCTTGAAGTCAGTGAGACCAAGAACCCACCAATTCTGGAGACATAATGATAAAAAAGCAAACCAGAGATTTACTGGAACCAAAGAAGGTAAAGTTGAGGACAGAGAAAATTTTGGAGACAACAGAAATGCTCAACATCTGAATAGGGATGGTTGTTACGTGATTGCAGACATTTGTCAAAACTCATCAAATTGTACACTTGAATTTGTTTTAATGTGCCACTTTGCTTTGTCTTTTAAAGTAATTAAAAACGTTTTAAAAAGACTTTAATATTTACTGTCATGTTTACTTTTCTAAGGCTCTTCATTCCATTGGCTGGATCCAAATATCATCTGATATCATTTCCCTATGTCTAGGGCATTTTCATTTCTATTTCTACACACATCTACTCTACCTATTACCCTTCCTGTCTCCAAATGAAATGCTGGAGGACAGCAAGGGAGAAGCAGAGACCTTCTGGAGCACACTCAAGATGGCTGCACAGAGATGGCGGGGAAACACCTTGCCTTTTCCACCATATCCCCCAGCTGGGGTCATCTCTGAACCAGGAGGGACTACTCCCTATAGGGGAAGGTAAGCGGGAGTCACTCAGGCGGCTGAGGCAGAAGAATCACTTGAACCTGGGAGGCAGAGGTTGCAGTGAGCCGAGATCACACCACTGCACTCCAGCCTGGGTGACAGAGCGAAACTCCGTCAAAAAAAAAAAAAAAAAGGCAGGAGTCTCCCAAGGGCTCCCATTACCTCTGCAATGTGGGGCCCACATTGTTCCCCACTTCTCATACCCCAACCTGCTACTGCACAAGTTATTTTGAAATCAGAGCCACGGCTACAATGTATCCTGCTTTGGGAGCCAGTAACCACTGCATCCCTTCATCCCTGAGGTTCTGCTATCATTGCACCTTGCTCACACACTGGAGTGTGCTATTCCCCAGCAGAATAGCTACAGCTTCCTACGTCCTGGTGCTAAACTGCCTTACATGCACTTCATCTCCACTAACGCAGTTGTGGCAGTCCCCTAACCCCAGCTGCTTAGAGCCTAGTACCAGTGGAACATGGACTCTGCTTCCCCATTCCTGCCTGAACCAGCTCAGTGCCTAGCCCCCTCGAAATCAGAGCCCCAGTCCAGCAGAGCAACTGCCTATTTGGGACCCAAGCCCATGTAGTGCCCTGACCCCTGTAGACCAGGGCATAGCAGCCCAGAAGTGTAGCTGTACCCTTTGGATCCTGAGAAGATCTGCACATTGCCTCTTGGGAGACTAGGAGTGCCATCCCAGAGAAGCAGCTGTGCCATCCAACTTTGAACTTACATGTTCACCATCATTCAGGGTCCAAGAGTCCTGAAACACAATAGCAGCCATAGCCCCTGAAGCTTGAGCTAACTGGTGTCCCATCCCCCTGGGGAAAAGGGGATCAAGTCCAACAGAACACTTTTGCCCTCAGTTGCTCAAGCTGATGCAGTCTGGCCCCACAGATACAGACAGCCTTAGATAAGCTCTGCCACCCTATCCTCTAGGCTGAACAATCCCAATGTGCTCTGCTTTCATGGATCTAGACTAATCCTCCAGGGTTTCAGCTACTAAGGTGTTCCATCTCTCTGAAGAGTGGAGTCATCATTGTGCTGCACCATGGCCCCTGGTGCCAAAACAATAGCTGTGCCCCATAATACTAGGGTCCTAGCTGCCACTGTACCCAACGACACAGAGGCTGGACCACTGCTATGTCCCACTACCTCAGGGTCCAGAATATCCACTACATGGAACCTCCTCTCCTGGTGCCCACATTGTCTCTGTGCCCTGTTGGCCTCAGGTCCTGAATTGCATCTGAGCTTCTGAAACACCACTTCTTCCTTGGACTGGTGCCCATGCTGTGCCCTCAAAATCAGAGTCATGCTACATTCCACCTCTCAGGGTTGAGCTCATGGCCTGTGCCTCAGAGTCAGAATCCTAAGCTTTGTAGAAGAGCTGTATCCACTCATTTCTGAGAGTGAAACTGAACCCACATCACAGTAGTCACAGTTTACCAGAAAAGGGAGCCCAGGACCCAGCTCCACAGCCATTTTGAACACTTGTGCCCTAGAACACAGGGCTTCTGTGGCTGCATGTGGGCTGTGTCAGACCCAATACCAAGAGGGAATCTCCCCAACTAAGACCCTGCTGTGAGGGAAATGAGAACAGGAACCCTAAAGCCCTTTCCACCAAGACTCATAACAACTTATGCTGCCACCACCATTGCCACAAACTTTTATGGCCTAGGCCACTAAAGTTCCTGCAGTTATCACTAAATTTGACCACCGCTGAAGAAGCTACATGGAGACTATGCTACTGTACCCACTCAGAACCAGAGCCAACACTCCACCAACACTCTAAGACCCACCTGCATGTGGAAGTCTTTTCCTCCAAAAGGCACTTTATAAATTTAGGAAAAAGTAACAGTTCCACCAGATGCGCAGGCTTCAGTGAAAGGATACAAGAAATAGGAAAAAGCAAGAAAACTTGATATTACCAGAAGAAAAAAACAAGCAAACAAACAAAAGACAGAAATTCTCCAGTAACTAATCCCAAAGAAAGAGAAATTTATGAACTGTCTGAAAATGAATCCAAAATAATGTTATTCAGAAAACTCAGTGATATACTGGAGAATACAGATTGATAATTCAATAAAATCAAGAAACAATTCATGATGTTAGTGAGAAAATCAAGAAAGAAATAGATATCATAAAAAAGAACAAAACAGAAATCATGGGAGCTGAATAATTCAATGAATAATGTAAAAAAAGACAATAGAGACCTTTAGCAGCACACTGGATCCAGCAGAAGACATAATCCATAAAATTGGAAACGTATCTTTTGAAATAGCCTAGTCAGAGGAAAAAAGAAAATAATGAAAAGAGTGAAGAAAGCATACAGGACTTAAGGGATACTGTTAAGTGAACATATATTCACACTGTGGAAATTAAAGAAGATATCAAAAGACAGTCAGGCTCATGCCTGTAATCCCAGCACTTTGGGAGGCTGAGGCAGGTGGATCATCTGAGGTCAGGAGTTCCAGACCAGCCTAACCAACATTATGAACCACCCCCATCTCTACTAAAAAAAATACAAAAGATTAGCTGAGCTTGGTGATGCTTGCCTGTAGTCCCAGCTACTCAGGAGGCTGAGGCAAGAGAGTCAGTTGAACCCAGGAGGTGGAGGTTGCAGTGAGCCAAGACTGTGCCACTGCAATCCAGCCTGGGTGACAGAGTGAGATTCCATCTAAAAAAAAAAGACAAGGAATTTTTTAAAAAGCAAGAAAAATGGATCAAATAATATACAAGAGAAGCCTCATGAAATTGTCAGCGCTAACCTCAGAAGAAATCTTATAGGTCAGGAGAAAAATGGGATAACATACTCAGAATCCTAAAAGAAAAAAAAACTGCCAGCCATTTTATCCCATACAAGCAGAAGCTGAGGGAATTCATCATCCCTAGACCTGCCTTAAAAGAAATGCTTATAGCAGCTCAACCAGAAACAGAAAGATGATAATCAGTATCATGAAAACACATGAAAGTATAAAACACACTGGCAGAGGTAAATACATAGTCAAATTAAGAATATGGTATTACTGCAATGACAGTGTGTAAACTTTTAAAATCTCTGGTATGACCACTAAAAGTTAAAATGGTCAAAAATATAGTTATAATAAGTTGTTAAGAAGCATGCTATATAAAAAGAGACAATGATAAAAATATAAATTGTGGAGAGAGGATAAAAGTCTGAAGTATATTTATGTGACTGATATTAAATTTTTGTCAGTTTAATATAGTCAATTATAACTATAAAATGTTTTACGTAAGCCTCATGGAAACCACAAAGCAAAAAGTTACAGAGGATACACAAACGAGAAAGAAAAAGGAATCAAAGCTTAGCAGTACAGAAAAACACCAAACCACAAAGGTAGGCAACAAGAGAGGAAGGAACAAAGGATCTAGTAAACAGCCAGAAAACAATTAAGAAAATGTCAGGAGTAAGTCCTTACCTATAAATAATAATCTTGCATATAATGGATTAAATTTTCCAAAAGATGTAAAGTGGCTTAATGGATAAAATAAATGGAATCCAACAATATGTTGCCTACAAGACACCCTATTTAAGCTTTAAGGACCCGTATGGGCTGAAAGTGAAGAAATGGAAGAAACGCTATTCTGAGCAAATAGCAACCAAAAGAGAGCATGGTGGCTATACTTACATCAGATAAAATAGAATTCAAGTCAAACACTCTCATAAGAGACAAAAAAGGTCATTACTTAATGACAAATGGGTCAATTCATCAAAAGGACACAGCAATTGCTAATATATATGGACCGAACATCAGAGCACCTAAATATAAAAACCAAATATTAATGGACATTAAAGGAGAAAGAGATAGCAATATAATAATATTAGAGGATGTTAGTACCCTGTTTGAAAGAATGAATATATTGCACAAAAATTTAATAAGGAAATATTGGGCTTGATCTGCACTTTAGAACAAATGGACCTAACAAACATATATAGAATTTTCCATCCAACAGCAGCAGAATTTATACTCTTCTCTAGCGTACATATTAGGCTGTTGCAAAAGTAACTGTGGTTCTTGCCATTTAAAGTAATGGCAAATGTAACAATTACTTTTGCACCAACCTAATAGAACACTCTCCAGGATCGACCATATGATAGGCCACAAAGCTAATCTTAACAAATTCAAGAAGACTGAAATAATATTTAGTACTGACTGACCACAATAGTATAAAACCAGAAATGAGTACCAGGAGGAATCTTGGAATATTCACAAATATGTGGATATTAAACAACATGCTCCTGAATGACCAAGGGTCAAAGCAGAAATCAAAGGGAAATTTCCAAATATCTTCAAAATAATGCCAATCATATAGGTTTTGACACAACATATCAAAACCTATGGAATGCAGAACAAGTTCCAAGAGGGAAGTTTAAGTGCCTACATTAAAAAAGAAGAAAAATTCCTAACGAACAGCTTAACCTTATGCTTCAATGAGCTAAAGAACAAATTAAACCTAATGTTAGCAAAAAAGGAAATGATAAAGATCAGAACTGAAATAAATCAAATGGTGACCAAATCAGCCATTGAAAAACAATCAATAAAACCAAAATTGGCTCTTTGAAAAAAATAAGCAAAGTGACAAATCCCTAGTTAGAAAAAAAGAAGACTTAGTAAATAAAATCAGAAATGAAAGTGGAGACATTACAACAGATGTCTTCCAAATTAAAGGATTATAAGGGAACGTTATGAGCAATTTTATTCCAACAAATTGAATAACCTAGAGGAAATGGATAAATCATAGAGAAAAATAACCTACCATGATAGGATCAAGAAGAAAAAGAAAGTTTAAACATTCCAATAACAAAGAGATTGAAGCAGTAATTAAAAACCTGCCAACAAAGAAAAGCCAAGGATTAGACAGCTTCATGGCTGAATTCTTCAAATATTCAAAGAGAAATTATTACTAATACTTCACAATCTCTTCCAAAAAACAGACTGAGAAGTATTTCCAAACACTTTTTACAAGGCCAGCATCACCTTGATGTTTATGTCTGACAATGATGCTGGAAAAAAAAAGAAAACTATAGGACAAATATCTCTAATAAACATCAATTTTAAAATCCTGAGTAAAATATTGGCAAACTAAATTCAACAAAACATTAAAAATATTGTACATCATGACCAGATGGGATTTATCCCTGGCATGCAAAGCTGTTTTGACAGGCAAATTAATCAATGTGATCCATCACATTAACACAATGAAATATAAAATCCACATGATCATCTCAATTGACACATAAAAGGCATTTGACAAAGTTGCATTTCCTTTCTTAACAAAAAGTAACAGTTTTAAGTATAGAAGGAATATTAGGAATATTATTCAGCCTAATTAAAGAATGAGATCCTGCCATTTGCCACTACACGGATGGAACTGGAGGATATTACACAAAGTGAAATAAGCCAGACACGGAGAGAAAAATATTGAATGATCTCACTTGCATATAGAATCTAAAGAAAATAAAAGTTCACACACATAGAGATAGAGAATAAAACAGTGGTTACCAGGGCGGAGTTACGGGAAAGGAAATGGTGAGATGTAGGTCAAATTAGACAAAATAGCAGGTATGATACACGTACTATGTACCCACGCAATTTTTCTTAAAAAAAACAAAGTAGTAAATATGTAAAATGAACAAGTCTAGAACTCTCATGCACACATGAACACTAGAGTTAATAAAATCAGATTGTATTAGGATTATTGTTAAATAAGATTTTAGCTGCTTCTTTCATAAAGGTAACTATGTGAGATGAGATACATTATAATTTACCTCACTACATTAATCATTTTACTACTATATGTGTCTCATAACATCATGTTGTAAACCTCAACTATGCAAAATAAAATTTATTTTGTAAAAAAGAAATTATATCAGCAAATTAAATGTTATAACCGTCAGGGACAGTAAGCTGGTTCTACAGAGACTAGATTACTGGGGAGTTTCATGTATAGGAAAAATCTGACATCTGTAGGAAACTGACTCAGAATCTATTTGAACTATTGTCCCTAAGAGTAGGAAACAGGAACTATTGACTTGATCATCTGAATTTGACTAGATTAATCCAGATTTGTCATAAACGTAAATTTTATGAAACTCGATTTAGAATTTTTCACCCTGTTCTATTATTCCAAGGAAGTAATTTACATTAAAATCTCTCATATACTCAAGAAAAATGAATTACTTTTATGTCATCATTTTCACCTATGCATTCTAAAAATAAATCAGATACAATATTCCATACATTAATTTCACTTCATTTTTAAATTTCTGTGACAATTTTGACTGATCATAAATGTGAGCCTTTTTTTCCACCCAGTTTGTCTAATATAGGATTTTTAAAACACACAGAAATGCATGCCTACAAAATGAGAATAAGTAACATTATACATCTTGAATGCATATGTATATATGTATATGTATTAGTCGTTCTCACACGGCTACAAAGAACTACCTGAGACTGGGTAATTTATTAAGAAAAGAAGTTTGACAAAGAGTTCCACAGGCTTAACAGGAAGCATGACAGTGAGGCCTCAGGAAACTTACAATCATGGTGGAAGGTGAAGGGGAAGCAAGCATGTCTTACCATGGTGGAGCCAATGGATGGGGAGATTGAGGGAGTGCCACACACTTTTAAATGATCAGATCTCATTAGAACTCACTCACTATCATGAGAACAGTGAAGGGGAAATCCATCCATGACCAAATCACCTCCCACCAGGCCCCTCTTCCAATTAGACATGAGATTTGGTTGGGGACACAAATCCAAACCATTTCAATATATAATACTCATATTTGTATTTATGAAATGACCATTTTATTGACATAGTAATCAAATGTGTGTGTTTCTGATGCATAGACTGTATACATTTTGTAATAAACAGATGAATCCTTGTATGTGCATTAATATAAAAAAATTACTCCATAATAATCAGACCCTTATAATATTATGTCAACACCAGTAAGTTCTCTACCTACATTTCATAATTGATTGCATTAATGTGACAAAAACTAAACAGAATTTATTGATTATTGTGTATATATTTGTCAAGGGAATATTAATCTATTCATTAACCAGCAAGACGTTATGACCTTAAGCACCACTGGGTATTTTCTTCTTTCTCTGTTAAAATATCATTCTGATCCTACATTTATTGCAGGAATTTATCTGCTGTATTCAGTTTACTTTATTTTTTAACTCATAATCATGGTACATGAAATACTATGTCACTGGCTCATGAATTATCTTTATTTATATCACTTAATTTATTAAAGTTACAATTAATCTAATCCCCAATTTGAGAACTATTACTTCATAAACGACTGGCATCTTTCATTGTGTCTCTTTCATATTACAACTCCAATTCTCTCACAGGAATTGTCCTGTAAAGAATTTGTGTTTAATATTTCTCTTCCCATTTTCAAAGTTTAGTAACATATGCATTCATCTCTAAACAATAAATTGGTTTAGTATTTTATTATTGAACTTTTAAAAAACATATATGAGATTATTGATTATTTTCATTAAGGTAAGCAACATTAAAACTTGTATGTGGCCGTGCGTGGTGGCTCACACCTGTAATCCCAGCACTTTGAGAGGCTGCGGCAGGTGGATCACGAGGTCAGGAGATCGAAACCACCCTGGCCAAGATGGTGAAACCCCATCTCTATTAAAAATAAAAAAATTAGCTGGATGTGGTGGGACGCAATGTAGTCCCAGCTACTCGGGAGGCTGAGGCAGGAGAATCGCTTGAATGCGGGAGGCGGAGGTTGCAGTGAGCCGAGATTGTGCCACTACACTCCAGTCTGGTGACAGTGAGACTACATCTCAAAACAACAACAACAACAACAACAACAACAACAACAACAACTTTTATATAACATTCTGGGCTTCTTTTTAATTCAGTATTATCAACTTTTATTGTATCCCTTCTCCTGCACATGAATTTTCAATTATTTTCCTCCAGATGTTGCTATTATGACCTATGGTACTATAAAAGTATTATCTCCTTGTATGCATGTGCTAAGTTTCTCTTAGGTATCTATGATATCAGCCCACTGCTGTGTCATGAATGAATGTCAAAACTCAATGGCACAGGAAACTAGGCCTTCATTATCAGGATTACAGTTCTTTCTCTATGGTCCCCTTAGGGGGACCATACAAGGGTAGTGTCATACCACTTGTGTCTAATTATCCTAGGAAAGAAAGTTATGCAGATTGTATTTTTATGATGATAGTGGAAGCTCCATTGTGCAAGTACATTTCAATCCTTCAATCATGTTATATCCATTAACATAGGTTTACCCAAACCTAAAGTTGACATCATTAGAATGAGGAAGGATATCCTGCCTACAATTGGAGAGACAGGAAAGTGAAAATTTTGAAAACTAATCCAAACTATCACCAAGTCCTAGCAGTAGTATGATTATATCATACTGTATGTGAATATTGTGTCTTACACTTCAATGTCTAATTGTTTTCCAGAGTGGTTACATCAAATTATATTCCCACCCATTGATTCTGTATGATATCGCATTGATTCTCATTCTATTCTACACTTCCTCTATTAAAATTTTAATTTTTAACCTTGAAATGGGAATTAAATGAATGTCATTATATTATTTATTTTCATTTCATTGACCTTTAATATTAAATTACTTGGATGTATATGTGTTGTCTGCTGTAAAATATTAACTTATCTGTTTTACGTAGTTTCTATGTATTGCTTGTTTTAATCTTATATGTCTACGTAGGTCTATGATCCATTTCAAGTTGACTTTTATGTAAGATGAGAAGTTTTGAGTCTAAATTCATCTTTTTGCACGTGGAATCAAATAGTCTCTAAACAATTTGTTGGTAGGACTCTTCTTTTGCAAATAAATTGCCTTGGTGTTATTGTTGAAAATCAAACTGCCATAAATGAAAGGGTTCATTTCTTTATTTTTATTTTCAACTCTATCTCATTGGTCTATATGTCTATAACTTGTACCAGTACCACAATGTCTTGATTACTGAGTGGCAACAGTGTTGAAGAAAACCTGCTGAAATTTTGATAGGGTTTCCATTGAATCTATAAATCAGATTTGTAGTAGCATTTAAATTCTTAAAGTTTAGGTCTTCCACTTTCTTTAAATGTTAAGATTGCTTGGCTATTAGCAGTATTTCACATTTTCATAGAAATTTTAAAAATAGTTGGTCAATTTATGCAAGAGGGAGAAGAAAGAGAAAGAAGGAGAAGGGGAAGGGGAAGGGAAAGAAGAAATAGAAGAAGAAAAGAGGAAGAAGAAGCGGAAGAAGAAGAAGGAGGAGGAGAGGAAGGAGGAGAAGAGGAGGAGGAGGGAGAAGGGAGAGGGGAGGGAGGAGGAGGGAGAAGGGAGAGGGGAGGGAGGAGGGAGAAGGGAGAGGGGAGGGAGGAGGAGGGAGAAGGGAGAGGGGAGGGAGGAGGGAGAAGGGAGAGGGGAGGGAAGAGGAGGGAGAAATGAGTAGGGAGAAGGGAGGAGTGGGAGGGGGAGGGGAGGGGGAAGGAGAGAAGGAGAAGGAGAAAGAAGAAAGAAGAAAAGGAGGACGATGAGAAGGGAGAGGAGGTGGCAACAATGGCGAAGAAAAACCTGCTGCAGTTTTGATAGGGTTTTCATTGAATCTGTCAATCAGTTTGGGGATGATAACCTTCATCATAATATGGAGTTTTCCAATCTGTAAAAATATATTATCTCTTTTATTTAAACCCTCTTTCATTTGTTTCAGCTTCTTTTTTAAGTTTTCAATGTGCAAACTTTATGAGACTTTTGTAAAATCATCCTTAAATATTTCATTATTTTTGATGCTACTGTGAATGGAACTGTCTTAGTTTCATTTTTGGATTGTTTTTACTATACAGAGATACAACTAATTTTTGTACATTGGTTAACTTTGCAGAATAAAAGACCGATGTACAAAAATTAGTTGTATCTCTGTATAGTATAAACAATCCAAAAATGAAATCACAAGTTATATGAAGTGTGACTTTATTAGTTCTAGTAGTTGTTGCTTTTGTGTGTGACTCTCTTCAGATTTTCTGCATTCAGTATTATTTAATGAGTCAATAGAGTTTTACTTATTCCTTTTGAATCTGAATAACTGCATTTCACTTTCTTGCCTGATTACACTACAAAACTTTTAATACAAAATTGAATGTATGTGATGAAAATGGATATCTCTGCACTGTTTCTGATCTAAAGAAGTATTCACTCTTTTAAGTTATTCATAGGATTGTTTTATTTAAATACCTTTTATCACACTGAGGAAATGCACTTCTATTCCAAAAATGTTGAGCATATTTTTTCTAATCACTAATGGGTGTTGGATTTTGTCAAATGATTTTTCTGCATCTGTCTGTTGAGATGATAATGTATTGCTCTGTCATTTAATTTATATTATGATGTATTTCATTAATTCATTTTTGGATATTAAGTCTTCCTGGCATATATCACATAAATCCACTTATTCAAAAAAGATATTCCCCCCTCACCATTTCTAGAAATACTTGTGAAAATTTGGTCTTATTATTTTTCTAAATGTTTCACAGAATTATGGTACTAGGATTTTCTTTGTGGAAACATTTTTAAAAACTAATTCAATTTCTTGTTAGATTTTCCATTTTTCCTTAAGTCAATTTTAGCAACTCATATCCTTTTAGAATTTTTCTATTTCATATAGCTATTTCATATATAATTTGTTTATGCACACTTTTTGTAAACTTTTAAAAGAAGCTTTTTTTGTTTGGGTTTTTCTATAGTTTTTCTGTTTTATCGATTTCACCTCTAGTAATTATTTTTATTTATTTCTGTTTGCTTTGGGTTTAGTTTGTTATTCTTTTCTTGTTTCTTAATGTCGACACTTAGGTTATTGACATGAGATCTTTCTTCTTTTCTAATATAGGCAGTTAATTATAAATATCTCCAATATTATGCAGACATGCAGTTACGTGGTGTCAAAAACAGCATACAAAATAGTTGTTTGCTTAAGGTTAGAGTTATAGTCTAATTTTCACAGAATTCAAAGGGAATTAATTGTTCATTAGTGCCTTCCATCCCTTATTCATGTTACCTCTTTTCAATTTGCAATTTACAATCTCCTCTCTACCAAAATAAATTCAAGGCAGCTTCACTTGGCTATGATAATTTAAAAAATCATATCCCTGTTCTTTGGGGGTTATCGTCTCTTAATTCAGACTATTTTTCTTCTCATGAAGCTACATATATATTTCAATTATTCATTTCCATATTGTTATAGTTGGGATGGACAGAGGGGGGAGTGAGGTAATCATATTGGAACTTATGTGTGGAACATTTGCAAAAAAATGAGACTATTTACACTGAAAATTAGCATGCTTTTAGCCAGTTTTTTTACATTTTATGAGAAAAATGTCTCTCTCATCAATTAATTGTGAGTACATTTCCCGGGGTCTCCTTTAGTAATCCGGGCTGCTACTTCAAAGGGAAAAAAAAGCAATAGAATTTTGAAGCCTTTGGATGAGAAATAGTAATATGAGTACCAAAAAAGCTATTTTTTTACTTAATAATATTATTTGTTATTTGAAACTCTATATGAAACATGTATCGTATGACCCCTACATATAGTGATATTTTATAAAAAGTTACTACAACAAAATGCCCAATAAGTTCTTCAATTAAATATTGCTCTATGCATACTTAGTTCTATGGACTGCACCTGATATGGAAACACCAAGGTATAATTCTAATTAAGAAAGTAAAGAACAACAAATATGTTGGATATTATAACTCTAGCTCAGTAATTTTTAAATAATACTTTTTTCTTTCTATATGCATTCAAAAATTCCTCTAGTATTTACATGTCAAAGGGGGTTGAAATTAAGTACAAATATCTTAAATTGTTAAACTTTTCCTAATATTAAGAGATTTTATGGTTGAACATCAGAGGTTGATGGATATACTTGGCTATGACAAGATTATGTAAGATTTTTATATGCAAAATACCAAATGCCAGATGTTCTTTATCTCTGTTAGATGAAAAACAAATACAAATGAGGTCAAGTACTCAATGTGCATAGTGTGACATTTAAAAATATTTCTATCACACATCTTGTTTTCAGTAACATTTTAAACCTGTCAGTGGATAAAATTAAACGGCACTCCCAAACATGTCATTAAATTAAAACCTGAAAAGAGACTACTCATTTAATTATCTGATCTTAAATTTCTGACAGTGAAAAGAGGATTACATCAATGTTTAAAATTCAAGGGGAAAGAAAGGAAATTATATTGGCAGGGCTCTGAAACATGACTTAAATTTCATGAGTTTAGATGTTTGTAATAACTATTCATCTATGATATAAATGAGATAAGCTTATATTGACTTGTGCATTCTCAGGAGAAAAATTAAAAATGTGTATCTTTAAGCAAGTAAAGAACAAAGCCTGTTTTACATAATGATATACTGGCGACAGCTGCATGACAGTCTAGAAGAAATAAGGCTATGGTAGGCAATGATTCATCATAAAAATAACTGTTATAAAATCATTTGCAAACAAAATCATTATAAAACTAACCACATCTTTCATTATCTGCCAAGTTTTTGTAATTGTTAAATTATACTAATCCGGTGGATGACAGACTCATCAATAATGGAGAAACTTCATAAATTAAACAAGAAAAAAAACTTTGTAGAAATTACAGTAAAAGTAAAATTATTACTGGCTGCCAAGAATTTAAGATCTATTCTTACACAGTATGATAGGTACCATATGCTGATTATTTATAATTATTTGAACATTACTGAGAATGCTTGACTTCTTTTACTGGTGAAAACACTTGTTTGTTTTCAGGATTTCAAAAGTGAACAGTGGAGTGATATCCAATTCAATAGTAGTTGGAAAAACAGAGATTTGACCCGAAGTTTCTAGATTTAAAAACTATAGAAATAATTTTTCAAGTGAGACATATTATCACTATCTAATCATTTCATTATGGGCCTCAAAAATTTTGTTTACTCAACAACTACTTTCAGCTTTTTTATGCTAGACACTGATCAAAGCTTAGACAAAACAGTGAATAAACAGACAAAATTACTTGCCTTAAAGAGGCTTATATTCTAGTAGGAAAAGAGAACAAAAAACAACACAAAAATAAAATAAAATATATAAAAGTTGGATTGTTACAAATCCTAATGAAAAAATATATAAGCCAGAGAAAGTTTTGAGTTGGGATGTGGGCTGCAATTTTCATTAGAGTAACCAGAGAAAGATTCCCTAAGAAAGAGGTTTTGAGCAAAATCTGAAAGAGTTAAGATAATTTCCAGTAATTTTACCCAGAAAAAGAACTCTAGAATGAGGAAAGAGCAAGTACAATACTCTGAGATGAGAGTAGGCTTCTATTTCTGAAAAACAGAAAAGAGGTAACTGGTTACAGAAAAATGAAGAACAGGTAAATATGTAGGAGAAAGGAGGCAGATATAGGAGGGGGACACAAATCATATAAGGTCCTTAGTTCTAATTATGAATAAGATAGGAATTCAATGGAGGTTTTACAGCAAAATAGCGACATAGTTTGACACGTCTCACAAGAATCACTTGAATTTATCAGTTGAGTGTAAACTATAGAGAAAAAGGACAAAAACAGAAATAACAAATAATAGACAATAAGCCACTCAGAGATAAAAGGGGTTTGGACCAGGCTAGTAGAAATGTAAGTGGTAAAAAATGCTTGAATTATTATTATTATTATTTTTTGTTTTTGAGATGGAGTCTCGCTCTGTTGCCCAGGCTGGAGTGCAGTGGCATGATCTCAGCTCACTGCAGCCTCCACCTTTTGGGTTCAAGCAATTCTCCTGCTTCAGCCCCAAGTAACTGGGATTACAGGCGCCCACCACCAAGCCCAGCTAATTTTTGTATTTTTAGTAGAGACGGGGTTTCACCATGTTGGCCAGGATGGTCTTGAACTCCTGACCTCAGGTGATCCGTCCACTTCGGCCTCCCAAATTGCTGGGATTACAGGCATGAGCCACTGTGCCCTGCCTGAATTCTAAATATAATTTGAAGGTACTACCAACAGAATTTACTGAGTGATTGGCTCAGAAGAGTGAAAGAAACAAGAATCAATAACAAATTCAAGGTATTTGGCCTATGAAACTAGAATGGAGTTGCCATTTTTTGAGTAAAAAAATCAAAGAAATATAGTGGATTTGAGGGAAATAGGAATTTGTTTATGGATATCCTTAAGTAGTAATGGTGATTAAAATTGGGCATATTGAATCAGCATACATAAAAATATGAAGCTCAGATAAAAGGCCCAGGTTGTCAGTATACATTTGAGCATCCGTTTGAATCAGCTTTATTATTACTTAGGTATGATAAGGCTAGCAGACCAGGAAATTACTGCCCTTAAAAAGATAGTTTATGATACTCCAAGTCCCCGAGAGAGAAAACACGTCGCACCGTGAGGCACTACACGGGAAAGCACTGGTGTCAGTCATGAGGCAGAGAGGGAAGAAAGAACTGTGGACAAGAGCCTTTATTTTGGTTTCCACTGAAAGAAACAGGTGAAGCAGGGTAAACGGTCTTATAATTGGGTGTTTTGAGAAACTTCAACAGGCTCTGGAGCATAGGGGCTGTGCCTGGTTGTCTGGCACTTGGGCCTGGGGTGATTAGGGCAGATTTTTAGTGACCTGAAGCATGAAATCTCAATAAGTGAAGTAGGTGGGAGTGTAGACTTGGATTGCTTGGTCTGTTTTTGAAAAGTTCACCGTCAGGAGAAGGACTATTCTCAAGTAGGAGGAATGAAGAAGGAGGCAGGAAGCTAAAATGAATCTGGTACTATCAGGTTGTCCAGAGCAAGATGTATCTAGCATATGTATGCAGGGGAGACACTAAAAATCAAATATACAGAAACTTGAAGAAATATGATGAATATAAAGTTGTCACTGATAGGTGGTATTTGAATCCATGATTATGAATGAGATCTTTAAGGCAGGCATAAAAAGCAAAGTATTTAGAATGAATTGGTCAACAGGTAGAATAAAATGCATTAGGAGTATCCTAGGACTCTAGTAAAAAAAATTTTTTTTCAAAGAAAAGGTAATGATTTATTTGTCAAATGTTGTCTGAGAAGAAAAAAGGAGGTAAGGACTGAGACCAGATCATTTTATTTAAAATGTTGTTAATAAATTACATAACTAAAAACAGCTTCAGAGATAAGCAGCAGAGTAGATATCAAAATTTTTCAGGATTTCAAAAGTGAACAGTGGAGTGATATCCACAAATATGGCAGGGTAAGGTAACTGAAAATTCTCTGCTTCTCAATAAGCTGACAAAAATGATACATATTGTCAAAATAAATGTTTCAGAAATGTAGATATTAACTGAAGGCTTGCAGCAACCTGGAACAGTTGTTCCCATAATGCTGGCTGAATCCAGGCCAGAATAACAAGTTTTGCATTATTTTAACTTGCCCAATTCCCATCTCCCCCTCTCTAACTCTTCAGCAGTCTTAAGAAAGAAAGAAAGAAAGAAAGAAAGAATAAAAGGTAAAACCAGCAGCCTGATAGCCATTAGAGGGGACATAATGTGGTTGGAACAGTGCTCTTACACCTTATTCTTAAATAACTGACATTATTTGAACTACCTGGTGGATCCTGGAAGATCCCTCTTATGAGGCTGTCTTTATTTTGACCTGACTTGGGTCTCCTAAGCTGAAAAAGTCTCTTCCCTGGAAATGTTGGTTGAAAACAACTTGAAGGAAATTTCTTGACTTCACAGCTGCCTAAGAAAATGGATAACAGCTGAAGAAAGCAAAAGCAGAAGCAAAATATTTAAAGAAAAATATAGGAACATGTCCATTAGAACTTAGAAAAGCTAAAAAACTCCTGGGAATGTAAAAGACCACACACGTGTGGGGCTGAGGGCATGGTCAAGAAAAACCTGAGAAGGACATAATTTCTCACCTCCAGTTGATCTTGAGGCTCTTCAATAGCAGAAAGTGCCAGCAATGCCCAGCCACGCTTGCCACCCAAGGGCCTTGGGACTGTGCCAACCAGGCCACCACCACTATCACTGGTACCCACGAGCACCTACTGCCACCACTGAAGCCAAGGATGCCACCTAGTGGCCCGAGGACCAGCCTGCCTGGGTCCACCATGTTGGACTCATGTATGTCACCCAGAGGCCCCAAAACAGGCACACTTGGCCCATTTTGGCCACCACTGGTGCCTGAGGACCAAACTACCTGGCATCCCCATCCCCAGAAAACCCTCACCAGAGCCTCTACTAACAACCGCAGCCCAAGTAACTGAACACAGACACCACTGATACTGATTATACCCAAAGAAATAAGGAAGAGAATATACTACTTTACCCACCTGGAATCAAAGCAAAAGCATGCTACCAAATCTTCATCATAGTTACATTTATAGGGAAAGTCTTTCTCTATGAAAGCAAATCTATAAAATTCAAAGAAGACACTGTTAAATCAGATGCACAGATTATCAAGGTAAGGACACAAGAAACATGAAAAAACAAGAAAACATGACACCACCAAACGAAAACAATAATTCTCCAGTAACAGATTTTAAAGAAAAAGAAATCTATAAAAATGACTGGAAATCATTCAAAACAATCTTATAAAGGAAGTTCAGTGAGATACAAGAGAACACACACAAAAAATCAAGAAAATCAGAAAAGCAATACACAATATGAATGAGAAGTTCAACGAAGAGACTGATATCATACAAAAAGGCAAACAGAAGTCCTGAAGCTGAAAATTTCAATGAATGAAATAAAAAATATAATTGAGAGCTTTAACAATAAACTAGATAAAGCAGAAGAAAGAATTTATAAAGGTGAAGACAGACCTTTTAAAACAACCCAGTCAGGCAAAAACAAAGAATAAGAGGCAATAAAGAAAGCCTACATGACAAATAGGATACCATAAGATGACAAAATATTCAAAATATTCAAATTTTGGGATTTATAGATATATGAAGAGATAGGGGAAGGCATAAAAAACATATGTCATGAAATAATAGCTGAAAACTTCCCAAGTCTTGCAAGAGATACAGACTTACAGATACAAGATAATTAAATACAGTCAACCCAAAAATATTCAAACAAAAAGGGTTTACTCTAAGGCACATTATAGCCAAAGACAAAGAGAGCTTTAAACACATCAAGTGAAAAATGTTAAGTCACATATAAGGGAATCCCCATTAGACTAACAGTGCATTTCTACAGAAACCTTATAGGCCATGAAACAATGTGTTGAAGTCTTCAAAGTACTGAGAGAAAAAAAAAAACTGCCATTCAAAACTACTTCACTCAGAAAAACTAACTTCAGTAATGAAGGAGAAATAAAGTATTTCCCATACAAGCAAAAACTGAGAGAATTCATCACCAGTAGATCAGCCGTCCAAGAAATGCAAAGAGATTCGAATATCTGGAAGTAAAAGGATGATATCTACCATCAGGAAAACACATGAAAGTATACAACTCACTAGTAGAGTAGGTACACAAATGAGAAGAGATGTCAAAAGACATCACTATTTAAAAAACCATCAAATTATAAAAGTAAACAATAGAAAAGAAGAAAGGAACAAAGGATATACAAACAATCAGAAAATAAATCACAAAATGACAAGAGTAAGAGGTCATTTATCAATAACAACCTTGAATGTAAGTGGTTTAAATTCTTCTGTTAAGATCTAGAGAACATAATCCTAAGTCAACTAACAGAGAAACATAAAATAAAGCATGGCATGTTATCATCTATAAGTGAGAACTAAACACGGAGTACACATGGACAAAAAGAAGGGAACAAAAGACACCAGGGCCTACTTGAGGGTAGAGGCTGAGAGGAGGATGAGAATTGAAAAACTACCTATTAGGTAATATGCTTATTATCTGGGTGATAAAACGGTCTGTACGCCAAGCCCCCGTGACATGCCATTTACCTACACATGTACCCCTGAACCTAAAATAAAAGTTAAAAAAATAATAATTTAATGTTTTTAAACAATAAATAAATAAATACATTTTCCAATTAAAAGGCATAGATGAGATGAATGAATTTTTAAAAGACCCAATTACATGCTTCCTATAAGAAATTTGTTTCACTTATAAAGGCACACATAGGCTGAAAATAAAGATATGATTAAAAAGTGTGCAGGAATATCTATACTTGTACAAGAAAAAATAGACTTTAAGTCAAAAAATAAAAAGAGACAAAATCATTACATAAAGATAAAGGGATCGGTTCAGCAAGAGAATAAAACAAAGGTAAATATATGTGTACCCAACACTGGAACACCCAGATACATAAATAAAATACTATTAGAGCTAAAAAGAAATAATAGACCCCAATACAATAATAGTTGAAGGCCTCAACAGCCCACTTTCAGCATTAAACAGATTAGGCTGAAAATCACCAAAACAACAACAAACACAGCCTGAAGTACAGACCAAATGGACCTAGCAGACATTTGCAGAACATTTAATCTAAAAGCTGCAGAGTACTTGTCATCAGCACATGGAAATAAACTATACATTAGGCCACAAAAAAAGTCTCAACACATTTTAAAAATTCTAAATTATATCAAGTCTCTTCTCAGCCCACAGTGGAATAAATCTAGAAATAAATAACAAGAGGACTTCAGAAACTATACAAGTAACCTGAAATTTAAACAACGTGCTCCTAAATGACTATGAGTCAATGAAGAAATTAAGAAGGAAATTAAAAAATTTCTTGAGACATGAGAACCAAAACCAATGAGATAGAAGAAAATTAGTGCAGAGAGGGCTGTTTATAGCAATAAACACCAACATCAAAAAAGTAGAAATACTTCAAATAAAACCTAAATATGCAACTCAAGGAAGTATAAAAGCAAGAGAAAACCAAAGCCAAAATTAGTAGAAAGAAAAAAATAATAAATATCAGAGAAGTAAATGAAATAGAGACTAAAAAAATACAAATGATCAACAAAGCAAAAAGCTGACTTTTATGATTCGATAACAAAATTGATAAAACTGCTAAGCTAGACTAACCAAGAAAAACAAGAGAGGGCCCAAATGAGTAAAATCAGAAATGGAAAAGGAGATACTACAGCTGGGGAAGCCAAGACGCAAAGGATCATCAGAAACTATTATTAACAACTATGTACTTAAAAGTTGGAAAACCTAGGGGAAATAGATAAATTCCTGGACGCATGAAATCTTCCAAGACTGACTGAGGAAAAAATAGAAATCTTGAACAAACCAATAAGGAGTAACAAGATTGAATTAGTAATAAAAGTCTTCCAATAAAGAAAAGCTGAGGGCCAGATGATTTTACTACTTAATTCTAACAAGCTTATAAAAAAGAACTATCACCAATTTTTCTCAAATGACTCAAAAAGATTAATGAGGATGAAATTCTTTCTAATTCATTTTATATGGCCATCATTAGCCTGACACCAAAACTAGACAGGGACACAACAACAAGAAAACTACAGGCCAATATCCATGATGGACATAGAGGTAGAAATATTCAACAAAATACTAGCAAATCAAATTCAACATCACATCTAAAAGATAATGCACCAAAATCAAGTTAGATTTATCCCAGTGATGCAAAGATGCTTCAACATACACAAATCAATAAATGCAAAACATCAGATTAACTGAATCAAGAAAAAAAAAAGTTCATGTCAGGAAACACAGAAAAAGCATTTTATAAAATTCCACATCTCTTCAAGATAAAAAAAAAACCTCTCAACAAATTATGCATAGAAGGAACATAACTCAACATAGTAAAGGCCACATTTGACAAACTCATACTTAACAACATGCTGAACAGCAGAAAAATTGAATACCTTTCCTCCAATAACTGGAGCAAGACAAAGATGTCCACTTTCACCAATCTTATTCAGCATAGTATTAGAAATCCCAGCCAGAACAATCAGACAAGAGAAAGAAATGACAGGCATCCTAATTAGAAAAGAGTAAGTCAAACTGTCCCTCTCTGAAGATGATATAATCTTATATATGGAAAAACCTGAAGACTCCAATCAAAAACTCTTGAAATTGATAAACAAATTCAATAAAGTCTAGATAAAAAAAACATAAAAAACCAGTAGCATTTCTATATACCAATAACAAACAAGTACATAGACCATTGACACTATAAGGCAACCACACAAACATGTCAACATGTCTGCATAATAATGAGCTAACAACACAATGACAGGATCAAATCCACACATGGAAATACTAACCCGAAGTGTAAATGGACTAAATGCCCCAATCAAAAGACACAGAGTGGCGAGTTGAATAAAGAAGCAAGATTTAATAGTATACTGTTTTTCAAGAGACCCATTTCACATGCAATGACACCCATATGCTCACAGTAAAGGGGTGGAGAAAAATCTACCAAGCAAATAGAAAACAGAAAAAAGCAGGGGTTTCAATTCTAATTTCAGACAAAACAGACTTTAAATCAACAAAAATTAAAAAACACACACATAGCTGGGTGCAGTGGCTCATTCCTGTAATCCCAGCACTTTGGGAGGCCGAGACAGGCAGATCACGAGGTCAGGAGGTCGAGACCATCCTGGCTAACATGGTGAAACCCTATCTCTACTAAAAATACAAAAAAAAAAAAATTAGCTGGGCGTGGTGGCGGGTGCCTGTAGTCCTGGCTACTCAGGATGCTGAGGCAGGAGAATGGCATGAACCTGGGAGGTGGAGCTTGCAGTGAGCTGAGATAGCGCCACTGCACTCCAGCCTGGGTGACAGAGCGAGACAAAAACAAACAAACGAACAAACAGAAACAAAGGAAGGCATTACATAATGGCAAAGTGCTCAATTCAACAAGAGGTAACTATCCTAAATATATATGCACCCTACATAGGAGCACTGAGATTAATAAAGTAAGTTCTTAGAGACTTATGAAGAGACATAGATAACCACATAATAGTAGGAGACTTCAACATTCCATAGACAGTATTAATATTAGACAAATCATTGAGGCAGAAAACTCACAAAGATATTCAGGAACCTGAACTCAACTTTTGACCAAATGGATCTGTAGTACATCTACAGAACAGTACACCCCAAAATAACAGAATATACATTCTTCTCACCTGCACATGCCACGTGTGCTAAAACGAACCACACAATCAGACATAGAGCAATCCTCAAAATATTCAAAAAACCCAAAATCATAGCAACCACACTCTTGGGAAACAGCACAATAAAAATCGAAATCACTACTAAAAAATGGCACAAAACTACAGAGTTACACAGAAATTTTAAGACTTGCTCCTGATGGACTTTTGATTAAATAATGAAATTACAGCAGAAAGCAAGAATTGAAACTATTGAGAACAAAGATACAACATACCAGAATCTGTGGGACACAGCTAAAGCAATGTCAAGAGGGAAGTTACAGCACTAAACACCACATCAAAAAGTTAGAAAGTTCTCAAATTAATGACCTAACATCACAATTAGAGGAGTTAGAGAAACAAGAGCAAACTAACCTGAAAGCAAGCAGAAGATAAAAAATAACCAAAATCAGAACTGAAGGAAATTGACACACAAAAAAGCATACAAAAATCAATGAATCCAGGAACTGATTCACCAAAATAATTAATAACATAGATAGACCACTGGCTAGACTAATAAAGAAAAAAGGAGAGAAGATTTCAATAAACACAATCAGAAATGACAGTGTTTACTTAGAACGCAATAACCCCTGAACATAGATGCAAAAATCCTCAACAAAATATCAGTAAACCAAGTTTAGCAGGACATCAAAAAGCTAATCCACCATGACGAAGTAGGCTTTATCCCTGGCATGTAAAGTTGGTTCAACATATACTAATCCATAAATGTGTTTCATCACATAAACAGAACTAAAAACAAAAACCACATAATCATCTCAATAGACATGTAAAAGGCTATCAATAAGATTCATCATCTTCTCATGTTAAAAACCCTCAACAGACTAGGCATCAAATGAATATACCTCAAAATAATGAGAGCCATTTATGACAAAATCAAAGCCAACATCAGCTGCATGGGAAGAATCTGGAGGCATTCCCCTTGAGAATTGGAACAAGACAAGGATGCCCACTCTCACCACTCCTATTCATCATAGTACTGGAAGTCCTAGCCAGAGCAATCAGGCAAGTGAAAGAAACAAAACACATCCAAATAGAAAGAGAGGACGTCAAACTATCCCTGCTTGCAGATGATATGATTCTATACCTGGAAAATATCATCATCTCTGCCCAAAAGCTCACTGATCTGATCAACAACTTCAGCAATGTTTCAGGATATGAAATCATGGTGCAAAAATTAGTAGCATTCCTATACATCAATAACCTACAAGGCAAGAGCCAAATCAAGAATCCAGTCCCATTCACAGTAGCCACATGAAGAATAAAATACCTAGGGATACAGCTAACCAGCCAGGAGAAAGATCTCTACAAGATTAACAAAACACTGCTCAAAGAAATCAGAGATGGAATAATCAAATAAAAAAAATTCTGTGCTCATGGATAGGAAAAATTAAGATGGTTAAAAAGACCACACTGCCCAAGGCATTTTACAGATTGTATGCTATGCCTATCAATGTACCAATTACATTGTTTACAGCATTAGAAAAAAAAAAGTTTCTAAAATTCATTTAGAACCAAACGAGAGCCTGAATAGCCAATGCAATCCTAAGCAAAAAGAACAAAGCTGGAGGCATCACACTACCTAACTTTAAACTATACTATAAGGCTCCAGTAAATAAAACAGCATGGTATTGGTACAAGAACTGACACAGAGACCAATGAAGCAGGTCAGAAGATAAGAAGATAAGGCCACACTACAACCACCTGATTTTTTTAAAATCTGGCACTGAAAAGTAATGAGAAAAGGGCTCTCTATTCAAAAAATGGTGCTAACTTCCTAGCCATATATGGAAGACTAAAGCTGGATTCCCTCCTTTCACCATACATAAAAATCAACTCAAGATGGATTAAAAACATACATGCAAAACCTAAAACTATGAAAACCTTAGAAGAAAACCTAGAATATACCATTTTGACATAATCCACAGCAAAGACTTCATGACAAAGACTCCAAAAGCAGTTGTAACAAAAACAAATAGACAAGTGGGACCTAAGTAAACTAAGGAGCTTCTGCACAGGAAAAGGAACTATCGACAGAGTAAATGGAGAACCTATAGACTGGGAGAAAATATTTGTATATTTTGCATCAGATAAAGGTCTAATATCCAGAATCAACAAGGAACTGAAACGAACCAACAAGCAACAAAACAAGCAACCCTTCCAAAATGGGCAAATGACATGAACATTAAGTTTATAAAAAATGCTCAATATCATTAATTGTTAGAGAATAAAAATTTAATCATGATTGAGATATCTCATACCAGTAAGAGTGGCTATTATTAAAAAGTAAAAAAAATAACTGAAGTTTGCCAGGTTGTTGATTAAAGGGAAAGCTATATGCTGCTGGTGGAAATGTAAATGAGTTCAGCCACTGTGGGAAGCAGTCTGGAGATTTCTTAACTTAAAATAAAGCTACCATTTGACCCAGCAATCCCATTACTGGGTATATATCCAAAGGAATATAAATTGTTCTACCATAAAGACTATACATACATATGTTCATTGCAGCAGTATTCACACTAGAAAATACATGGAATCAACCTAGATGTCTGTTAATAGAGGACTTGATGAAGAAAATGTGGTACATATACACCATGGAATACTAGGCAGCTATAAAAAATAATAAAATCATGTACTTTGCAGCAACACAAATAGCGGTGAAGGCCATCGCCCTAAGCCAATTACCACAGGAACAGAAAACAAAATGCCATATGGTCACTTATAAAGGGGAACAAAATATTGAGTACACATGGTCACAATGAAGAGAACAATAGACACTGGGGCATACTTGAGGGTAGAGGGTGACAGAAGGGCAAGCGTTGAAAAACTACTTATCAAGTCTTATGCAAATTACATAGGTGACAAAATTATCTGTACACCAAACCCCCATGACATGCAATTTACCCAAGTAACAAATCTGCACATGTATCCCTTTAATCTAAAAGCTCGAAAGAAAAAAACAAACAAACTGCTTTTGTGAGACATAGGGCAAGAAAATGAAACTATTAAATTATTCTATGCCCAGAGATTATTGCAGAAGAGATGGGCATGTGAGATTACAATCAGAATCAGAATTGATTCTGGGGGACAAAATTAATTCAGTTTTTCTATAAATCAAACAATATCAAAAGCATAATGATGTAAGGCTAGAATCTGGGTCCATGTGTTGGAATAACAGGATATTTTTTGAGCACTGAATTGTTCTTTACTATAAACTCATAAAAGGCTATAAAAGGTTTATGGAAATGTTACCCTATGATCAATATGATTTAAATTAGATTTATTTATAAGTTTTCATAAAATTACTTTTAACATTAACAATACAAAATGCAAAGGTAAAATTTGGTTTTCTATTTTGAGAAAAATTTTGTGTAATATTAATAAGAGAAAATAAAAGATTTTTGTTTACCCTTTGAGTAAACTGCAAGGGAAAAAAGGAGGGGAGAGACAGATTTAGTTGATGTCATGTTTTCTTATTTCTGGGAAACTGAGTTTCCTGTATCAAAGAGTAAAGCTTTTTGCTTTTTTTGAAGTCTCCCAATTATTGTTTTGACTAAATGAATCACTACTTTATAATGACCTGTGATCCTATTTTGTGATCTCAACTGTCTTAAAACTTTGATATTTGACAAACTTTCCAAAAGCAAATTTCAAGTTCTAAGTTTGGTCTTTTTCACCTCAAACTAAGCTTTTTTTAACTTGGTTAGTTTCTGAAGTCCAAAAGAGACATATTAGGCTTATTTGGTATGTTGAAATTATACAAGAACAATTGTCAAATGTAAGATGGTGTTTAACTTTCTGTAGATTATATTTATATAAATGTGTTATTACTATGTATTCTAAGACTGTATGAGATCTTGAAATTCTCCTTTGTCTTAAAATGTGTTGTCAGTAATTGTTGTGATTATTATGTTAAATTGTTCTACGCCAGAGAAATAACCAAATTTCTTTTTCAACTGTGTCTTTAACTATGGGTATCCTAAGACTTTTATCATCCACAATGGTTGTTTTCTTAGATTCTTCTAAAAAAATACCCTATAATCTGCTATAGTCTAGGGACTGCTTCTTTGAGAAAGTTCAGGAAAAGAACTCTTGAATGCAGTTTTCTTATAATTTGAAAATTGTGCCATTGACTGAGAAAGAAAACTTCCAGAAATCTAATTAAATTGGGCTAATTGGGTTAGCAATATTTGTGAATGAATACCATTGAAGCAGAGCAGGAGTTGACTACATTGACTGAACTAATACAAAGACAGAAATAATTGTTATGGTATTTTATGTTGGAAACATTACTGATTCTTTTTGCTGTTTCTTAGGGTATAGAGAACATTTTCTTTTGAGCTATGTATAGCCTTTAACAAGTAAGTAGAGCATACTCTTGAAAACAGAATATGAGACACACCTCTGTGTGTGTGTGTGTGTGTGTGTGTGTGTGTGTGTGTGTGTATCTGCCTGGTTTCCACTTAATTCAGAAACTCTTTGTGAGTATTCTTAATTCATGGCAATGTGATTGTTTACATAAGTTCAATAAGAATCAGTTTTCTTTTATAATGGGATACAGTTAGAGTAGCTGGTTATTTTCTCAGAGGTTTGACTAAAATGGCATGTTTTCACATATAAGCAGACTGCTTTGAGAATTTGAGATTGACTTTATAGAGCCCAGCAGAGCTCTTGATAAAAACTGGTCTTGTGCCTTGTCTATGAAGTTCCTGTAGTTCCTCTTCAGGATGCCTGGCCTGTGGTGATAGAGTGTCACTTTCTTACAGGCCCAGGAACCTCAACTTTTTTGAGGTCCTCAAGAAGAGAAGGGTTTACCCATTTCATGCAGGTATCTGCAGTCGTAGGTGAATCCTTGGCTGGGCTTGAGAGGCCTTTGAAGGTAAAGACAGATTCCTTGTGAGAGGTTCCAGCAAAGCCAATATAGGAGGGCCTATATGGACAATGATTCTTGCTAAACTTTGTGTGGGTAATCAGGCCAAATATAGTGGGAATGAGCGTATTTTGCAGATAGATTTGTCTTGCTATGACTTGCTTTTGGTAAAAGTTGGGAACTGGAGAGAGAAATATTGTATTTCAGAAGAAAACTATGATATTAGATTAGCCTTTGATTCCTGGATGGCCACAGAGTCACCCATGATATAGAGCTGCCAACAACACACCTCCTCAACATGAAGCAGTCAGAAAGATGATCAGATTCTCTATGATTGAGGAATTAATAAACAGAAAGAGGGGCACTAATTGTGGCTGAATTGTCCTTTAGAACTGATTTTTCTACTTTCTTTTGAATAAACGTAGAAATGGACTCTCCTAGTCTTAAAATTTAAGAAAATCCCATTTGTCTTACCTGAGTTTTTTTCCTCAGGAAACAAACCATCAGGCCTCTCAGACAGAATCAAAGAAATGAAACTTTCTGTATCACTGCATCTGGACAATGAGATGCCAGATCTCTCACCTGTCAAGACTACCTAACCACCCATATGCTTACTGTTGACTAAATCCTCTTCCTTACCCCTCTCTAATTCTTGTTTTCCCACACACAGTCACATTTCTTCCCTGCTGTGTAAAACCCTAATTTTACTCATTTGGGGAGACAGATTTGAGATTGATCACCCTCGGCTGCATCACCTGATTAAAGTCTTCGTCTTTGACAATACTTATCTCAGTAATTGGTTTTGTGTGTGATGAGCAGCAGGACCTAGACCTAACCCCTGGCATTTCAGTTTCCAGAAGTATTAACAGAAGAACAGACCAAGCTGAGGAAAGAATCTCAAAGTCTGAAGACCAGATTTTGAATCAACTCAGTAATACAAAAAGAGAAAAATAATGAACAAAACCTCCAAAAAATATGGGATTTTTTAAGCAATCAAACTTATGACTTATTGGCATCCCTGAGAAAGACAGTGTAAGCAATGTGGTAAACACATTTAAGGATATAGCCCATAAAAATTTCCCCAATTTTGCTAGAGAGGTTGACATGAAAATTCAAGAAATACTAGAAACCCCAGTGAGCTACTATATAAAACAAACATCTCCAAGGCACATAGTCATCAGATTCACCAAAGTCCAACTGAAACCAAAAGTCATAAAAGGCAGCTAGACAGAAGGGCATGTCACAAACATGGGAACCATATCAGGCTAGTAGCAGACCTCTCAGCAGAAGTTTGACAAGCCCAGAAAAATTGGGTCCTACTTTCAGTACCCTTAAAATAATGAATCCTCAACAAATTACTTCATATCCCACCAAACTAAACTTAATAAATGAAGGAGAAATAAAATCCTTCTCAGACAAACAAACACTGAGGGAATGCATTACAACTCGACCAGCCTTACAAGAGGTCCTTAAGGGAATGTTAACCGAGAAAACCAAAGAACAATACCTACTAACCACAAAAACCCACTTTAAAATATCCCACAGACACTGCAAAGCAACTACACAATGATGTCCACAAAACAACCAGGCAAAAACAAGACAATAGGATCAAAACCATACATATCAATAAGAACCCTAAACATAAATGACCTAAACACATAACTTAAAAGGCATACAGTGGCAAGCTGAATAACAACACAAGACACAATTGTCTACTATTTTCAGGAGACCATTAGACATGTACAAGCACCCACAGGTTCAAAGTAAATGAATGAATAAAGATCTATTAGGCAAATGGCAAACAAAAAAAGAGTAGAAGGCTCTATTTTTCTATTAGATAAAACAGACTTTCAAAAATGTAAAAGGACAAATAAGGTCATTACATTGATAAACTCTTCAATTCAACACAAAGACTCAGCTAAATATATGCACATCTGACACTGGAGCACCCACATTCACTAAACAAATCCACCTTGACCTACAAAAGAATTAGATGGCCACACAATAATGTGGGAAACTTGAGTATCCCATTAACAGCATTAGACAGATCATTGAGGGAGAAAACTAACAAAGAAACTCTGCACTTAAACTCCACACTTGACTAACTCGACCTAATAGGCATCTACAGAATACCCCACCAAACTGAATACACATTCTTCTCATTTGCAAATAGATAGATTCTACGATGCATAGAATATGCATCATATTCATGCATATTCATTCATTGTATATTCACAGAATATACAAACATATTCTATGATGGACCACATGCTCAGTAATGAAGCAAGTATCAATAAAATAAAAAAATCAAAATCATACCAAGCACGATCTTGGACCATACTGTGTAAAAACAGAAATTGATATCCAGAAAATCTCTCAAAATTACACAAAACATGAAAATTAAACAACTTGTTCCTGAATAACACCTGGGTGAACAGGGACCTATTAAGGCAGATTCTTTGAAGTGAATGAAAGGACACAATTTAACAAAAATCATTGGGATGCAGCTAAAGCAGCATTAAGAAGAATATTTATAGCCCTACACACTTTCATCAAGAAGTTACATCACAAATTAGCAGTTGAACATTGCACCTAGAGGAACAAAGAAAAAAGGAACAAATCAACCCAAACCCAAGGAAAGAAATAACTAAAATTTGAAAACTGAATGTTATTGAGACATGAAGATCCCTACCAACAATGAATGAAACCAAGAACTGCTTATTTGAAAGAATAAACAAGATAAACAGAACACTGGCTAGATTAACAAAGGAATAAAAAGAAGATACAAAGAACAACATTCACAAATGACGAAAATGACATTACAACTAATCTCACAAAAATATAAAAGGTCCTCAGAGACTATTATGAACACTATGTACACAAATTAGAAAGTCTATAGGAAATGGATAAATTCCTGAAAACCCACAACCTCCCAGATTGAACCAGGAAGAAAGTAAAAACCTGAACAGATAGATGAATAACAAGCTCTGAAAACGAATTAGTAATAAAAACCTAATAACCAAAAAAAGCCATGAGCAAATCGATTCACAGCTGAACTCTACCAGAAGTATAAAGAAGAAGTGGTACCAATCTTACCAAAACTATTGAAAAAAATTGAGGAAGAGGTGCTTCTTCTTAACTCATTCTGCCAAGCCAGCATCAGCCTGATACCAAAATCTGGCACAGACACAATGAGAAAAGACAGCTTAAGGCCAATATCTCTGACAAACATAGATGCAAAAATCCTCAGCCAAATGAATTTGTCATCATATCAAAAAGTTAATACATCATGATCAAGTAGGCTTTATTCCTGTGATGCAAGACTGGTTCAATATGCACAAATCAGTAAGTTGTGATTCATCACATAAACAGAATTAAAAGCAAAAACCAGATGATCATCTAAATAGATGAAGAAAAACCCTTCATTAAAATCCATCGTCCTTTCAAGATAAAAACCCTCAGTAGACTAGGCATTGAAGGAACATACATCAAAATAATAAAAGCCATTATGATAAACCTACAGCCAATATCATACTGAAAGGGCAAAAGTTCGAACCATTCCCCTTAAGAACTAGAACAAAACAAAGTTTGCCACTCTGACCAGTCCTATTCAACATAGTTCTGGAAGTCCTAGCCAGATCAATCAGCTAAGAAAAATAAATAAAACAGGAAAAGAAGAAGTCAAACTATCTCTCTTCACTGGCAATATGATTCTGTACATAGAAAACCCCAAAGACTCTTCTAAAAGGCTTCTAGAATTGACAAATGACTTCAGTAAAGTATCAGGATACAAAATAAATGTACACAATCCAGTTGCACTTCTATACACCAATAATGTTCAAGCTAAGAGTCAAATGAATAACACAATCTCATTTTTAATAGCCTTGTGAAATAAAATATCTAGGAATATAGCAAATCATGGATGTGAAAAATATTGACAAAGGAAACTACAAAGCACTGCGAAAAGAAATCGGAGATGGCATAAATAAAGTGAAAAACTGTAAGCTCATGGATTGAAAGAATCAATATTGTTGAAATGGCCATACTGCCCAAAGCAATTTGCATATTCAACACTATTCCTGTCAAAATACTTATATCATTCTAAACAGAATTAGAAAAAAAACTTTCCTAAAATTCATATGGAACCAAAAAGGAGCCCAAATAACCAAAGCAATCCTAAGCAAAAAGAACAACAGTGGAGGCATCACACTACCTGTCTTTAAAGTATACTACAAGGCTATAGTAACCAAAACAGCATGGTACTGGTACAAAAACAAAAACATAGACCAATAGAATACATTAAAGAACACAGAAATAAAGCTGCACACCTACAGCTATCTGATCTTTGACAAAGCAGATGAAAATAAGCAATGAGAAAAGGACTCCCTATTCAATAAACGGTGCTAGGACAACTGGCTAGTCATGTGCAGAAGACTGAAGCTCGACCCCTGTCTTTCACTATATAGAAATGTTAACTCAAGATGGTTTAGGATTTAAAAGTAAGACATCAAACTATAAAAATTCTAGAAAGAAACATAGCATATAACCTTCTCAACATCAGCCTTTGCAAGAAATTTTTGGCTAAGTCCCAAAAAGCAAATGTAACAAAAATAAAAAATTGACAAGTGAGATCTCATTAAACTAAGGAGCTTTGGCACAGCTAAAGAAACCATCAATAGGGTAAACAGACAACCTACAGAATGGGAGAAATAATCACAAATGATGCATCCAATAAAGGTCTGATAAACAATCTACAGGGAATTTAAACAAATCAATAAGCAAAAACAACCCCATTAAAAATGGGCAAAGGACATGAACAGACACTTATCAAAAGAAGGCATATAAACAGCCAGCAAACATGAAAAAATGTTCATCATACTAATCATCAGGGAAATGAAAATCAAAACCACAATGAGATGCTAATTTCACACCAGTCAGAATGGCTATTATTAAAAAGTCAAGGCTGCAGAGAAAAGGGAAAGCTTACAAACCAGTGGTGGGAATACAAATTAGTTCAGCCACTGTGAAAAACAGTTTGGAGATTTCTAAAAGAACTTAATAAAAAACTATCATTTGACCCAGCAATCCCATTACTGTTATATACCCAAAGAAAAATAAATCATTCTGCCAAAAAGGCACATGCACTCATATGTTCACTTCAGCACTATTCACAATAGTAATGACATGGAATCAACCTAGGTGCCCACTGACAGCAGACTGGATAAAAGAAATGTGGTACATACACACCACAGAATACTACATAGACATAAAAATGAATGAAATCATGTCCTTTGCAACAACATGGATGCAGCCTGAGGCCATTATCCTAAGTAAATTCACACATGAACAGAAAATCAACTACCGTTTTAAGCTAAACAAAGTGATATTATAAAAATTATAAGAAAGTGAAAATACACTTACAGTACTGTACTATATTTATCAATACCATATGTTTACATTGTCTGTTTCAAGATGAATCATCTGTCTGAAATGGCAGGCAACTACAGCTGCAGACACATCAATCTATGATACATATCAAGCAATTCAATTTTTTCTTGTAATGTCATGACTTTTCTCTGTTTCTTGGGAGCACTTCCAGCATCACCTAGTGGCATTTCATATAGGTCCCACCGTGTTCGGCAAGCTTTACTGTATTGCACCAAACACGATAAAAATACTTGAGAATCTCAAGAAATCACTTTTTACTATGATGAGCAATTTACTGGAAAGATGAACTGCTAACAGGGAGATACTTAAGAGTCACATGGTGTTTTAAGCAGATATTCCCAACAGGAGCTCATCACAATAGCTACAGGATGTGGCTACAAAATGATTATAGTACAGTATGTACTACAGTAGGTACATTCAGTCATGATTTAATACTGTATCTTTACATTTGTTTACATTTATCTCAGTTGTGAATGACACCATGTAGGGCATTTGGGTGCAAAAGTTTTGATAAACTGTAACTTTTTATAATAAGATATGTAAGTTTTATGATAGTAAATGATAAAATATTACCTACATGTATTTTACATATTTATGACATAACTTTTTCTTAATTGTTTCAATATGTCTATGCTACATGGATTATCTGCAAGATTTTTTGAGCTACCTCACATTTCCAAAACTTTTCCAATATATTTACTGCAAAAATCCATATTTAAGTGAAGCACAGTTCAAACCTGTGTTGTTCAAAGGTCAACCGTATATCTAGTAAAGCAATTGTGACTGATATCACCACCTGATAATTTTATGGTAGTCCACCATTTCCTACTATGATCCACATTTTTTTTTTGCAGAAGCTGGGGAGCTGAACTGAATAGAAATGTGGATAGCACTATTATCCCTGAATTTTCAAACACTTTGACTGAGGGTGTTAATCCCAGAATTTATTTTCACGATGTCGGTATTTTTCCTTATTTGCTCGCTTGATTATATAGGGGCAGAGGCACAGTTTAAGGAGCCTGCACTTGAATCCTCTTGCTATAATGGCTCTATTCAGGTCAAGAATAAATGTGGTTTTATATCAACTGCTAATGATATTTATCCTAATTGTACATTTGGAAACAGAAAAAAAAAACATAGGGTAAAGTCTCCAGATGCACTGGATGCACTATAAAATGAACTCAAATAAAAACTATATTTACCACCTGGCTTCTGTAAATTCTGAATAAGACAGAGAACTACAGTAGCATTTTGTGTTCTGGAAAATGTGTCAGTTCTATGTAATTCTCCTTGTAAGTCCATATTTATCCATCTGAAGGACTATGTGTCTCCTTGGGAACAGTTTAAAATACTTACTGCATATATGTGTGGTGACATTTCAAGATCTTTCCTTAAGGTGTCCCAGCTTCCTCTTCAATGTACTCTGGATTAGCAAACTAGTTTAGATTTGCAAATTTAGATGAGGGGCAATGATTCTGCACAATGGAAGCTGCTATCAGGCCTTTTCTCACTGATGTTGATATTTTCTTATTTTAGAAAGTTAAGAAATATCCTAGGTGACTGGTTACTTGCTTTACCCTAAAAACACCACGATTAGCCAACACCAAAAATTCCTGCAAATAATGGAATCTTGAAAGCCAATCCAGCTTTTCTGCCTATTGTAATAATGTCCAGTATGCTTTTGAAAATAAAATTCTGCCACATTTCTCCTACTATTCTGTGATCAAATAATCCATATTATTCACATTGATATTTGGCATCCATTTCTATGGAAGCATCCCGTAAAATCAATCCAAATCTCAATGCAGGATTTCTTATTGCCCTAAAATAGAAAGTGTCCTCTGGGCTCACCTCTAAGAAAAATAGCCAGGTAGTAAAAATCCACCCCAGTATTTCCATCAACCTTTAAAAGACTATGCCAAGGAAGTTCCAGGATACTTGCTTCATTATGTACATCATCTCTGAATCTAGATGTCAAGGAACTATTGTGGTATTAAAAAATAAACTTAGTCACATTAACATTTTTAAAGTTTATTTTAGCGGACAGTGACTCATGAATTAGGCAATACCAGTTCAGTGCTCCATTTGGGTGAAGGGTTCATGTGAGACAGAAACTTTTATAAGGTGTTTGCGGAACACCTTATAAAAAGAAAATATATTCAATTGGTTACAGGAGAAAGGCCCTAGTTAAAGTAGTGTTTTTGGTTTCTAATTGGTAAAATCTCTAGGTTCATCTTACTCTTTACATTTTGCTTCAGTTTGCTTATGTAGAAATGTAACACCCAGGAGCCATCTCACCTTAACGGCCTTCCAATAAATTTTTTTTCTAACACTGAAAGATTATTAAGGCCAACTTTAATAGTACTTGCCAAAACATTGAATCTTGTCATAAAGAACATAACTTCATGTCTATCAACTTTCCTCTTCCAGCCTTACATCACTTTAGCCTAATTCATTGAAATATATAAATCTGCGTATTTCCAAATTTTACCAGTATATATTAGCCAAGTCTTACAGTTTCTCTGACATGTAGACTATTGTTTTCCAGATCAGCACTTGTACTTCCACATTGTACTTGCCTATTCTGTTATCAAGCTGGTGTTATGTGGGTGATTTTTGAGGAAAACAAGCATCACTTTGTGAGGTACTTCCCCATATGAGGATATTACATGGTATCCACAGATTGGGAGGGGGGTTCTTTTAGCAAATAAGAGGTTACTTGCTTTACCCTAAAAACACCATGATTGGCCAACACCACAGATTGAATCCTCTTACTATAATGTTTCTACCAGATAGTAGGATGCAGGCGAATTAGAGTGTTCGAGACTTTCAGGCTCTAGCCAATGCTCCTCTCCTGTGGGTCCAAGGTCCACTTATCCCTAACTTTTATATAGGCGACACGGTCCTTGACTTTTACTTGAGAGAGTTGACAAAGTTGGTAAGTTAGTGTCCTTTATATCTCTGCCACCTTGAAATTAGATCATAGGCACAGCTTCATAGCGAGGAAAATAAAGTTCTTCCCTAAATGTACAATAAAGGTATTCTGGTTTTGAGAGTCAGCCAAAAGCTCTGAGTCTATTCTTTTCTTTTACAGCTTCCTTAAAGTTATACTGCTTTCATAACACTTCATTGCTGAAGTTATTTAATCTCCTAATACCCTTTCTTCCATATATACCTCATCAAAATTAGCCACAAGGGAAAGCTTAATTTGTAATGCTATAGCATACTAATGATGGGGCATCTATTATATTCAGACAGCTGGAAAGTAAAAGTAAAAAATTATATCCTGAATGTTTTCTTTTGAGGACCACCTGTACTACAAATGTTCATAGCCTGAGTTACCAAAAATAAAAAGCCTGAGATGAGAATTAATTGTTGATTCTCATTATAAGAAGTACAACCTGAGAGCAGTGAGAGTGAGTGAATAAGCACGTAAGACAGGAAATGATACCTCACAAAATACCTGGGATAGATTACTGTGTTTCACAATGAGCCACAAGAAAACACAGGAAGTTGCTTGACTGGTTTAACTACTCAGCCATAAAGGAAATTTTGGAATAGACTGCATGGAGAATCTATTCTAGGGTCCATGATTTCTCCATCTAAATCCTATGTACGCAGACTTTTTTTTTTTTTTTTTTTTTTTTTTTTTTTTGAGATGGAGTCTCACTCTGTCGCCCAGGCTGGAGTACAGTGTCGCGATCTCGGCTCACTGCAAGCTCCGCCTCCTGGGTTCATGCCATTCTCCTGCCTCAGCCTCCCAAGTAGCTGGGACTACAGGCACCCGCCACCATGACTGGCTAATTTTTTTTTTTGTTATTTTTAGTAGAGACGGGGTTTCACCATGCTAGTCAGGATGGTCTCGATCTCCTGACCTGGTGATCCGCCCACCCTGGACTCCCAAAATGCTGGGATTACAGGCATGAGCCACCGCGCCCGGCCCATAGACATATTTTATTTTCCTCAAATATATTACTACATATTAAAGTATACTCATAAGATAAATCTCTTATCTTTTTGCCTGCATATTCCCATCCATCTTTCACTCATTTATTTATTCAACATTTGTTTATTAAACAATATTTGAAGTTCTGGATATACAATAATGGGTGACAAATGCAACCGTAAGCCAGTCTGGTCAGATTGAGATAAAAGAGAAGGATAAATAGGGAAGAAGAAGGAATAAGCACAGAGGAAGGAGAAAAAATTAATCTTCCTAGTTTCCTCCTGGCTTCTATTTCCCACTGGTCAAAGTTCATGCCAAAAGAAATTACATCTTACACATTTCTCTATTGTGTCATCTGTCCCATTTGGTGGCTGCTTAGGGATCCTGGTGTCATAATCTGTGTGCTGAGGGAATACATCCTCTAGGGTTATTTAGGAGTGTCAAATAATTGTTTTGGTATCATGTGAATATGAGATGTGCAGAGAAAAAATCCCTTCATAAAAGTGTCCGGCCATATGACATATAGAGCAGTAGAACATTTCTTGCTAATGTCCTTAAAGACTGACTTTCAGTAAGGATAGCAAACCTGATCAAAGCCTGCCTCTAAGACATAAATCAGTTTTATATTCAGGGAAAAGGCTGCAACCTGAAATTATATACACATCTCCCGTATCAAAACTCGGCAGACAGCAGCTTACGTATCTAAGCATTTATGACCAGACAGTAAGTTCATCAAAGTACCATGAAATAAACCTGACATTAAGTATCAAGGTGACAGAATCTCTGAAGAAAAGAACTTCATACTGTAAAAAGGATAGTAGGAACAAATGATTTCCAAATATTTATTTATGAAAGCATTGTAGATTGCATCATTAAGTAAAAACGTGCCTGAAAATGACCTCTGTGCTCAAGTAGAAATAATTTTTTCAGTTCAATAGGAGCTTGATTTCATAAATGGGGTTCCTTTTTACTAACTTTGACCCTTTCTACAGCCCTTCTTTCAGTCAAGTCACCAGCAGAACACCCATTGTTTCTTTGAGTCTCAACTGAATTTGCTCTTTCGATTCATGAAATATTCTTCCAATTCCTTCATATATATATATATAACTTCCCTTGAATTCTTTAATTCCTCTATCAAAACACTTATGTTTTCTATAATTATGAGTTTCCATGTCATAATTTTACACCTAATGAGAACACAAATGTTTTCAAAGCCCCTAATTCAACGTCTAACAAATACAGCATTATGTACCAAGTAAGAATTTGTTGAGTAAATGATTATGGGCCTTAGATGACACAGCCCCAAATACCTGCTTTCCTATTAGACACTCTTTCCACTCATTCACTCTAGCTATGCTAGCACTCTTGGCATCTCCAATTGATTTTACTGCCTCAAATCCTTGGCATTTGTTTACTGCCTTCCTTCTCTCCCCCAGCTATCCCCTTCACAGCTGGGTTGTTTTGTCCTTATTTTTTAATCACAAGCTGACCTGCCAAAGGCTTACATTTGTATTTATCATTCGTTATTCTATGCCCAGAGCTTCATATAGTGTTAAAAAATTGTGGAATAAATAAATGAAGGAGTGAAAGGTAAATGGGAATATGAAGGCAAAAATAGACAATGTCTCTTAGGATTATAGTTTAATATTCAATAATAAATTTGAAGGAAAGAAAATAAAATTTTTTGTGCCTATGTACCAAACTCTTTTTTTTGGTGCTTAAAATACATTATTTAAGTTAATCTTCTGAAGTCATTTTGAGATAGATATTACTTAAATTTTAAATAGAAAACTACATCCGAGGAACCCAGGTGAATATGTGAAAAGTACACGTAATTATGTGGAAGAGCCAAGGTTCATTCTAATGCTCAACTTCATTATTGACTGTTTTCTTTACAACATTTATCATAGTATTTACAGACTACAAAGTAACATAATGGAAAATATTGAGGAAGAAATTTAGATGTAGCTTAATTATTTGTGAATGCATATAACTCAATTGTGGAATAGTATTAAAAAATCAAACTACTGAACTTAAATACCAATTAATATGTTTGTCAAAATTATTTATCCAAAATATAACCAGTTAACGTTGAATATCAGTGAAGCATATATTAGCTTTAATAGATTTTTAAAAAGTATAATATCTGACTTTCTGAATATAAGCTCTACATTGGTAAAATTATTTTCAAATTTGGTGTATAGTAATTGCTCAGGTATAAAAAGGCAGATATTTCAGGCAGAATATTCTTGCCCCTTTCTTGTTAGCATTTTGTATGTTAAAACAGTAAAAATTATTAGATGCTGTTCTCTAAGTATCTATCAACAGTGAATCTACAAAGTTATTTGAGTTTGATGTACCAATATTGTAGCATATACTTGGAAAAGCGAAGATAACAATTTATTGTAATATTAAATTATGATATAACTTTGATATTATAAATTTCCAAGGAAAAATACATCAAATTGCTAGAGTTTTTTTCAGCAATGCTAAGTAAAGCAATGAGGTCCTCAAGAAAGGAAGATACTAACATTGAATTTAACTCATTTAATAATTTGCTGAGGAATGCAACAACAGGTATATTTTGATTTCTCATTAAAATCCTGTCTGTTGAATTTTCAACTTCCACTCAGAAAACATTTCTTAAAACACAAGAGAAAAGAATCAAATAGATAAAAGTTCAAACAGGTATTACGTACAATTAAAATTTCCAAATGTTTTCTATGTTTTTCTCATTAAGTTTTCATGTTTTATCAAAGTTGCTTTATTACATTATGAATATTTTCCTTGCCCAGTGCCACCCATACTCCACTTTTGTCGAAGAGTATCCCTTTCACCCCATTTGATATTCTCTACTTAAACCATTACGGGGGACAGATACCAAAGATGACCACCTCTCAGTAATGACACTAGACCCCTCTCCATCTCTGAGATAATTTTTGTCAGGGCACATGACTCTTATTATACCAGCCGCAATCACTCCAACACTGTGAGAACTATCCTGAGATGCTTCAAATTGTGTCCTTTGCTTTCCAGAATCACAGCCCACAATCTATGCTGGACTACTCGTAACTACAAACAGAGAGGGAGCAAAAGATCATCCCTTATAAAAATTTTATCTTCTAGAAATGGGTAGTAACAAATGATCGGGTATTTTTTTTTAACACTAATACAGTTTGACATCTAATGCAAAAAATCAATTTTCTCCAGATTTAAATAAGAAGATCTTCTCCAGATAATAAAATCCTCAATTATTCTGGAGTATGAAGCAGAAAAATCCCATAATTTTCAATAGCCAATATCTCAAAATATACTATCAGTATGTTGTACAGAATTAAATCCACATCTTTTTTTTTTCTCTATATTTATGCAGAACACATTACCTTAGGTCATTATTAGTATAAGGAAGGAAATGAGAAACAAGGTATTTTACGGGTGCATTAAAGCGTTGATTTCTATATCTGTAAACGACCTTTAAATAGCCAAAGGTAGTTAAGAGAAAAACATATTTTGCTCATGAAAGATATAGCTTTTTATTTTATTTATTTTTTTTTTTTTTGAGATGGAGTCTCGCTGCGACACCCAGGCTGGAGTGCAATGACTCAATCTTGGCTCACTGCAACCTTTGCTTCCTGGGTTCAAGCGATTCTCCTGCCTCAGCCTCCCGAGTAGCTGGGACTACAGGTCTGTGCCACCACACCCAGCTAATTTTTGTATTTTTAGTAGAGACGGGGTTTCACCATGTTGGCCAGGCTGGTCTTGAACCCCTGACCTCAAGTGATCCACCCACCTTAGCCTCCCAAAGTTCTGGGATTACAGGTGTGAACCACAACGCCTGGCCGAAACATATAGCTTCTTATATTTAATGTTTAATATTTCTTACATTTAACCTTGACTACGACCATCCATATTTTAAAAGCCCTGATAATCCCCAAAGAAAAAACACTTCTTAAGTATGATTATAGAGTTGCTGGAAATTATCTGAACATAAACCTCTCCCCACTCCCTTATTTTTCCCAAGCAATGTTATCTGAAACTGATGAAACTTTTTATTTGAAATCTTGTTCTTTCCAGAACTATTGATCTACTATATGGATACCCCAGATGTATCACAAAGGCAGAGAAGAAAGTAAAGCTCCTCTGCAGATTTAATGCATAGGTTGGGGTTTTAGTTTTAATTTAGTAACAACAGCAGGATTAGTCTACTTAAACACTGAAACTACAGACTGGGGGCAGTAGCTCACCCCTGTAATCCCAGAGCTTTGGAAGGCTGAGGCAGGAGGATTACTTGGGGCCAGAAGTTTGAGACTAGTCTTGGCAACGTAGTGAGACACTGTTGCTACGATTTTTTTTTTAATTAGCCAGGCATGGTGACACACCTGTAGTGCTAGCTACCAAGGAGGCTGAGGCCAGAGGATTGCTTGAGCCCAGGAGGACAAGGCTGCAGTCAGGTATGGCAGTACAACTTTGCTCCAGCCTGGGTAACACAGTGAGTGAGATGATCTCAAAAAGCAAAAAGCAAAAAAAAAAACAAAAAAACAAAAAACTAGAATTTACTTATAACCATCTAATGCACTCCTTTCCTTCCCACACAAGATTTCAAGTCATTATGGTTTTATTCTTAATTTCTTAATTCCTATCTTTGCAGCTAATCAATACTTCCTAAAATGGACATGTGTCCAGCAGAATAGTTAGGATTCTTCAGTAGGTCAAAGACTAGTCCAAGAAGTATTCTGGCCAAGACATGATGGAACTGATGGAAATGTTATTTTTTCCCCTTCTTTTTACTCTAAGGAAACACGACTGAAAGTAGAAATACTTCTACCTAAAAATGTTTAAGGTAACCAAGGTTATTAATCCAATGTCATTCAATGCCACAATAGCCTGGTTGGCACATAAAAACCTTGCAGTGCCATATTTAATCACATTAGCAAGTCCAATAAGAAGTATCATAAGGAGAAATACATAGTAATACTATATCATACCAACTACAACCAAAATATTCCTGATCAGATGAAAGCTTTCTCTAAATAAAAAATCAATTTTGTGAAATGGTAAGGAGAGAGAAGTGTATAAAATCTGTATGAAATCTCTCACCTTTTCTTCAGGGTTCTCTGCTAGATGGATAGGCTTCTCGAACCCTTTCAAACTGTCAAACTGTCCTCTACAAAGCATCTTGTTATTGTTCTTTCTTCCTACCTTGACCCTAATGACTACATTCTTCACACTTTGCCATTGTTTCCCAAGCTTACACTTCAAAAAGGATACTGTCCTCTTCTCTTCTATTACTGAACATACACCTGACAAACTGCAGTGACAATATTCAATTCACAGAACCGCAGGTTTGACAAGCTCCAATCACAGCACATACACGTGAATTTAGAGGACCTTATCTTAGATTACATTATACTATGCTTTTGTTTGTATTTTTATTTTCCAATGAATGTTAGCATTTTTATTGTTGATTGATCTCTGCACTTATTAAAGTATTTATCTTTGAACTACTTATTTCAGCTTAGAAACGCAGATATCTGGCTAACATTATCTCCCAGCCAGCAAAAAAATTGGTGAGTATATTCCAAGGTAACACATTTTCTTGACTCCATAAAAGAATTGAGGTCATAAGGCAAGCAACCAACCTGAAAACGTGAAACAGAGAGTCCCATACCTGCAGATTAAACCAGATTCCAAGCATTTATTTTCCTGGGGAAGATGCCACCAGAACTTATAGAAGCCAACAGATAAATGAAACTGGAAATTTTAATGCATTGTTGGAGGATGAATGTAGACTACCATGAAAGTAGGATGTCTACAGAGGAACATTGATATTTGGATTCCTACTCATTTTCAGGCTTTTCCTCTGGGAAATCCATCAGGTTTTCCTGGAGAGGATCAGAGACATTGTGCTGGCTTCAGGAAAACATCAACCACTACTGAAATCTGCTTACATCCTCTATCTCCCTTGTAGAATAAAGAGTGTAATCTCTAGGGAGAAGAACACTGAGGCCTACATGGTACAGGCAAGTCCAAGAATCTCAGAGAATATCAAACAAGAAAAATAACAAATCCCAGTCTCTAAAAACAGCATGTGCAAAATCAAAAACGAAGAAAAAATCTTGAAGGCAGCTCGGGGATCGTGGTGGTAGTGTGCAGACAGAGGCAAAATAATAAGAATTACAGCAGACTTTTCATCAGAAACAACATAAGCCATAAAATAATGAAGATAATGAAAAAAAAGTTGGAATGTTAGACACAGCAAAAAAATCCTTCAAAAGAGGAAAAAAGCCAGGTGCGATGGCTCACGCCTGTAATCCCAGAACTTTGGGAGGCTGAGGTGGGTGGATCACCCAAGGTCAGGAGTTGGAGACCAGCCTGGCCAACATGGCAAAACGCCATCTCTACTAAAAATAAAAAAAAAATTAAAAAAATTAGCCAGGCGTGGTGGCAGGTGCCTGTAGTCCCAGCTACTGGGAGGCTGAGGCTGGAGAATTGCTTGAACCGAGGAGGGGGAGGTTTCAGTGAGCCGAGACCATGCCTTTGCATTCCAGCAGGTGAAACTCCGTCTCAAAACAACAACAACAAAAATATAGAGTTTCTCAGGCAAACAATAACTGAGAAGGAATTTATTGCCAAACCCAGTTACCCTATAAGAAATGTTAAAGGAAGCTCTTTGGTCAGTACAAAGATAGCATAGGTCAGAGCCTCGGACCTGCACAAAGCAATAATGAGTCAGAAATGTAATAAATGAAAGCAAAGCCTTCTATTTCCTACTGAATAAATGTGGCTATACAAATTACTAAATAAAAATGTTTCCCTTTCTGGAACATATTTAGAAAACTCTACCTTCTACAATATTGGCTCCATAAGATAAAATTTTTAGGATTCAAAACCTGAAGTCTATTTATACTAATAAAAAATATTTGACAAAGCCTGAGATTCTTGGTGAATAGATGTCCAGTGGTTAGAAAAAACAGCCAATCATATATGGGGATTATACAATTCCAAAATACTATTAAAGCTATTCCTTAAGTCATTGATTAAGACTGACATTTTTTTTTCTGAAAATTACAGGATAAACTTCACTAAAATTATGAAATTTACAATCTTTTATGAAAAGTACAAAAAGGGAAAGGTTGAGAACCACAACTAGACTTTAGAACCTCAAGTATGTCATTCAGAACTAAATATGGATTCGGATTTATGCTGTTTTTCACCATAGAGGGGAAAAGGCACATTTTTTTTTCTTTTTCAGAGAAAATCTGAAAGTCAAAACAATTTCAGAAGGAAAATGACTTGTCACTGTAATCTTTTTGATACTATAGGGCTATATTTTTGGTAAGTACAATGTGCATATGCAAATAAAGTGGTCATGGTATTTCAGTCCATTTGAATGAAACTAAACACATGCCAAAATACTAAATTTCATATTTTTTAACATATTGTGAATTATTACACTAGGATTTTTAAAAGCTCAAAGTCTTAATTTTAGCTTTTTCCTCCTATTTGTACATCTAATGGAATCTATTTTATATAATGTAGCTTCTTTCCTGAGCAGACTTTTGTAGAAGATGCAATAATTTTATGGCTTGATTAGTACAAAAAGATTTCGAAAGCTGCATAACAAACTATAATTATCTCATTTTCCTCTATTGTTTGCAACTACTGTACGTATACTCATTGCTCTCTTCCATATGTATAATTAACAAATATAGCCAAAATTTTCCAAGTCACAGAACTATAAATTAGTAGGAAGATTCAAGTGTGTGAATTTCTTAAAAAGAAAATGTTTTCTATCAGTAAAAGACCTCATCTCTTCTTAGGGCATCCAACTTTGCATTAAAAATTGTTGCTAAAATAAACAGCTGAAGATCACATTTAAATCCACAAGGTTTTCGCTGTTAGATTAGCAATTCCAAATAAAAAGTTGTAAGAAATTAAGATGGCTCATAAATTTATTTAAAATATACTTGACTACTAGATGCTACAAATCACATAATATACAAATCTGAAGCCAGTATGAACTCTGCTTTAAAGTACTGAAAGTAAGATAGAAATAATGCTCTACCAAATAGGTATATTATGAGAATTTAAAGAAGTTTTAGAGCTCTAATTTTGTTATCACAAATAAAGCTTTCTTGCCTGGCAGCTTTGAGTTAAATCTTTAATGAATTTGATTTGGCTAGACTTCGAATTTTATCATTAAATCTAATGGCAGGCTGGGTTATGACCTCCGGTTTGTAATTTCCACTTTTTGCTTGGATGCCTGAAGCACTCCATGATATTGGAATTCAGTAATATAACCAAGTTAAATAAGTCATTCAATATAAAGTTTTCCCCAGTACAGAATGTCAGGCTAATCTGCATCTTAAAGTTTTCCTTAATTCAGAGAAATATTTTTCTGTTAAATATTTCAAAATATTTTTTCAGTTCTATTAATTGGATATTCAATTTCATTAAAATAATTTGAAACACCTTCCAAAACTAGTAATAAGGTAGGAAAAAACCTCACTTGAAAAAGAAAAATATATCCCCAAAGTAACAAAAAGATTACAGTGACAAGCCATTTTCCTTCTGAAACTGTTTTGACCGTCAGATTTTCTCCGAAAAAGAAAAAAAAATGACAGCAAGTTCTTTGGTATATTTCCAAATATTTTCTATTTTTGTACTTATGAAACAACAACAGACACATATACATACCTATTTTTACATATATGGCAATATATGTTTTCACTTAATATTTATCTGATTATTCCATGTCAGTAAGTAAAAGTATGCCTACATACCTTTTTAAAATTACTATGTAGTATTTTATAGTACTGTATAGGGATTCTACGTTTTGTTTAACCAGTTCTTTATGTCACAATAAATATATTTGTATAAATATATTTTTGCATAGGTTGGCTAAAGTCTTAGTAGTGTAAATGTCTTTATCAAAGAATATAATAATTCTTATCTGATAAGTATTACCAAATTACCCTCCAAAGAAAGTGTACCAAAATATGGTCCACCAATAATATATGAGAATATGAGGGTGCCAATTTTCTCATAAGTCATTATATATTGACTTCTGAAATCTGTAATTATCTTTTATCTTATGTCTATTTTTCTCTGAATGGATTGCAATTCACCTCAACATCTATTTTAATGTCAATAATTCAATTTTTAACTGTTTATAATTAATTCTGTAACTTACATTATTTACTAGTTCCAATATTGGTTCCTTAACATAACAACATTGCAATATTACAATGCACATCAATTTTTATTGAATTCCTCAGTTATAACCTATTTAAACCATTATTTTATTGAACTTTTGTTTTTTATTACCTTTTCTATATTGTGAGGCAATGAATTTATCCTCCATAGATTTTATTTCCAGGCTGTTATTTTGCAGCTTATATGCTTCGTTTCATTTTTCTCTTATTATGCTAGACTATGTGTGATTCATTGTCGTTTGTGGTTTTGCTAATTCTTAATATGAATAATTTGGCATATGTCTTCTATTTGGTTTAATAGCGTAGATCAGTGGTTCCCAAACTTATTGGCATCAGGGACCATTTTCGTGGAAGACAATTTTTCCACAGACTGGGGTGGGAAGGGGAATGGTCTACACTTAATGTGCACGTTATTTCTGTTATTATTACATTGTAATATATAATGAAATAATTTTACAACTCACCATAACGTAGAATCAGTGGGATCCCTGAGCTTATTTTCCCTCAACTAGATGGTCCTATCTGGGGGTGATGGAAGACGGTAACAGATCATCAGGCATTAAATTCTCATACGGAGCTCAATCTAGATCCTTGCATGTGCGGTTTGTGCCCTTATGAGAATCTGATCTCACAAGAGGCGGCAATGCAAGTGATGGGAGTGGCTGTAAAGGCAGACGAAGCTTTGCTCGCTTGCCCACCACGGGTCCTGCTGTGCGGCCTGTTTCCTAAAGGGTCAGAGACCAGTACGGTCTGTGGCCCCGGGGCTGGGGACCCCTAACGTAGAGGACTTCTCTTTGTTACCATTCACAAGCATTATTTGGTACTTGTTTTCCTCTCTTAGTTACATCTTGAAAACCTACCTATAGGAGAGGATACTTTTGTCATTAGCTAGTAATTCATTCTCTCTCCTCCCCTCGGAAAGAATTGGCCATTTGGTGTTTATTATCTCAGAAGAGAGATACGAATTTGAAAATCAGAGGTAAAAAAAAATTACCAGTTTTGATTTGTGCATATTCTCTGTCAAAGTTAACAATACATTACAGTAAGGAATCACAGCTAGAATTCAATTAGATCACAAATAAGATTTACATAGCCTACTAATGTTGGAAATAGTTTGGCTATCTGGATTGCAGATATTCACAAACGATATATACTTATCCCAATACCTCTGTGAAATGGGGCCTTTTTCTGCTGATCCAGTGATAGTAGAAACAGCAAGTGGTGTTCCTAAATAATGATTATATGACAACCATTGTGATGCCATTATTTATTTCCATGTTTTATTTATTTCAGTAATGGTGTTAATTTTTGTTTGAGGTTGTGATCAATTTCTTTATTACAAATTCTTCAGATTTTTTTATTTATTTTTAAATCAAGTTTGATAAGTTTATTTTTCAGGAAATTTAAAATTAATTCAAAATATCAAAATTCAAATGACAATGTTATTCAAATTACCATGTTATGACAAATACACATATAAATACAAAATTATCAATTTTGGATTTTTAGGTTTATTTGTCACAACATGGTTCATAATAGCCTTTCACAAATTTTTTTATTTCTGTGGGTCTCCACTATGATGTCCTCTTTTTCAGTCTTGGTATTGACTGTAGGTATGGACACCTGCATTCTCTCTGTCTCTCATTTTGCAATTTTTCAATTTTATCAGACTTTTGATTCTTTTGAATCAACTCATAACTTTGCTGATCTTGTTTCTTGTATTTTTGTCCTCTACATTAATTCCTTATTTTCTTAATTCTTTCCTATATTTTCATTGAGTTTAATCTGAAGTTTTTTTTGTTTGGTTGGTTTTTGTTGTTTTGAGACAGTCTCCCTCTGTAGCCCAGGCTGGAATGCACTGGCATTAAGAAGGATTGCCCAGGAAGCAAAAGGAAGCTACCTCAACCCTGTCCAGCCTGTGTTGGAGACAACTGGGATGTGGACTGTCCCTGGAGGCATAGGTCACCAGGGCCACAGCCAGCCTCACAAATGGTCCAGCAGGACTGATGTGTCACGGGGCTCCTCTTCCTGATTCCAACAGCTCAGACTGTCATTACAATCTAGGAGCTTTGGGTGATTCTGGAGGTTGAAGGGAGGAAGGTGGGAAAGTTTGAAGTGAAAAATCAATTTTGTTTGGCAAATATGTCATTTGACTTCCAAATTATTGCATTTTAGATAAGTATTTCTTAAAAAGTTACAGGTGGACTCTGGAAAATATTTACTGGATAAAGTTATTTTAACTAATTTTGTTTATATCTTTAGAGATTATAGAGACAGTAGTTTATAATAAATTGTAAACTAAGAAATTAATACAATTAAAATTAACAACACTTTTTTAATGTTACCATTGATGTTTCTTTCCTAATGAGCACATTAAATATGAATTTGATATGAATGAATGTGGTACCAATAGTTTTGAATTTAAAATATGTAACTTATGAGATCCTTATGGTAGCTAAATACTTTACATCATTTTTCTCTACTACAATTAATGTGAAAATTCCTTTTGCAGTATAAGCACTTTTACCTTTAGTTTTCACTTTGAACAAATGTTGAATTTATATAATTTAATTCTGCTCTGCCCTTTTCTTCCTAGGCTTACACAATAAACATGATACAATCTGTAATTATTAATAGAGGTAATAATACACTCATTGAAATTATGGAGTCATAATCAATTTTAAGTAAGTCATACAATCATAATACACTATATATTTTGATTAATTAGAAAAACAGAATTTGAAAAATATATAATTGGGTGAACACATATCAAGTATTTGGTGACTTGTGAACCCATGGTTTTTGTAATATTGTCTGGAATCATTGAGCAGCTCTTACATGTTTAATCTTTCAAAGACCAAGTTATTCAATATTCATCTAAATTCAAGTATTTGGCACAGTGTTTTCGGTACTGGGATTATATTTGTGAACAAGAAACAAATGTGCTCTTCTCTCATAATGCTGGTAATACAGTACAGTACAGATATTAGATGATTAAACAACTACATACTTTTACTGTTAAATAGTTGAAAATGGAAAAACATAAAATAACACTAAGTGTGTGGGTTTTAGAGACAACAGCATTGATTCAAGGCCCCTCTTAACAACTTTTAATAACAATAGAATTTGCTATCTTTAAAAACTTAATTTCATATTTCCAAATGTACAAAAGTTCCTACTTACTGCAACTATTTTGAAGATTGATTAAGCTAATTTATATTAACTCCTTAGCATATAATAAATGTTAAAAGTACTAGCTCATTTTGAGGGGGACAAAATTCTTATTTTAAAGAGAGAAAATCCTGCAAACAATTTCTTGAATTTTTTCCTGAAAATTTACTTTAAAAAATAAATTTTATTGTATAGATTCGAAGTTTACCACATGATGCTATGGGATACATATAGATATTAAAATGGTTACTATACTGAAGCAGATCATCTCACTCACATAGTTCCTTTTTGTAACAAGAGCAAATCCCTAATACAGACCAATGTTATTAACTATAGTCCTCATGTTGTACATTAGATATACAGACTTGTTCATCCTACGTTTGCCACTTTTATTCTTTGTCTTACATCTTCCCATTTTCTTCTCCACCTCTAGCCCATAGTAAGCATGGTTTTATTTTCCATCTTTGTTTAATTGACTTTGTTTTGGATTCCACAAATATGTGAGAAAATGCAATGTTTTTCTTTCTGTGGTTTATTTCGCTTAGTGTAATGTCCTACAGGTTCATCCATGTTGTGGCAAATGGCAGGATTTTATTCTTTTTAATGACTGAATAATATTCCACTATATATATCTATATCTCACACTTTATTCATTTGTCTGTGTAGACATTTAGGTTGTTTTCCATGTTTGGCTACCATGAATAATGCTGCAATGAACATATTTTTAGGAGGTGGTGATTACACCTCCTTTGGGTATATACCCAGAAGAGGAATTGCTGAGCTGTGTGGTAATTCTATTTTTAATTTGTTAAGGAACTGCCATACTGTTTTACATTATGGATGTACCTATCTGCATTCCCACCAACAGTGTGCTAAGGTTCTCTTTTATCCATAACCTCACCAATATTTATCTCTTGTCTATTAGATAAAAGTCATCATAATAAGCGTGAAATAATGTCTCATAATAGTTTTAATTTTCATTTTCCTGCTGATTAGTGATGTTGAGCACCTTTTCATACATTTGCTGGCCATTGTTGTATTTTTCATTGAAGAAATGTCTATCCAGGGCCTTTGCTCTTTTTTAAACCAGGTTCTTTTTCTGCTATTAAGTGGTATGAGTTCTTTATAAGTTTTAGATATTAACCCTATATCAGATATGTAGTTTACAATTTTTTCCAGTCCATAGTTTACCCTTTTATTTGCTGATCATTTCCTTTGCTGTCCAGAATTTTTTCAGTCTCATGTGGAATCATTTATTTAATTTTGCTTTTGTAGCCTAGGCTTTTGCTGTGAAATTAAAAAAAAAATCATTGCCAAGGCCAATGTGAGGGAGCTTTCCCCTGTGTTCTCCCCCAGGAGTTTTATGGTTACACATCTTAAATCTTTTATCTATATTGAGTTTTTTTTTTGTATTGTATAACATAAGGGTCCAGTTTAATTCTTTTGCATGTGGAAATCCAGTTTTCCTGGCACCATTTATTGAAGAGACATTCTTTTCTTCATGTGTCTTCTTGATGACCTTGTGGAAGATTAGCTGATGATATACTCTTGGATTTATTTCTGGGCTATTTTGTTTCATTGGTTTGTGTTTTTGTTTTTAGGCCAGTATGATAGTATTTTGATTAATGAAATATAGCATATAATTTTAAATCAGGAATTGTGATGCCTCCAACTTTTCTTTCTCAGTATTGCTATTGTTATTCAGGGTTTTTAGTGGTTCCATATAAATCTCTGCATTGTTTTTCCTGCTTCTGTGAGGAATACCATTGGAAGTTTGGTAGGAACTGCATTAAAACTGCATATTCCTTTCCTTAGTATGGACATTTTAACAATATGTATCCTACTGGTCTATGAACAAGGAATTTCATTTCATTTTTGTGTCTTCTTCAATTCCTTTCATCACTGCCTTATAGTTTTCAGTGTACAAATATCTCACCTCTTTGGTTAAATTTATTCCTACATTACTTTTTGATACTATCACAAATGGGACCACTCCCTTAACTGCTTTTTCAGATCCATTGTTATTTTTGTATAAAAATGCTACAGATTTGTGTATGTTGATTTTGTATTCTGCAACTTTACTGGTCATTTGTTCTAAAAAATTTTTAATAGAATCTTTGAGGTTTTCTACATATAGGATCGTGCTATCTGTAATAGAGATAATTTTACTTCTTCCTTTCCAATTTGGATGCTTATTTTATTTATTTGTTTTATGATTGCTCTTGCTAGCACTTTCAGTACTATGTTGAATATAAGTAGTGAGAGTGGGCATCCTTGCCTTGTACCAGACCTTAGTAGAAAAGTTTTTAGTTGTTTCCCATCGATCATAATGTTAGTTGTGTCATTTTTGTAAATGGCTCTTATTATGCTGGGAAACTTTCCCTCTACAGTTAAACCATTAAAAGCATTTTTTATCAAGAAGGTATGCTGAACCTTGTCAAATGTTTCTTCTGCATCAACTGAGATAATCATATGGTTTTCATCTTTCATTCTGTTAATGTTATATATCACTTTAATTGATTTGCATATATGAAAGCAGACTTGTATGTCAGGGATCAATCCCACTTGGTCATGATGTGTAATTTTCTTCATATGTTGTTGAATTCGGTTTGCAAATATTTTATTGAAGATTTTTGCATTAATGTTTATCAGAGATATTGACCCATAGTTTTCTTTCCTTGTGTTTTATTAAAATACTTTTTTTTTTTTTTGATACGGAGTCTCGCTCTGTCGCCCAGGCTGGAATGCAGTGGCACAATCTTGGCTCACTGCAACCTCCACCTCCCAGGTTCAACCTGCTTCAGCCTCTCGAGTAACTGGGACTACAGGTGCCCAGCACCATGCCAGGCTAATTTTTTGTATTTTTAGTAGAGATGGGGTTTCATCGCATTAGCCAAGATAGTCTTGATCTCCTGACCTCGTGATCCACCTGACTCGGCCTCCCAAAGTGCTGGGATTACGGGCGTGAGCCACCACACCCGGCCCTAATTTGAATATTAAAAAAATCTGTTGATATGTTTCCTTGTTTTCAAATACATGCATTTAAGGGTACACATTACCATTGAAGCATGGCTCTAGTTGCCTTCTATATTTTATTGCATATTCACATTGATAAAATATTTTCTAACATCCATTGTGATCTTGCTTTTATCCAATGGATTATTTTAAATAGTTTTCATAATTTCCAAATATTACATTTTCTAGATTTATTTTTGTAACTGATCTCTTAACTTAGGAATCATAGTCAGAGAATATATTCAATCCGGTTTTAATCCCTTGAAATTTTATGGGATCAGTTTGGGGTAAAAAAATAGGGTCATTTCAAAGAATTTCACTAGCACCTTAAAAGACCATGTATTCTGTAGTTATTGGATGCTTTACTCTATATACTTCAAATAGGTTAATTTTGCAAATCTTATTATTCAATTTTACATATCTCTACTATATTTTTGTTTGTTTTCTAAGTTAAAAAGAAAAATTCGTGCTTTTAAAAAATTTCCCATCAGGACTATGGATTATGTTTCTTTTTAATTCTCGCAGTGTTTGCTTCATGTATCTTGAGTCTACGCTTTTCCATGCATACTTACAATGGTCATATCTTCCTGTTCTTTTTTAACTTTTTATTATTGCGTCTTTACTTCCAGTAATGCTTTTTACTTCATAGCATACTTGTCTGATATTAATAAAAACAACAGCTTTAAGATATGCATTGTAGAGCCATCTTCAAATTTTACTTGCTTTTTTTTGTATTACCAGATTTCGAATGACTATTGTAAGTAGCACAAATTTGGGTTTACTTATAGTAAATCTGATATGTTCACGTTTCATTGAACCCTATAGATCCTTTTCACTTGTTCACCATTGTATATGTGATTAAATCTAACAAATTAATAGTTAGTTTTCTACTTATTTCAACCCCTACTCCTCACTAATCTTTTCCCTTATCCTGTTTTGAAGTTAGGAATTTTAAGTATTGAATATTTCCTTCTGTTGGATGTTACAGACCTTTTACAGCTTCTTCCAAATGTGACTATCCTAGAGATGACAACATGAATCTTTACATTATCAAGTCTAATATGTTATCTATGAAGAAAATGATTTCCACTTGAACCCTTAATGTCTCAACACACAATTACTTTCCTTTCTCACAGAAAACGCAATGGCCTTCAAACACTACCTCCATTTTTGCTTATTATGATTAACTCGTTACTTTGGTTATCTACTTATATTCAACATATTTTATTAATGTTTCATGCAACGCACTACCTCTCATTTTTTAATAGAATAATATTTAGATTTTGCCCATTTATGTATTCTTATTATTGTTCATCCTTTCTGCATCTCGATGCTTCCATGTAAGATTATTTTCATGATCTGAAGAACAAACACCCTTCTAATTACCTTTATAGAATTTTCGTAGTTTCCAACTTTTTTACTCTTTGAAAAAAAAGAAAACTGTCTTTGTTTTACCACTATTCTTGACCTCATTCACATATTTAGAACTTTGTGTTGGCTGTCACCTGGGCCTCACTTTCCACTTGGTCTGTCATCATTCAATATTCTTCCTGCACTCTTGGTGGAAGACTATTGCAAGGTGGCATGACTATTGCAAGAACATGAGAATGGAAGCTAAAATTCGTCTTGAGGTTTAGACCCTAGAATATAACCAAGACCATTTCTGTCAGGCTCATTTCAGGTTCAGATGGGGAGGAATTCAATCTCTTGACTGAAGGATTAAAAAAAGAATACTATTGCATTTCTTCAGTCTATCATAGGTGGTGAAGTCCAAAGATCACCCAAATTTGTTTAAATATAAGCTGGCGATGCAGTATAACTTTTTGTTACTCATTATGATCTTCAGTATTATGCACCCTATTACTGGATTACTTTTGTGATGGCTGCTATACAACATCAAATTGATTTTTCCTGTTCAGTCAATTTTTTAACTTCTTGGAGACCAATACAGAGTTCCCCAAAATACTTACATACACAGGGAGGCTCCAGGTCCCCCCACTGTACCCTGGGTCCCTTCTCGTCCTGCAGTGAGCCTCCTGAAATATTCCAAGTCCCGCCTGCCTCCTCCAGTGACAGGAAAGGCTAGCCGGGGACAACGCCATTGGCTGCCTGAGCCTTGAGAAAGATGCACAAGTTCCCTCGGAGGCCCAGCAAACTCATGCTGGCCCGTAAGGCTCACGAGAGCGTCCTCGGCCCTCCATCGGTACCTAAAATTACTCTAAGTCCACTCAGCGAACCAGAGTCCTGGAACCGCTCTTGCCGTCCTGGAAAGATTGGAGAAAGCATTACCGCCTGTCCAAGTGTCTTCACAATTTTCTACCTCAGCTCAAAGCCTAGAACTATTACTGTGAAAACTGAAGCGCAGGTCAGCCTGACTGACCCTTCGGAAGGCGTGAACAAGTTCCCTTGAGGACCCAGAAGCTTAGGGGGCTTGCCTGAAGACCCACGAAGGGAGTCCTTGGCACACCAGGGCCACCACAACATTATCTAAGCCTACTGGGGGCCCAGGAACAACTCTTGCCATTCGAGAAAGGCTGGAGGAAGCATTAACACAAACTTAAGAGTCCTCAGAATTTTCTACCTCAGCTCAGAGCCGGAACCGCCATTACTGAAAACAGGCGCACCACGGACACCCTAGGCCCTGCACAGAGAGGGCGACCGGAACATAACTTTTGAGGAGGATAAGATTTGCATTATAGAGTGGGATTCATATCCCAGCTGAGACCTTCGTAGCTGTATGATATTGGCAACTTTACTTTGCGTCTTTATTTTAAAATGCAAAGAAGATAATATTAGTGACTACCTCAAAGTTTGCCCCAAGGATCAAATGTAATGTTGATCCGAGGCAGAGTGGTGTCTGATATTAAAGACTTCATTAAAAATAGGTTTATTATGTGTTTCATGTGAAGTAAAGGACTCATTTCCAATACAAATACAAATAAACTAGTCCTTTATTTCACATTAATTTTCCTTGTTATACTTTGACTAAACTTTGGAATGCTTTTTCTCCTTTCTCTCATGTGCACAGTATTTTTGCGTACTAATTGCCATTCCAACCATTAAAATGAGATTATTCACGGCCATCATTATTATTGCTGTGTTTTTTCCACACAATGTGTATGTGTCAATGATTTCCTCAAAATTATCTTTCCCTATTCACATTAATAAGCAGTAACACATTAAATAAGCAGTAACTCACGTTTTTCTAGTTATTCATAATTGATCAGATAAAACATTTTTATTTATTTTAATTTCAAAATCTCCATTTCACAAAAAGCAACAGATGTACGAATAGTTAGGAAATGTCTTAAACATAAGGATAATTTTCACTGACATTCATAAAAATTCAATTTTACCAATAGTAACTGCATATATAATGACTGGTAGAACATTTAATTTTTTCACTATTCATAACTGAATAGGTAAAGTTCAATACTTTTCCACCTAACCCCACAAAATATTCATGACTAAAGAGAAGAGGCTTAATACTGTTCCAGATGCTTTCAAGGAGTTTATTTCTGTTTTAAATATTAGGCTTCCATGTGTATTTTACATTAAATAAAGTGTTTGATAACTAAAGAAATAAAAAGTTAGTTTAGAACATCCCAGTCTCATCAGAAAGAATGGTTACAATATAATTTTATATCAGATGAAAGATTAATCATGTTAAAACAGCCCAGAGGCAATTATTTGTATTCTCTGTGCAGCCAGTTGAACTCTTTCTCTAGCTAACATTACTGCTAATATAATTTTCAAAATGGCTGTCTCTTGTGATGCCTAAACTTTTTACTTAGCTGAGTTCTATGCTGCCTGTAATATGGATATACACTCAAACAAATGAAAGATTTGAAAAATAACTTTATTAAGACATAATTTATACATCATATAATTCACCTATTTAGTACAATTCAAGGATGTTTTAAAATAAACTTTACTAATTGTGAAGCTACTGTAAATCAGTTTTAGAATATTTGCATTACCCATTATGTCCTTCATGTCCATTTGCTGTGAATCCTGGTTCTACCTCTGCCCCTCACCTCAGGTAATCACTAATTCATTTTCTGTCTTTATAGCTTTGCCTTTTCTGGATATTTCAAATACATAAAATCATATAACAGTACTCTCATGTCTGGCTTCTTTCATGTAGCACGTTTTTGAGTTTCATTCTTGTTCTAGCATGTGTCAGTAGTCCATTCCTTTTTCTTGCTGGATAATATTCTATTGTATGGATATATCATATTTTGTCTACTATTAACTAGTTATGCACATCTGGATTGTTTCTAATTTTTGGCTATTATGAATACTGCTCATAAGAATATTCATATATAAGTCTGTATGGATATAGGTTTTCATTTATCTTATGTAGACACATAAGAGTGGGATTGCTGGGAGTTATGGTATGGCTCTGTGTCCCCACCCAAATCTCATCTTGTAGCTCCCATAATTCCCATGTGTTGTGGGAGAGACCCTGTGGGAGATGATTGAATCCTGGGGGCGGTTCTTTCCCGTGCTTAGCCCGTGCTGTTCTCCTGATAGTGAACGAGTCTCACAAGATCTGATGGTTTTAAAAATGGAAGTTTCTCTTCACAAGCTCTCTCTTTGCCTGCTGCCCTCCACGTAAGATGTGACTTGATCTTTTTCCCATCCGCCATGTTTGTGAGGCCTCCCTAATCATGTGGAACTATAAGTCCAATAAACCTCTTTCTTTTATGAATTGCCCAGTTTTGGGTATGTCTTTATTAACAGCGTGAAAAACGGTCTAATACCACTGGGTCATATTGTGAATTTATGTTTAACTATTGAAGAAACTGCCAAACTATTTTCCGAAGAGGCTGTACCATTTTACATCTCCAATAGCAATGTATAAGGATTCCCATTTCTTCACTTCCTCACTGACCTTAGTTATTGAGTTCCTTTTATTGTTATTGATATTCTAGTATGTGTAAAAAAAGTATCTAATTATTTTGATTTGTATTTCCTTAATGATTAGTAATGTTGGACATTGTTCATATTCTTACTAGCCGTTTAAATATCTTCCTTGGTGAAATGTTGCAATAAAGAGTGTAAACCAGAAATAAAATTCTAAGCAACCCACCCCCTCTCCATCCCCAGCCATCTGAATGGGCTTCCTCCTTATCCAGGGCACTCCTAAAATTTAACATGAAAGACTGATTCAGGCCGTGACGGAAAGTCGGGGTTGGACATGCCCCATTATACATTTTGGGCATTAACATCAACACAAACTTTAAGTCTGATAAATAACATTTTACAACCTATTCTCTCTAAAGCCTACTACCTGAAGGCTTACTCTGCAAATAAGAACTTTGGTCTTCACAGTCCTTTATCATAACCCAGACATTCCTTTCTATTGATCCTAGACTTCAGATAAATTCAACCAATTGTCAACCAGAACATTTAAAAATCTATCTGTAAGCTGGAAGCCCCTGCTTTGAGTTGTCCCACCTTTCTGGACCAAACCAATGTATTTCCTTAACGTATTTGATTAAAGTCTCATGCCTGCCTAAAATGTATAAAACCAAGCTGCACCCTGACCACCTTGGGCACATGTTGTCAGTATCTCCTGAGGGCTGCCTTATGGGCCATGGTCACTCATATTTGGTTCAGAATAAATCTTTTCAAATATTTTACAGAATTTAATCCTTTTCATCTACTAGAGTCTGGATCCTTGTGTGATGTTTGCCTGCTAACAGCTTTCAAGTCCTAGCACTACCCCTTCCCTTTCTGTCTCACATCTGAGAAAGCTGATAAGAAAGCCCTTCTTTGGTACCAATGGGAAGTTCAAACCATACAATTCTTTGCCTGTGTATGGGAATCCTTGCCATGCTCGCCACCTCAACCACTATAAAAACCAAGCCATTCTCCTTTCCTGTTATCTCAAGCCACTTTCAGATCAGCTTGGGAGGTCACATTGTTCTCCCTAAGAAAGTCTCATTATGTGAGTAACATATTTTTGATAGCCTTTTGATGCATGTGCCGTTTATCAGTCTCAACACCCAAACAATATCTGGGGTTTATCCACTCTAGAGTAACTCCAACAATGGCACAGCCAGCAGGATGACGAACACTACCACCATCAGGGATTTGTTTCTTACTTTAGTTAAAACCTTACTTGAGATTGGGTCCTTAAGCCCCATGAAACACGACTGTCATTTAGAAAGGCCCTGATGATACTGATTTTAGAATTTCTGGAGGAAGAAATTTATGAGCCAGAGAAGAACACCTCTCTGAAGTATAGCAAGTAACTACTAAAAGTTAAAAATAAAAACAAAACAAAACCTACATATAAGGAGGGAAACAAACAAAAACAAAAAACAAAAGCAGAGGTCCACAATTAGAAAAAAAAATTTCAAAATTTACTTTAAAATCTATACAACAAAAGTAAATTGATTGGATTTGTGCCTCTGTGGCACAGGTTCTGAATTAACTTTAACACATTTTGAAATACACTAACTGGCAAATTTTCATTACCTTAATCGAAGGGATCCAATTATATTTTACAGGGGGTTGCAAATAAACTTAAACAAGGTGTCCTATATATATAACTTATACTGGGTATAAAATAGAAAACAAACAACTAAGCTTCAAGTTAACCGTCAGATCCATCACCTAAATTCTCCATAGTCATATCACCCATTGTCCTAAAATATCTTATAGTGAACATGGACATTCTTAATTAGTAATAAATTAAATCTTTGGCACATATAATTGGCTTGCAGAATGGGACCCCATGGCATACTTGTTTGGCTAAAATAGTTCTTCACAATGTGAATTAAAACAGTGCCTTAAAGGACTGAAACCTATTATAAAAGATCTAAATCACCAGAGAACAATAAATCACCTATAACTCACTAGAGAACTGGTAATTATCCCATACTGCTCAATTTAACATACTAATTTGGCCTGTTTTTGTTGTTTTTATTTGTTTGTTTTAGAGATGAAGTCTTGCTATGTTGCCCAGGCTGGACTCAAACTCCTGGACTCAAGGGATTCCCATGTGTCCGCCTCCTGAGTAGCTGAGACTTCTGGCTAACCTGTTCCTAATTTGGAAAGAATGAGTGGTGTCTTGTGGTCGATTTTACCATGTTGATGCTGTGGTCTCATTTGTTAAGGCCCCCATGTACAATATAACTAAAATTACTAATTCCATCAAATCAACAACTGGTAAATTATTTGCAGTCATAGATTGGTTAATATGTTCTGTTCAGTGCCTATTTCAACAGCCCTTTATCTGTTTATCCACTGGGTACCTCAACAGCCTTACTTTGCTAATGATTTTGGCAGACTAGATCTTAACCACATCCAAATTTCTCCAGTAATACAAGTATAACATTACATTGTTCATATTCTCCTCTGAGAAGATTCACTGGACTCACTCATTCAAGACATATAAACATTCAAAAAAGAACTCATGAAAAGGAAATGGGCCATTTCCCCACATGTAGTCATAGACCCTGCCACCTCATTTAAATAGATGAAAGTTATTTGATAAGCGGAGAGTCATTTCATCTCTGGCAATGTCCAGAAACTTCTATTGGCCTTCTCATTACCTGTAAGTTAAAATAAGTTCAATAATTTTAGGTCTTTTTGAATTCTGCAGGCAACATATTCTGCATTTATTTAAGTTCAGTTATACTGTTACTCACAAATAGGCCCATCTTGAATGGTTCCCCCTGCAAGAAAAGGCTCTGAAATCTGTCCAAATTGCAACAGAACAGGCACTCTCATTAGCGGCCTGCAGAGAATCCATTACTGCTGAGGCTTCCTAGAGTCTCTGGACCACTCATGAGGACTATAAGTTGTCCAATCTCATAAGCTTAAGACAAATGGTACTCTCAGGATAGAGCCACACTTGGGTTTTCTGGCATAACCCCCTCTTGTCCTCATTCTCTTGTCAGATGCAAGAGTGATAGGGATGATTATCCACCTCCAGACCACTTGGCTACCTGGCAAGGCATTTGGGATCAACCAAGTGAACAGAAAAGAGAGTTTGTATACTTTACAGATGGTGCCACCCCCATCACACATAATGGAGCTTGCCTTTTATTGTAGGTGGCACCATTCAAGGTGGGCCTGTTTGTGAGCAACAGTATAATTGAACTTAAATAAATCCAGAATATCTTGCCTACAGAATCCAAAAAAGATGTAATGGTTGTTTTTCAGCCCTTAATCAGGACATCTTTTATCAAAGATAGGATCTACAGGTTAGTACAATTTAGTGAGTTTTAAGCAGTCATCTTAGTACTGTGTGTCCTGGCCAATAGTTGTCCCCATCTATACAATTTTACAGATTCTTGGGTTATGGTCTGTTGCTCTATCCTGATTGATGACTGCAACAATTCCTTACCGAAAGTTGCACGTTTAGGGTAAAGAATTGTAGAGAAATTTGTTGCTTCACAAATACAGAAATATAAATCAAGGACACAAAAGCCACAGTACTAGATCTCATTACTATGTTTCTTATTCCCCTTAAAGTTCCAGACTATTATTGATAGTTACCAAGATACTTATTTCTCCTCTCAAAATATACAATTTACACAATTCTAGTTCTTGAACAATGCAATCAATAGAACTTTCACCTCCCTTTCTGACCTTAGGCTATATGCCTTCTTTAAAGGGTCATATTGGCTTAATTAAATAAGGTCAAATTCAATTAAGTGAAACATGCCGTATTTTGTTCATTAGGCAAATATCAAGGGTAAATTAAATAAAGACTCTGACTCCATTTTTAATGTTTGGCTGCTTTTCACTGCTCATAGCTTTCATGCAAGCCCTATCATCCTGATCCTCTTCTGCCCCACATCTGGACAAATAGATGAAAGAGCTCACTGATCCCTGCCTGGGGAAGTCTAAACCACACAAGCCTTGTCTTTACATAGGACCCCTGTACCCTTATCTTCATGAAAGTCAAGCAAGTTTCTTTTCTCTACTCTTTCAAGCCATTTTCACACAGCTTGGGATCCTACACTGTTCTTACCAGAAAATCTCATGGTGTGAGTATTAAACTTACTCATCTATCCGACTTCTGTGGGGCAATATTTGAATATATTGCCTGTCTTAGTCCATTGTGTGCTGTTTTCACAGAATACAGTTAGCCCTCTGTAACTTCAGGGGATTTATTCCAGGATCCCCTCAGATACCAAAATCCTAGGATACTCAAGTCCCAAAGTTGTACTTTTAAGAACCTGTGGATACAAAATGTCTGCCCTCCTTATTTGCAGGCTCCACATCCCATGAACACTGTTATTGTCCATCCATGGTTATTTGAACCTGTTGATGTGGAACTAGTGAATACAGACGGCATACTGCTCCACAGAATGGGTAACTTATACAGAACAGAAATTGATTTCCTCATAGTTTTAGAGCTGGGAAGTCCAAGATTGCGGGGATAATATATGGTACAGGTCTTTTTTACTGTGTCATCCCATGGCAAAAGGCTAAAGAGAAGAGACCAGGAGGGGAATGAATTTGTCCTTTTATAAGGGAACTAATCCCACCCATGAGGGTGGAGCCCTAATGGCCTAATCTCTTCTTAAAGGTCCCACCCCTTAATAACTGTTACAATGGCAAGTAAATTTCAATATGAGTTTTGGAGGGGAAATTCAACCCTTAACATTGCCTATTTTTTAAAATTGGAGGCCGGGCGTGATGGCTCATGCCTGTAATCCCAGCACTTTGGGAGGTCTAGATGGGGGGATCACGAGATCAGGGGTTCAAGATCAGCCTGGCCAAGATGGTGAAACCCCATCTCTACTAAAAATACAAAGATTAGCTGGGTGTGGTGGTGTGTGCCTGTAATCCCAGCTACTTGGGAGGCTGAGGCAGACAATTGCTTTAACCCGGGAGGCGGAGGTTGCAGTGAGCTGAGATCATGCCACTGCACTCCAGCCTGGGCAACAGAATGAGATGCCGTCTCAAAAAAAAAAAAAAAAAATTGGATTGTTTGCCTTATTATTGAGGTATAAGAGATCTTTTGTAATGTTGGACACATATTTTGCAAAACTTTGTTACCAGTCTGTTGCATGATTTTTTTAAAATTTGTTTAAATGTGTTATCTTGAAGGGCAAAAATTCTGCATTTTGATGAGATCCAATCTATCTCGTGTGTGTGTGTGTGTTTGTGTGTGTGTGTGTCACGCTTTTGGTGTTTTATCTGTGAAATATTTGCCTCAATCAAAATCTTGAAGTTTTTCTCTCATGTTATCTTCTAAAAATTTTACTACTTTCATGCATATATAAAAATTGACAACATATTTTGATGTAATTCCTGTGCATAGTGTGAGGCAATGGTCCAAGTTAATCTCTTTATATGTAGATCTACTTTTATTCACCCAGCAGTGGTTTTTAAAAAGGTTATTCTTTCTTCAGTGTATTTCCTTTTCACTTTGGTTGATCATCATTTGGCTGTAAATATAAGGGTTTATTTCAAGACTGATAATTCCATTTCATTGATTATAAAACTATCCTATGTAAGTAGCATACCATCTTGATAACTGTAGCTTTATAGTAAATTTTGAAATGAGAAAGTGAAAGTCATCTCACTTTCAAAATTGTTTTGACTTTTATAAAATCAACATAAATTTTATAATGATCTTGTCATGTAGGGAGCATACTGAATCTATACATCAATTTTGGGGAAACTATCATCTTAAAAATACCGTCTTTCAATGCATGAAATGTGACATCATTCTATTTAATTAGATCTTTAATTTCAGCAAAGTTTTATAATTTTTCAGTGCACAAGTCTTATACTTCTTTTGCTAATTTTTTTCTAAGTATTTTATTCCTTTTGAAACTGCTATGTAAAGACTTCATTCTTGATTCTTTTTAAATTATTCCTTGTATGTAGAAATGCAATTGATCTTGACTTCTATAGTTCTGATATATTTGTTTGATGTATTTGTTCTTGTTACAATTTTTTGAGAATTTCATAGATTTTCCACATACAAAATTGTGTCCTCTGCAAATAAAGAGTTATACATTTTCCTTTCCAATTTGAATGCTCCTCTCTTGGTTTTTCTTGCCTGAATGCACTGACTAAAATCTCCTGTACAATATTTAAAGAAGTAACGAGAGTCATCAATCTTACCTTGTTCACTTTCTTAGGGGGAAGCCCTTCATCATTTCACAATTAAGAATGGTGTTCTTATAGGTTTTTTTGTAGATGCTTTTATCAAGTTGAGGAGTATCCTTTTCATTCCAAGTACTTTCAAAATTTTACTATAAAATGGTCTTTGATTTTATCAATTCTTATTCTGTGTTTATTGAGATGAGCATGTGTTTTTCCCTTTATTCTATTGATATGGTATATTACATTGATTTTCAATCAACATTGCATTGTTGGGATAAATTCAACTTGATCATCGTGAATAAGTCTTTTCTAACTTCACTCCAGTGAAGTCATCTAGGACTGGAGTTTCTTTGTGGGAAGATTTCACAAGATGAATTAGATTTTGTTATTTGTTATAGGTATATTTAGAATTTCTATTTCTTCTCAAATGTATTGTAGAAATATGTAGTTTTATAGATATGTTTCCATTTCATCTCAGGGGTCAAATGTGTTGGCGTAAAGTGGTTCACAGTATTTCCTTGTAATTCATTTAATTACTGAAGGGTTACTGGTAATATCTTTTATTTCTAATTTTAGCGATTTGTGCTTTATTTCTTGGTCAATAGAGGCAAAAGTTGTCACTTTTGTTGATGTAAAAGATACATTTTTTGTGCTCTTACAATACACAGTACTTATCTCTGATCACAAAAATGTGTGTGAGTGTTTCCCTACACATTAGCAATTCTCTAGCAGGCAACAACTGGGTGCTCTATAATTCAATTTAATGCTGAATTCTATCTACCTGGAGACAATGTCAGATACAGCAGATAAAGGGCTCCATCCCACAAGACTGCCCCCTACTTCAGATACCAGTTGCAAGCGCTAGCTTGTCACCTATACTTCTGACTAACTGGATATACATTGGGGTTCCTATGACCCCCTTCTTAAGTTTGATTAGTTTGCTAGAACAGCTCACAGAGCTCAGGGAAATGCTTATGGTTATTCATGTATTACAAATGATACAAATGAACAGCCAAATGGAAGAGATGAATAGGGTAAGATATGTGGAAAGAAGTGCAAAATTTCCATTCTTTTCTCGGTGCACAACCCTCCAGGTACCTCCATGTATTTTGCAACCAGAAAGCTCTTGAAACCCTATCCTTTCAGATTTTTACGGAGGCTTAATTGTATAGGCATCAACTCAACCTTCAGCCTCACTTCTCCCAGAAGGTGGGGTGGGACTGAAAGTTTTAATGACATAGTTCATTCTTCTGGCAACAAGTGCCCCCCAGCCAAACCTCCGTTCTCTGTCTCCACCACCCCTTCATCGACCACCATCATGAGGCTATATATAAACCCTAGCTATCATTCATCTCATTAGCACAGAAAAATATACTCATTGATTAAGAAAGTCCAGAGATTTTAGAAATTGTGTATCAGGAACCAGGGTCAGAGAAAAAATATAAATTAATTATATGACAATATTATAGTTGAACTTTTCAAAGAAACAACTTTTATTTTACTTATTTTCTTCTATTTTTTAACTCTTTTCTATTTCATTGATTTTTTTACTCTAATCTTTATTATTTCCTTTCTTCTGTGTGCCTAGGGCATAATTTGCTCTTACTTCTCAAGTTTCTTGAGGCAAAAGTTTATATTATTGATTTGGAATCTTTATTATGGGCCGGGCTCAGTGGTGGCTCAAGCCTTTAATCCCAGCACTTTGGGAGGCTGAGGTAGGTGATCACCTGGGGTGAGGAGTTTGAGACCAGCCTGGCCAACATGGTGAAACCCTGTCTCTACCAAAAATACAAAAATTAGCCTGGCGTGGTGGCATGCATCTGCAGTCCCAGCTACTCGGGAGGCTGAGGCAGGAGAATCGCTTGAATCTGGGAGGCAGAGGTTGCAGTGAGCTGAGACCACACCACTGCACTCCAGTCTGGGCAACAAGAGTGAAATACCATCTCAAAAAAAAATCTTTATTATGTTCTAATATAAGCATTTGAAGCTTCATATTTCTCCCTAAGAACTGCTTTAGCTTCATCCCATATTTTTTGAGATTTTGTATCATCATTTTTGTTTAGTTCAAAATAATCTCTAAATTTCCTTGTAATTTCTTCTTGATCCACTTGTTATTTAGAAATGATATTTATTGCTTTCTATCAGATTGGTGAGTAAACAAATAAATGTTATTTAAATATAGAAACATTTGAGAAGTTTCCAAAATTCCTTCTGTTGTTCAGTTTCAACTTAATTCTGTTTGAATTGGACAATATACTTCAGATGGTTTCAATTATTATTAATTTATTTAGACTTGTTGGATCCTGTTTTTATTTTAAATCAAATCTGACAGCCTCTGTGTTTTGATTCCACTTGCATTTAATGAACATATTGATATGGTAGGACTTAAATTTGTTATTTAACTATTTCTTTTCTATATGTCATCTTTCTTCGTTCTTTTATTCCTATTCCCTTCTTTTGAGCTGAATATATATTTTCCAGTGTACTATGTACATTCATTTCCACAATATATTTAGCTTCATTTTAGAGATTGTTGTAATGTTTACAATATGCATCTTAAAACAATCTACCTCAAATTAATAACTTAATTCATGTTATATATAGAAGCTTTATTCTAATATAGTTTCCTTGTCATCCCCTTCTTTGTGTTATTATTGTCTTTCTAATTATGGCTCTCTATTATATAAATAACACAATTTTTAAAATTTGTGTTCTACAGTTCTCTTTTAAATCATTTAGATGAAGAAATGTTTTAAATATATATACATTTATTTGTAAAGTTTTTTTATATTTACCTACTTTATTGCCTTCCTTAGTGCTTTTTATTTCATCTTGTGGATCCAAGATATCATCTTTCAGACTGAAAGACTCACTTTATTATTTGTTGTAGGCAGGGATGCTGTTGAACTCCATTTTGTTTATCTAAAAATATATTTTTTTAATGTTTAAATAATAGTTTTCCTGGATAGCAAATTCTTGTCTGATAGTCTTACTCTTTTAGTATGTTGATGGAAAACAAAACCAAAGTGTAAAATATTTAAAGAGGTTTATTCTGAACGAATATGAGTGATCAGGTCATTCATATCTACATATCAAAGAAGCTCAACTAATTTAGAAGTATGCACTCAAAGAGATTCACACCATAGTCAAACTGTTGAAAGCCAAATCAAAGAGAAAAGTTTAAAAGGAGAAAGAGGAAAATAACTCATCACATACAAGGAAATATATGTCTCATGGTCAGGAGAACAGTCTCAAGAGGACCTCAGAAAGTGTGCCAAGAGTCGGGTTACAGTTTGGTGTTACACATTTTAGAGACACATGAACTTGAGTCAAATCATTAATCAATACTTGGAAGGTGTACATTCATTCAGCCTAAAGAGCAAGGATATCTGGAAGTCAGAGCTTACAGATCATAGGTGGATTCAAACATTTTCTGACTGGCAATTGGTTGAAAGAGTTAGACTTTGTCTAAAGGCTTGAAGTCAGTAAAAGAAAGACATGCTTAAATGGAGATAAGGGGGATTATGGAGGCCAAGGTTCTTATTATGTAGATGAAGCCTCCTAGGTAGCAGCCTTCAGAGAAAATAGATGGTAAATACCTCTTTTCAAAGTTTAAAGGTGTCAGACTCTCATTTAATCTCTTCTAGATTTGGGAAAGAACTATGATATAGTTTGGATACTTGCCCTCACTCAAATCTCACGTTGAAACCTGATCCCCAGTGTTGGAGGTAAAGCCTAGTGGGAGGTGTTTTTGTCGTGGGAGCAGATTCCTCATGGCGTGGTGCTGTCCTTATGATAGAGAGTGAGTTCTTGTGAGATCTGGTCACTTAAAAATATATGACACCTTCTTTCCCATTCTCTCTTTTGCTCTTGGTCTCATCATGTGACATGCCTGCTCTGCTTCACCTTCCACCATGAGGTAAATCTCCCTGAGGCCTCCTCAGAAGCTGAGCAGATGCCGTCACCATGCTTCCTATTTAGCCAGAAGATCAGTTAGCCAAGTAAACCTCTTTCCTCTATAAATCACCCAGTCTCAGATATTTCTTTATGGCAATGAAAGAACAACCTAACACAGCCTAGAAAGGAAAAGCCTGGCTGCATTAATGGAGATTCTCCACAGCTGCAAAATTATTTTACAAAAGACAGCTTTGCAGGGCCATTTCAAAATATTTCAAAGAAATATATTTTGGGCTAACATATTTTGATTTCCTTTAAAAATCAGCTATCTGTCATGTGATGCTATGCAGGGTCACGTTGGAATTTGGTATCTTATTGCCACAAAGTCTTTTGTGTGAGTCTTATGAGCTCTGGAGTCCCATTGGCAGAGAAGGGCTCTGTTCAGTTGGCTGGGGGCCTAGGATCTTATATTTGTTTGGCAAGTCTGACATATAGTGAACATGTCATCTCACTGCCTTCCAGACACCATAGATTCTGATGAAAAAATCAGCTACTAATCTTTTTTATATTTCCTGGTATGTGATGAGTTATTTTCCTCTTTCTCCTTTTAAACTTTTCTCTTTGGTTTGGCTTTCAACAGTTTGACTATGGTGTGAATCTCTTTGAGTGCATACTTCTAAATTAGTTCAGCTTCTTTGATACGTAATCTTTTTCAACTTATTTGGGAAGTTTTTGGCTACTATATTTGCAAATAGTTTTTCCATCTCTTTATCTTCTGTTCTTATGGGACCCCCATTACGTGTTTGTGAGTATGCTTCTTTGTGTTCCACGTGTCTTTGAAGCTCTGTTCATTTTATCCTCATTCATTCTTCTTGTGATTCCTGAATGGATAAACGCTATTGATTTATTTTCAAGTTCCCTGATTCTTTCCTCTTTTAGCTTAAATCTGGTTTTGATACCATCTAATGAATTTTTCACAGTACTTTTTTACTTTTCAAATCCAGAATTGTTTTATGTTTTATTTATATGATTTTGTTGATTATTTAGTGAGTCATAATTGTCATACTTTCCTTTACTTCTTTAAAGATACTAGCATTTAGTACTTTGAAGATATTTTAATAAATGATTTAAATTTTTTCTCTAAAGTCCAACATCTGGCCTCCATAAGGAAATAATTTCATTGGCTGCATCTTTTTTGTGTATGGTCCATACTTTTTTGTTTGTTTGTATGTCTTATATATTTTTGTTGTTGAAAACTAGATATTTTAAATAATATATTTTAGCCATGCTGGAATCAAAATCTGCCCCCTCCAGAGATTTTTTTTTTGTTTCTTTTGCTCCTGTGTATCTGTTTATTTGTTTAGCAGCCTTTCTTGGGTAACTCTTCAGATTCTGTATTTCTTGTAGCATACAACTAGTGAGTTCTCTGATCACATCTATTCATTTTCTTTTTCTTTCAACTTTTGAAAAAAGTCACTTTATATAAGTATCCCCTGTGTCACCATAGTTCAGTGCTTAGCCAGTTATCAATTGTTAAAGGCCTCAAGTCAGTAAATGTTCTATATCTTGCCTGGGCATACACATAGCTCTCTTTAAGCAAACACCTTTCTGGAACTCCAGTATGATTATCTGTTTACCAGGTCTTTCTTTCAAGTTTTAATTAAGCAGGCTATTTTCATTTTTGCCAAATAAAAACACAGTTTTAGGCAGCTACAATAACTAACAATTTTATTTAATTACTATTGTTTTTGATAGTGCCCCAAGGACATGGCTTTCTCCACAGTGTTGAATTCAGATAGAAAAAAAATAATGACAACACTCTAGGAATGTGAATTTTCACTGAGCTTCTACTGCACTGATAAAAAAATATTTAGATTGCTCTGGGGATGTGCTTTAATTGAATTCCAAAAGAAGTAAGGTTCCTTTGTTGGCTACAATGCTGCTGACTTTTCATGGCTACTGCTTTACTCAGCTGGATATGTGTACAGGGGTGAGGGGAGAAAGCAGCCCCAGGTGAAAACACCAACCCAGGTTCATAGCTTTTCTGAAATAAATGATTTTCAGTTTCTTATGTTCCTCTTGTTAATTTCAAGAGTTCTGAATTTTATATTGTTGCTACTATTTTGGCTGCTTTTATGAAATTCATTTAGCAAGGTCTTCAGTCTGCCATTGCAGAGGTTTTGTTTCCTCCACAAAATTTTTTATTTATTAAAATAACTACATGAAAATTACATAAGTATTATGTAATATTTCTTATATTAAAACTATTAATTATCCTACATACTAGTACATGCTTATTTAATGGTTGAAGAAAGTATCTCTATAGATAGAAGTAAGCAGAAGAGAGGTTCATGTAAACATGAGCTTTTTACTGCAAAAATATACTGACCATTATAAAACTAAATATGTAAATAATGATAGACACATATATCTACAATAAATAACACAGAGTATACCTAATAAAAATATAAAGATATATAGACATTTCAAAGTTTTAAATACCTTTTTCACAAATTAAAAGATGCATGTTTTTCACATTTTAATATCTTCAAAATAGGATGCATGTTAAAGTTCTTTGCAGTCAAAACTTACTTGATGGATTTTATTATTTCTTCCTAATCATGACATCTTGAATTCTAAGAATTAGAGTAATATTACTTTTGACAGTTATCACATGCATATGTGTTCATTTTAGAAAAGTTAGGGAAAAATAAATATCAAAACAAAACAAAAAGTTCACTGTAGTCCCATCAAGACATTAACTGTTAGCATGTGATATTTCAATATTTCGTTCTCTCTCTTATACACACATCTATACATATATACATACATACACTTATATTTATTATGTATACTTATATACACATACATACACTTATATTTTTGTATATATATTTATTTATACACATGCACACACAGACACACAGTTAACCTTTGAACAACATGGAGCTGAGAGGTACCAAACTCCTGTGTAGTCAAAAATCTAGGTATAACAACATATAACTGGGAACTCCCCCAAAACGTAACTACTAATAGGATACTGTTGAGTGGAAACCTTACTGATAATCTAAACTGATAACCTCAACAAAAACTTTTTTGTGTTATATGTATTATATGTTGTATTCTTACAATAAAGCAAGCTAGAGAAAAGAAAATATTATTAAGAAAATCACAAGAAAGGAAAAATGTATTTACTATTCCTTCAGTGGAACTGGATCATCATAAAGGTCTTCTTCCTCATCATCTTTATGTTGAGTACACTGAGAATAAGAGGAAGAGTAATGGTGGGTCTTGTGTGTTAGGAGTGGCAGAGGCAGAAGAGGCAGAGGAAGAAGGAGAAGCAGACAAGGCGGGCACAATTGGTGTAACTTTATGAAAATATATCATCATTTCTGACTTCTTTCCTTTTTCATTTCTCCAAAAATATTTCTATAGAGTACTGATCCTTTTTCCAATATTCATTTTAATCTCAGTGCCCATGTCATAGAAGGGTCTATGTCATAAAAGAAATCAAATGTAATCCTGAATAATCTAAGCCTTTCTGCCAGATTGTCTAGTGTTGCTGTTGTTTCTGGCACTGCTTCGCTTCTGTCTTCTTCCTCATCATCTGGCACTGGTTCAGAACTCATCTTCATCAGGCCCTCTTCTGTTAATTCCTCTGGTGTGGTGTCCATTAACTCTTGAATCTCTCTAATATCCATATCTTGAAACCCTTTACCCCACAACACCTTTTTTTTTTAAATTTTTTTGCCATATCCACAATCTCTTTCATGACTTTCTTGGTTAGCTCTGTTGTAAATCCTGTGAAGCCATGCACAACATCTGGACACAGTTTCCTCCAGCAGGAATTTCTTCTTGAAGGTTTGATGGCTTTCATGACTTTTTCTGTAACAAGAATGGTATCTTCAATGGTGTAATCCTTGCAGATTCTCATGATGTTTTCTCTATCAGATTTCTCTTCCATTGACAATTCTTTCTGTAGAGTACCGCGTGTAATGAGCCTTAAAGGTTCCTATGATTTCCCGATTTCTAAAGGCTGAATTAGAGATGATGTGTTTGGGAGAAAGTAGACACTTTGATACCGTTGGTGTTGAACTCCTGGGGTTCTTCGTGGACAGGGGCATTGTCCAATATCAGAAGAACTTTACAAGTCAGTCCCTTACTGGCAAGGCAGTTCCTGACTTTAGGGGCAAAAAATGGATGGATCCAATCCAGAAAAAGAGTTCTCCTTGTACAGGCCTTCTTGTTGTAGAACCGAAGATTGGCAGCTGGTGATTATCTTTTCCCTTCAAGGTTAGAGGGTTAACAGCTTTATAAATAAGGGCAGTCATCAAAATAAAACCTGACTACATTTGCATGAAACAACAGAAATAGCCTATCTCTTCCTGCCTTAAGTCCTGGTGCTTGATTCCCTGCATTTTTTTTTTTTTTTTAGAATAGGGCACTTTCATTTGCACTAAAAACCTATTCAGACCTATATCCTTTCTCCTCAATGATTTTCTTTATGATGTCTGGGAACTTGTCTGCTGCCTATTGGTCAGCAGAAGCTGCTTCTCTTTTTATCTTGACATTTTAGAAGCCAAACCTCTTTCTAAAATTATCAAACTGTCTTTTATTGGCACTAAATATTCCATCGTTATATCCTTCACCTTCCTTCTGCTTTAGGTTATTTTGGGAGAAAAAAAAAAAAACCCAGGGTTTTCACTCCTGCTGGCATAGCTGCAGCAACAACTTTTACAAATTTCTTTTTATTTTTTTAACTATGGTCCTTACATTAGATTCATTTATTTTGAAATGACAAGAAAGCACAGCTACAGATACCTGGATTTACGGTACATATCAAGCAATTTAACCTATATTCTGGTATGTCATGACTTTTCTCTGCATCCAGGGAGCACCTCCAGTATCACTAGTGGCACTTCATATGTGTCCTATGGTGTTCTTCAAGGTTTACAATATTGAATAAACAAAATGAAAAATATACCAGAACTGCAAGAGATCACTTTTTAATGCAAAACACAAGTTACTGGAGAAGCAAGCTATATTTTAAGAGATACTTGCAATACTTAAGCTCACCACAATAGCAACAGGAGGTGGCTACAAAATTATTACAGTATTACAGTATATAGTAAATGATAAAATAGACTAGTACCTACATATATTTTATCCATTCATGACATATCTAACTTTAAAATTGTTTTCCTGATATTTCTATGCTATATGTTTCATTCATCTGTGAGGTTTTTTTCAAATTGTCACAAATCTCTAACTTTTTTTTCAATATAATTTTAAAAATACATATATAAGTGGATCCCTGAAGTTCAAACCCCTATTGCTCATAGGTCAATTGTATATACACGTACACACACAGATATATATATATATATATGTGTATATATATATAAAATATATATATATATGTTTACAACCATTTTAGCTGCAGAAACCCAATTATTCTCATGTTCCTTAGACAAATTTTTTAGAAATGACCTGAGATATATGGCCATTTTGAAGTAAAATACCTATATTTCATTAAAAAATTCAAACAAGAAACTTTTTACTCAGTTAACATTTGCCAGGTACGTTCCTTCTGGTACTGTATGAAGTTCACTAATTCTTTAGGGACAATGCATTAGTCCTCTATTATTGAAGGTTTCACTTTTCATAATTTCAGTTACCTATGTCAATCTTCATCTGAAAATATTAAATGAAAATTTGCACTAATAAACAATATATTTTAAATTGCATGAGTTCTGAGTAGTGTGAAGAAATGATTAAATCTCATGCCATCCTGCTCCATCCAGCCTGTGATACGAATCGTCCCTTTTTCCAGCATTGTTCATGCTGTATAAGCTACCTGCCCTTTAGTCACTTCATAGGTTTCTTAGCTATCAGATCAACTGTTGACTTATAGGAAAACTTTTGTTCAAGTAATCTTTATTTTATTTAATAATGGTCCCCAAATCCAGAGTAGTTATGTGGGCAATTAAGAGATGCTAAAGAGACACCATGAAGTGCTTGCATTAAGTGAAAAGATGAAAGTTTTTTATTGAGTAAAGAATGAAAAAATTATATGCTGAGGTTGCTAAGATCTATGGTAAGAATGAATCTTCTATCCATGAAATCTTGAAAAAGGGGAAAAGAAATTCATGTTAGTTTTGCTGTCACACTTCAAACTGCAACAGTTATAGTCACAATGCATGACAAGAGCTTGGTTAAAATGGAAAAGGTATTAAATTTGTGGGTGGAAGACATAAAAACAGAAAATGTGTTCCTATTCCTATCCATTACAGCAACATGTTCTATCAGAAAGCTTTGAGCCTTTGTGAAGACTAGCAAGGAATCCCCTGAAATGGAGTGACACTATGCCATCTACTGCAAGTAATGGAATTGTACCACAAATTCAGAAATAGGTTTAGACTGAAAAATATAAAATTTACTGGAGAGGCTATGTCTGCCAATGAAGAAGCTGTGCCACATTTCTGGCTGAGGCGAAGATTAAGGGGAAACAATATCAACCAAAGCAAATATTCAATTGTGATAAAATTACGCTCTTCTGGAAGAAGATGCCCACAGAACCTAAATTCATCAAGGTGCAAAGTAGGCACCAGGTCATAAAACATGGAAGGACAGATGAACTATGTGGCAACAGTGCAGGGCATATGATAATGACAAGCATAGTGTAGAAAGCAAAAAATTTACACACTGTAAAAAATTATCTGTGCATGTTCTGGCAACATAATCTGAAACAGACATCTAGTTTATGGAATAATTTCACCAATGTTTCATTCCAGGTGTGAAAAAATACTTGAAGGAAGGATAATTAGAATTTAAAATCCTTTTACTAATAAACAATGCACCTGGCCAGCCTGAATCTGTTTTCTACCAAAATGAAAATGTTGAAGTTGCATTTTTACCTTCAAATACAACCCCATTTATTCAGCCCCTTGACCAAGGAGTCATTTGGTTTGCCAAGGCTACATATACACCTGCCTGGTATGTGATTGCGTTAGATCAGCAATTGAAACAGACCTTAATCTATACATAGTGCAGTACTGGAAATCACTCACTACTGCTGAGGCAGTAACATTCATCAAAACTGCAATGGATGAATTAAACCAGAAACTGTAAATGCCTGCTGGATGCACTTACAGAGTGAAGTCATGAATAATTTTAAAAGTTTCCCGGCCAGGCGCGGTGGCTCACGCCTGTAATCCCAGCACTTTGGGAGGCTGAGGCGGGGGGATCACGATGTCAGGAGTTTGAGACCAGCCTGGCCAGTATGGTGAAACCCCGTCTCTACTAAAAATACAAAAATTAGCCAGGCGTGGTGGCATGCACCTGTAATCCCAGCTACTCAGGAGGCTGAGGCAGGAGAATAGCTTGAAGCCAGGAGGTGGAGGTTGCCGTGAGCCAAGATCGCGCCACTGCACTCCAGCCTGGACGACAGAGCGAGACTCCATCTCAAAAACAGAAACAAACAAACAAAACAAAACAAAACAAAGTTTCCCAGAGTTGACGAAAATTAGAAGAATCATTCATGTGGCAATAAAAGTTGGTAAGAAGAATTTGCCAACATGCTTGATGCAGAAGTGGGAGAACATATTGAACACCATCTAGTAGTATTAACAGGGGACAAATTGGAAGAGCTTGTTGAGTCATCTACAGAGAAAGAGAAAAATGATAAAGAAAGAACTAAAGTAGAATCGTGAATGCAGACATTTCTAAAATTGGTCCAACTGTCTTGAATTGCTAGATTAAAGGGAAAATTATGGAATATGATTCTTGGATGCAGCATGGCATTAAATTCACCCATATGGTCAGAGAAGGATTACAACCTCTGCAGCAACACTCCGACGAATTGATAAGAAACAGACATCAACGTCAAATTACAACGTTTCTCCTAAAGCTATCTGCAAAAATTCCCTTAAACAGGATTCCTAATTATCGATATTGTCTTCTGCTGATATCCAGCCATCAACATTGTCATGGCTTGATGATCCAGGATCACCCAAAGCAGATGATCTTCCTGAAATAGCATCGGAAGGTCAATAATAACTTAATGTGACACCACAATGCCTACATCATTCACCTCACTTCATTTCACCAAGTAGGCATTTGTGTCATCTTACATTATCACAAAAAGAAGAGTGAGTACAGTACAATAAGATATTTTGAGAGGGGAGAGAGACCACATTTACATAACTTTTATTACAATATATTGTTATAATTGTTTTATTATTGCTTATAGTACTTAATCTCTTACTGTGCCTAATTTATAAATGTAACTTCATCATAGGAAGGTATGTATAGGAGAAAACATAGTACATATAGTGTTTGGTACTATCTGCAGTTTCAGGCATCCACTGAGGGTCTTGGAACATATCCTTATTGATAAGGGGGCCTACTATACATTGCCAATGCAGGGGCTGTTAGCATCCAATATACAGTTAATAACACATGTAAGGGGAAAATCAAAATTAAGTCCTGGAGTAATTCCCAGTCTAAATCATTCCAACATTACTTTAATGAGATGTTTGTGTGCCAAAATTAATGTTAAAATATAAATAAGGCCATTTTAGAAAGACGCCCCAGACAAGTTTCAAGATTCAAGTCACTAAATGAAAGGGTCTCAATCTTTCTAATCTGCATAAGGATAAGCCATATCAGCATCCATTGGGTTAAGGCTTTTAAACATATATTTTAATATGAAAAGGTTCTTTCTTTTCCTTTTCCCTACTCTTCAGTACTAAATATAGAGACCTTTGTCAGACACATTTTCATAAGTTATGATCAACTCTCATGTTGCAAATGCAGGATAAGAGAAACTGTTCTCTTTTGGTCTGATGTTAGATGCCTGCCAATGAAGAGTCCCCTAAGTTTCCTCTGCTGTGAATAACATATAAGAAGGTGTCAAAAGCAGTGAAAATTTTCTAATGGAGTCTTCCAGACAATCACAATGGTGATTATTTACATCGCAAAAAAAATGTGTGCTGTTTCTTGAGATCGAATAAGCAGAATAGATTTATTTTTGCAATTACCTACAATTTGATAAACACAGATAAATATTGCTTAGAAAACACATTAATATTCTTAATCTAATCTTCATTCTTCTATAAATACATCTAATAATGCCTTGTATTGCATACTCTTCTGAAATAAAATGTCTGTCTCTTAATTAGGATGTGTATAATGGCAGCTCTGAAGACATTATCCTGACATAGAACATTACAGAAGGATTTGAAATATAATGTAGACTGTATATATTTCATAAACAATGCATATTCATATATATAAAATTTAATGTGTTTATTGATAAAAAAGAAATATATCTAGGAAGAGGAAATTTATTTTAGAGATTATTTTATTCACTCACAATAGAAGGTGACAAATAACTTTTTCACATAATTTTTGCAAAATGTGCTGTATTACAAGCACCTTTGAGAGGAGCATTGAATGCATATTACATTTTATATACATTGTAAAATCCACCTCTCATCATTAAAAGCCAAAACTTTTCAAAGTAGTTATTGAAGACCAAAACTATTTCCTGTGGAACAAACAAAGCATTAAATTAAATTAAGTTCCTTTTTTAATGCCATATTGGAAACTTTGGCAAAAATATAAAGGATCAAATTTAAGACAGTACAAATGTTACTTAAAAGGTAAGAGCAAGCACCTCTAAACAGTAAAATTTGTTTCCTGAATATGAATTTAGACCATGTTAGATACGAGTGAGAATAGTCTGTGAGAGATTTGCACTCTTACTAGATCAGATGTTTTGCACATGCTGTTGTAGTGGGCGTCTAGTCCAAGAAACTCGCTGAAGGACGCGTTAAAATTTTTCATGAGAATTGTAGCCTATCTCCCTTAAGTACATGTAAGACTGAGAATAAGAAGTTTTCACAAGGGTGTGCTGAGGGAGCACAGAGTTGAGGAGTGAAGATACAGGGGAGCATTGACTTGAGATTAAGTATTTCTTTCTTTAGTTAAAAAATTTGCATGCTAACTCTTAAAATTTGTTTGAATACAAGTGAGATTACTTGGTTCTCCCTGCAATTTCTAGTAACTCTCTTTAGAATAAGTTAACTCCAAAAGGCTAAAAATGGTGATAAAAGAAACAAGAGTACTTCATTCTGTAATCAAACATCCATGACTTTTAGAATAAGTTAACTCCAAAAGGCTAAAAATGGTGATAAAAGAAACAAGAGTACTTCATTCTGTAATCAAACATCCATGACTTTTAAGCTCATCTCACCCCTTTCACTTGTATTTATTCTTTATTTCTGGCTCTTTACCTTTCAGGTAAATAGTAGGGTTGCACTTATATATCTCTTTTAAATTTGGACATGCACTGGTGACTTGTTTTGGCCAAGGACATATAAGATGAATTGGCATGGGTCACTTTCACATGGAAATTTTAAGAGCCAGTAAGTGAATGTGTGTGTGTGTGTGTGTGTGTAACTTCAATGAACTGAAGTAACTTGCTGCAAACACATGAGAGTAACATGCTGCTGTCATATGTTTGCAGAATGTTACTTCAGTTCATTGTGCAAATTTATTTTAGTTCATACAATTCTCTTTTCTATATCTCTTCACTCTTAGTCTCACAAGCGTCACTGTGATGTGGCAGGACATGGTAGAGTGGGGTAAATTGACATGGTAGTGTGGGGTAAATTCCAGGAGCTGAGACCTTCTCTGCCTTTCTTCTTTGGGGTCTTACGATCTCTCCACTGTTCTTTCTAGAGGACAAGAAAAGGTCTCACAAATCAGTCAGGGATCGAGACACACACCGTCTAGTCTCAGAGCAAGAAATAAGACATAGGAATACTATTTCCCAGAAACAATTTTTCCCCTATGCTTTCTGTTCCGACATAATTTTATGAAACAAATATTAATGGTCAAAGATCATAAATGCATGAATGAGGGTTAGTATCAAAAAAGGGGAAAGAAATAGCAGGGTGAAGAAAATAAGCGTGAGTAAATATATTAAATGTATTATAGAGATATCAATGGGCACAAAGTAATGGCTTCAGCTAAGCTTTCAGCTACCTCTCTGATCCTCTGTTCTCTGTCTCCATTTTTGGGTATTTCTCCTTCCTTCCACTGCAGATACAGAAGTTTTGTAGGATCTCTTTTTACTACATATTCTTATTTCAATGTGCTCATTTTAAAATATTTTATTTTGAAGTAAATTTATACTCAAGAGGCCACAAATTCTCATGTGTTCTTCACTCTGATTTCCTCAATGATAACATTTTATATATGTTCATTTTTGACTACTGCATCTTGTTTCATTATTTTACATATTACCCTTAGGCAGACCCAAGTAGAGTCCTGCCACATTTGGACTTTTTAATGATAATTTTTGAAGTCTGAAGTCAGATTTTGTTTTGACTATAGTCACTGCTTCTACAGTGTCACCAGTTACCTGAGATATACTACTAGAATGGACAGTGAAGCAGTCTCTTGACTGATTGTTTCTCATCCTCATATCATCCTTAACCTTCTCAAATTCTATTAATTTTACAT